>NC_000011.10:63009922-63312952 GCF_000001405.40 Homo sapiens
AGAGGAGGGCCAGGCTGAGGAGGGAGGCAAAGTCAGGGCCTGGGTGAGCTAGAAACAACTGTGAGAGCTGGCTCCCCTTTTTACCAGGGGATCCCCCTCTCTTGTGATGGGGACAAACCCTCTAGTTCTCAGACATCCCTATTAACAACAACAGCAAAAAAGCATGGCACCAGCAAGGAGTGCAGCTAACATGAAGATGGAATGCTGTGTGCCAGGCCCTGGGCTCAGTACTGTGCTTGCGTTATCCCCGTTCACCCTCACACTTGCTTTCTTAGCCCTTTTTACGGATGAGGAATCCGAGACTTCTAGGGATCATGATATTCCTGATCATTGGCAGAGGCAGGTTGTGAGCTCTGGTTCACGATCCCACACTGTTTGCGAGATGGCCCCTTGCTTCTACTAACAGGTGTCACCTGGACTGATCTCGCTCTTCACCAAATACCCTGCCTTCCTCATTACCACCCTCTTCACCTGGAGCCAACGCATCGGTTTCCCGCCTCTGTGTCAGAGACCTACTTCTAGGTAAGGTCCAGCTACTGCTCTTCTCTAGCTGAGGGGCACCAGAACCTGACCCAAGCACATGGAACTGGACTTGTTATGGCTGAACCACAAACAGAAAGATGAAAGGGTTCTGCCCTTGCTGTGCTGGTACCAGTGTGGCTGGCTGGGTCCAGCCACTAATGCATTAATGGCCGGGCAGGGACACTTCCTAAGTGCTCTCACAGCTGAGAGTTCTAGGGATCTGGCACCTGATGAATGCCTGGGCCAGACCTGACCCAGAGAAGGGTGCGGTGCCCTGAGGCCTGGTGACCCCCGGCGTCCTGCTGGGATGGCGGTTCACACTATCTCAGCTGCTGAAATGGTGACTGGGAACTGGCTCAAGCGTGAACTGATGCTTGACTGGGTACAAGACCTGCAACCTCTCTCTCCGTCTGGCCTTTCTAGAGGCTTCTCGAGGGGTTTTCTGGAAAGGAAGCCACTTCCCAGCAGTGAGCGGTGTCTACATCCCTCCCGTCTGTCTCTCCCGCCAGGCTCTGAGGGGGCAAGTCCTTCATTCAGTGTTGATTGAGCACTTGCCATGCATCTAGTCCTGTGATGACAGGGTGGGTGAGAGAGGCACAGTCTCTGCCCTGGAGAAGCTACTAAAGGCAGGGAAGGAGGATCTGTGATGTCCCTGGGCAGCAGGGTGCACAGTCAGCCTCACGGATTGTGGGTTGGGGGTTGTGCATTCCTGAGGAGCATAGGCTCTGGAGCCTGACTCCTGACTTTGACTCCCCACTCCATCCTGTATGAAACGTGAGGCCTTGGGCCAATGACCTGTCCCTCAGTTTCCTCATCTGTGAAATGGGATAAGAAAGGTGCTAACCTTAGAGGGTTATTGTGAAGATGAAATGAGTTTATGTGGCCGAAGTGCTTAGAACCATCTGGCACAGTGTGAGCATGCAGTAAATGTTATTGTGATGGTGATTTAATTGTTCTCTGTGAGATTTTTGTTTCTTTGGCTAGGTTCTGTGTTTTTGGAGGACATGGGCGGTGGGTTTTACTCCTCTTTGTCTTCCCAGGTCTCAGGTGCACGGCAAGTCACCTGTACATTTGGAAACTTACTTATGGCTATTGAGGCATCTTTGACTCCCTCCCTGTCCCTCACTCCCTGCATCATTCAGTTGCATTCAGTTACCAGGTCCCAGAGACTCCAACTTCCTGGCCTTCCTGGTATCTATTCTGACTGTCCCTTCTATCTGTCGTCTTTGTCCTGGATCCCTGTGCAGCTTGCTAACGGGTCTCCCTGCTGCTGGACTAAAACACTCCACAAACTACCCTCTAAGGGGCAGTCAGAGTGACGAGCCTTCGAAGGTGACCTGTGGTGTCACTCTCCTGCTTAACACCACCACAGTCACTGGCTCCCCATTGCCCTTAGGACAAAGGCCACACCTTTACCTCTGTAGCATCCAAGCTGGGCCCTCTTGCTGTCCTCTCTAGCTCCATGTCTGGGGACCTCCATATCCTACTGCTCACTCCTCCAGCCTTCCCCTGGAAACTGCAATCTTGACTTTTTGCTCTCTTTTTCTTTTTTTTTTTTTTTGAGATGGGGTTGTCTTGCTCTGTGCCCAGGCTGGAGTGCAGTGGTGTGATCTTGGCTCACTGCAACCTCCGCCTCCTAGGTTCAAGCAATTCTCCTGTCTCAGCCACTTGAGTAGCTGGGACTACAGGTGTGCACCACCACACCTTGCTAATTTTTATGTTTTTAGTAGAGACAGGGTTTCACCATATTGGCCAGGCTGGTCTCAAACTCCTGACCTCAGGTGATCTGCCTGCCTTGGCCTCCCAAAGTAGCTGGGATTACAGGTGTGAGCCACTGCACCCGGCCTTTCTTCTTGCTTCTGTGCCTTTGCATTTGACCCTCCTTCCCCGCCACTCTTCCTTTTGCCTGGGGTTCACTGCTCACTAACTCTCACCTCCCAAAGTGCTGGGATTACAGGCATGAGCTACTGCGCCCGGCCTTTCTTCTTGCCTCTGTGTCTTTGCGTTTGACCCTTCTCCCCCACCATCCTTCCTTTTGCCTGGAGTGCGCTGCTCACTAACTCCTACCTCTCCATGCCCAGTGTGGGCATTACTGACTCCAGCAAGCCCGCCTCAATCCTCACTCCAGGCTGGTTAGATAACCCTCCCCTGGGCCTCAGAGCACTCTGAGTGTACAAAGCGCATATTCATTCATTCCACAGAACACCTCCTCTGTACCAGGCACTATTCTAGCTGCTGCAGATAAGAGTAGTAAACAAAGCAGCAGAAAATCCCTGCCTTGGGAAACGTGTGTATTCCACCAAACTGCCCATGATCCTTGAGAGCGGGTCTGCGTCTCGCTGGTGGTGTGCTCCTGGAGGGAACGCAGGGCTAGCGGCTCTTCGACTTTATGTCCTCAGTATTATGCACTGGGTGTCAATAAATGGATACTTGATGGGTTTCAGGCATTATGCTTGGTGCTGGGGGGAGAAAGTAGCAAACATGACAGGGAGGAGATATAATCTAGGTATATGAGAGCAGCAAATGTCATGGTGTGGAGGGCAGGTGTGTGTGTTTGGGTCCTGAATCTGCCACTTATTAGCTGTGTGACCTCGAGCAAGCTACTTAACCTCTCTGTGCTTCAGTTTCC
The DNA here is from genome assembly GCF_000001405.40 of Homo sapiens. Lineage (NCBI taxonomy): Eukaryota > Metazoa > Chordata > Mammalia > Primates > Hominidae > Homo > Homo sapiens. Next base: position 63,013,074 of record NC_000011.10, read on the forward strand.
CCATCTGAGAGAGAGAATTACAATACAAACTATCTTACAGTGTGTTCAGGAAGGTTAAAAGTGTTAATATCTGTGAAGCTCTTAGAACAATGCCTACCACATAGTAAGCACTTTATATAAAAATATTTGTTAAACAAATGAATAACAATCACACAGACTCTGAACATAGCCCTAAATTCAAATCCTGCCTCTGCCAGGTTCTAGCCGTGTATAACATGGGAAGGTCATGGAATCAAGCTGAGCCTCAGTTTCCTCATCTGTGAACTGGAGATAATACTTCTCTTAAAGAGATTACATCTCCTGGGCCTCCAGGAACCCACAGATGTATAGTGCTTGGCACCAGGTAAGGGCTTTGCAACGAACGCATCTCTTCTCATGAGGCAAAACAGGCTCCTGCCCTTGAGGGGTTCATGGTACCCAAGGGAGGATGAAAACACTGGTCTCTGCTCACTGCTCAGACGCCACCTCCTCCATGAAGCCTCCCTTGAATCCAACAGTTTCTCCCTCATTTGGACCCCCGTAAACATTTGTCTCCCTGTACTTCTTATGGGCTTTAGCTGTAAATTCCAGTTCTGAAACTGACCAGCCATGTGGCACTGGACAATCATTTCCTTTCTCTGGGTCTTAGGTTTTTTATTTTTAAAAATTCTGTAAGGGGAGATAGAAATCACCTTCAACGGAGCATCACGTTGGAATCAAACAAGACAGTGTCTACAAAGCCCCCAAATGTGCCTGTCAGTTAGTGACGCCCAATACATGCCAATCCCCAATTTCTCATCTTCATCCTATCATAGGCTCCTGACTGGCCTGTCAGTTCATTGAAGAGTCTGATTTAACTCTGGATTTCCCCGAGGTGGCAGGTGAGAGAGTCAATGAATCAGTGAAGGGCTGTGGGAATGAGAGGTGAACCCATGAGTGACTGTGTGTGTGTGGATGAGACATTTTCTGGGTCTGCTGTGGAGTGTTTCAAGCCTCCCCTCTGTGCGGTCCCTCCTCCACAGCCCTCCCACCTTGGGGTCTTTGCACAAGACGGACTTTTCCTCCTTTCCCTCACTGCCTGTTTGGCCCTTGACTGATGTTTATATCTCAGTTCCAGGGGCATTTCTGTAGGGAGGATTCCTTCAACACCCATTCCCCACGCCCTCACTCTCACACCCACCCCAGAGGTCGGTCATAGTGCAAGGTCACTTTGAAGTTGCAATTTTACACTTATTTGTGTGGTGTTTTCCTTAATGGGTGCTATCTCCACCGGGCTGTAGACCCCCTGGGAGCAGGCATGGTGCATTTTTGTATTCCCAGAGCTTAGCTCTGTGCCCGTCACAGAACAGGCCCTCAGTAGCAGTTTGTTGAAGCACTGCTTGGACTCTGAGTGGGAAGAAGCCAAGGGTCTTGGTGCATGAGCTTCTGCACTCAGGTCCTTCCTCTTTGCCTGCCCAGTGACCTGTCCTCAGTTCCTGGGAACACCAGACCCCAGCCTCCTCTGCTGCCCACCAGCGGTGCAGGGTATGGGGGTACGTGGGTAAGTGGAGGGAGAGGGTTTGCCCAGGCATACCTCTGTCACAATGGAGTCCTTGGTGCTGTTGTAGACCCAGCCATCCAGGCATGGCTCCATGGCCCTCTGGGTGTCATTGGGCAGGCTGGCATTGGGCGGATGTACAAAACGGAGGCACCTCTCAGGCTTCCCATTTGGGCCCATGGGGAGCACCCAAGGCCCTGTGGAGGCATTGTGGGGCGGGCGACAGTGGTGGACAGGGGTGGCGGCTGTGAAGATCTGCAGCAGGTTGTGGTTGGCCATGTTGAGGATCGGGAGGCCCAGTATGGCTACATGCAGGAACTGGAAATGGCCCATGCTTCCCACACGGTCCAGGATCTCCGAGAAGGTCATGGCACTGGGGCAAGACGAGCCAGAGCTGTGGGCAGGGCATAGGCCAGGGAGAGGTATATTTGTGCCTGGTAGTGCGTGGGTCTATGGAACGATATGTGGGAGGGTGAACCAGGTGGATATGCGAGCACAGGTGTGTGGAGCAGAGCATGTGTAAGTGTGTAAAGATGTGGAAGCTCAGGCATGTGGAGCCGCAGATTCTTGTGTGGATGTCTGAGGAAGAGCCCAGCTGCACGGAGGGCTGTGGGATCAAAGGTGGAAGTGTGTGTCCAGGTGTGTGGACACAAAGGTATCTATGGGTATGTGCTCATTTAGGCTGCAGCATAAGGACACAGCTGCGTGAGCTCGGGTATGTGTTGTGAGCGTGTGCACCTGCGGACACGAGCATGTGTGTGCTCAGCTAGGCTGGTTGCACATGCTGCATGCATGGAGCAGTGCAGGACACGTAGCAGGGACCAAGGGGCCCAGCCTTGGATGTTGGCTACAAAGGACAGATTAGAGGGTGGGTGGTGAATGTCCCCAGTTGCTCCAGGCAGATACACAGGGTTAGCAGAGTTCAGGTTGTCTGCTGGGAAAGGCCTCCCCAAGCTCAGAGCCTCCTGGCTTCTGGCAGTTCCCTGGGGCTGGGCCCACCATGCTGGAGTATCTGTAAGAGCCCGAAGCAGGTCTCAGAGGGCACTAGGGGCTTGGCTAGTCGCAAGTGGAGCCTGGCCTTGGGAGATCCCTGGGATTCCTAGGTGCCTGGGCTGGGGAGGCCCTCCATCCCTCCTCACCTGGTGGCCGGGTCTGGATCCGATGGGGCTGGTGATCAGTGTAGTTGAGGTCCCTGCTCTGTCCTAGGGGCCGGCAGCTGCTGTAGTAGGGCAGCTCAGCTCTAACAAGCTGTGTTTGTGCCTCCCCCAGGGGGGCTTATATAAGGCATAAGCTGTTTCCCGGGCTAATGTTTGACTTTCTTTTGCGGATTAACGTCACTGGCAGGGAGAGTGCTGTGGACCCACCAAGCCCAGCTCTCCTCAAAGGGCTGCCTCAGCGAGGGCCGCTGGGGGTGGGGCAGCGTGGCTGAGCCTAGCAGGGCTGCTGGCTGGACACCACGGGCCCAAATGGGAAGTCTGAGACGTGCCTCCGTTTTGTACATCCGCCCAACGCGAGCAGCCCTGGCAGGCTCACCGAGGGGAGATTCTGGGAAGGAATCTGGCCTGACCTCTGAGGGTTCAAGGTCCCTCTCAACTGATGTTCAGAGGACTTGATGCTGAGGACAACCAATGGGAAAGGCACTGGTGCCCGTAAGCAGGCAGCATTCTCCTGTGTGCTACCTCCCCTGCCTGGCACCTCCCGAGTAGGGGAAGGGGATTTGCCTCTCAGGAAGTGTTAGGGCACACCCAGACAGAAAATGTCACTTTCATCTATCCCTGAGGACGCAGGGCTGCCATCTCCTGGGCCCCTGGGGCAGCCAGGACCTCCGTGTCTGTGTCTCTGACACAGGTGAACTGCCCCCTTCCATCCCACCCTCAATGGACAGGCTTCTCTCCTGATCAGCCGCTTCCCCCTGGGGACCAAATGTAGTCCCTGCTGTTTTATTTTCACTCTGAATATTATTTTAATTATATAATAATGTGTGTTTCCTGCATAAAACATGGGAAATACAGACAAGCCAAACAAAACAAATCAAAACAAAGCAAAATGTCCAGTCTCACCTGAGAGCCTATCTGTTCTTCTGGTCTTTTCCTCAGCAGAGACTTCAGTCTAAGACCTCAACTTCTAGCCACCAACATTAGGCTCTTTTAACCCTCACGGCAGCCCTGTGACTAGTCTAGCATTAATAATTAGGGAACTGAGGCAAAGGGAGATTAAGTGACCTCCTCACCATCCCCCAGCCAGGAAGCACAGGGCAGGGGCAGGGTGGCCCTAAGCCTATTCCCTCCCTTAGAACCAACATTCTCTACGAAGCCTATGGGGGCACTGTACTATTAATATATTGCCTCTCCCTTAAAGAGCCACCTAGAGGTCTGGGCGGGGTGGCTCAAGCCTGTAATCCCAGCAGTCTGGGAGGCCAAGGTGGGTGGGTCACGAGGTCAGGAGTTCCAGACCAGCCTGGCCAATATGGTGAAACCCCATCTCTACTAAAAATACAAAAATTAGCCAGGCATGTGGCACGCGCCTATAGTCCCAGCTACTTGGGAAGCTGAGGCAGGAGAATCACTGGAACCCAGGAGGCAGAGGTTGCAGTGAGCCAAGATCGTGCCACTGCACTCCAGCCTCGGTGACAGAGCAAGACTACGTCTCAAAAAAAAAAAAAAAAAAGTCACCTAGGCTGGTCTTCAACATCACTCCTGCCTGCCTTTACCTCTCTGTTCCTACCTCCAGAAACCCCTGGGAGCTGCCCCTTCCCACCTGCTCTAGGGGCTAGGGAGGGGCCCCTTTAGGGCTCCCCTTCTTGGTTGGGGAGGGCTTTCCATTCTCCTCCTGGGCCCCCCTCTCCACCAAGGCAGTATCCAGCCCCCAGGGTCCAGACTGAGCTTCCCTCCTACCGCAGGGCAGGGTCAGCTGGTCAACCTGGGTCCAGCCCTGCCCCTCGGCTTCCCACCTGGGCCCAGCAGTTATTGATGTTCTCAGAGTGGCCTGAGGCAGGGCGAGATCTGGAGTCATCAAAGGAAGATTAAATTATGCTCCAAGGCAGCCAAGGGGTTGTTTTAGGAAGATTTTCGACTGTGAGGCTTGCAGTGAGCTGGGCTGCCGCCCTGAGCTCCCCCTGTTCTGGGCATTTGGCCTCTTGGAGATTTTCTGGTTCCTAATTGGCTTGGGTTATCCATCTGTTCCTGTCCTAGTGGAATGTTGTTTAAAGGAGCCTGGTGACTCCCCGCTGAGGCTGCTGGAGTTAAGCCAGAGTATACATATCTGAACTGCCCAGCCAGGGGCAGCTGCATCCGGGCAGCGCCCCCCAACCCCTAATGGATGTGATTGGATTAGTGATATCAGGAATTGTGTGATGCACTTGTTATATGACCTTGGACAAATCACTCTCTCTGTGCCTCTTGTTTCTCTTCATTAGTTAAGTGGCTTTTTAAAAAAAAGCACCAGAAACCTTTTATTCAAACAATATATTGGGTTCATAAGATCAATGTATAAAGCAGACAATAGAGGTGCTCTGGCTAAAGTGGGGACTGTGGGTGTGGGGGGATGCTTCAGCTAAAGTGGGAGAGAAAGTGACCAGAAGAGCCCTGCCTCCGTCACGCTACCTCTCCCTCCGTCACCCTACCTCTCCCTCCGTCACCCTTCCTCTCCCATCCCACACGCTTCATCCTTCCCTTTGGGATTCTCTGCCCCAGGCAGTCCCTCCCCAAGTCAAATCCACCTTATTGGGGGATCTATCACTTTTTACATGCTGTGATCCTAAATTCAATATGTTCAAATTAACTTTTTTTTTTTAAAGACACTATAAATTTGGGAAATCTTACATGCTAGATGCATTTTTAATTTGGGATATGGAAATAGATTTTCTTTCTCTTTTTCTCCTTCCCTCTCTCCCCACTCCCACCCTTCCTCCTCCCACCTTCTCTCTTTTCATCTTTTCTCTGAACTCTTCCAGGGGCTCCTTTAAGCTGACCTGGGTTCAGTCTCCCCTGTTCTCTGCTGGGTCCTGGCATGGACCTGTGTTTTGAGCTGGAAGGGCCTATGAAATCATCTAGTCCGACATTCTCATCTTATCTATGGGAAACTGAGGTGCAGGGAGGGGAGCAGCACTGGCCTGATTCCCCGCTTCCCTGGCACCTCCACACAGTGGACACTCTTTGAAGTCTTAAATTCACTCAGGCAGGGGAGGAGCTATGACAAGTCTTATCTTCAGAAGCAGTAGGTGAGTCTGGGCATTCTGGACAATTCCAGGTGGCCTCATGGAACTTTCTGTGGGCCATCAACCCTCCTAGCTGCTCACTCATTTGTCTGTCCATCTGCCCATTCATCTGTCCATCCGTTCATTCATCCATCCATCCCTCCCTCCATCCAATGTGCGCCATGGGCTTGTATATCTGAGGCCCCGTTCTAGGAGCTATGGTGCCTGCCCTACCCTCCAGCCTCAGAGGAGGCAGCCACCCAGAAACAATCACAGCATGAAGGAGATGACCTCAATGTCATGGGAGAAGTCCATACATTCCAGGGGTCAAAGGAGAGGGTAATAATGACCAGGTTTGGGGAATGGGATCAGGGTGGGCTGCCTGGAGAAGGTGGCCTTTACACTGAACTTGGATGTGGAGGGTGGGGATCAAAAGATAAAACCGGAGAGGGACCTGCCAACCCAGGGATGTGAGTGTAAGGTGTGTTGGGGGGAAATGGGAGGTAAAATGGATGAAGCAGCTTGGGCAGAATTTCTCTTCCATCCAGGGTGGTGGCCTTGGTCTCAGGGGCTGGGACATCTCTGCGATAGTCTCAGAGGGGCCGATAATCCCCTGGGCTTCTCTGTCCTCCTGGGGGTGGGAGTGGGGAAGCTCCTGAGGCTTGTGACCCGTGAGGCTCCAGGGGCTCACCGAGTCACACTCAGTGGTGCCTAGCCTTACTTTGGGCAGATTCTGGGTCTCTCACCCATCATGAAACTTCCATGGGGCCATTTGTGCCCCTGCTCCTGCTGTGGCTGCTGCCTGCTGGCTGCCCACTCACCACCCTCTCCAGGGTGGTTCCAGGCAGTTCTGCAGCACGTGTGGGCCCCTGTCCTGCTCCCCAGACTGCAGTCCCTGGCAGGGATGGCGAGACATTCCGTAAATTCCCAAGGGCCAGGAGCTATTCCTCTCTGGTGGCTGACTGGGGGCCTCTCAGCCCGTGGCTTCGTCAGTGACTTATTAGGGACTCCAGATTCAGCCCCTGTGCTTGGGTGGTTCTAACAGATTTGGTGGCCTCTGTATGGTGGTTTCAGGCTTGACCTGCCATGGGATGTCCTCTGCCCTCAAACCCCAATCTCTCTCTCCCTTCACAGGCTGATTCTAAAGTTTCCTTTATGGGAGTGAGGCAGTTCAGGGAATGAGGATTCTGCAGGCCTGAATTTTTTTCTTTTTTTGAGGGGGAGTCTTGCTCTTGTTGCCCAGGCTGGAGTGCAATGGCTCAATCTCCGCTCACCACAACCTCCGTCTCCCAGGTTCCAGTGATTCTCCTGCCTCAGCCTCCCGAGTAGCTAGGATTACAGGCATGCGCCACCATGCCCAGCTAATTTTGTATTTTTAGTAGAGACGGGGGTTTCTCCATGTTGGTCAGGCTGGTCTCGAACTCCTGACCTCAGGTGATCCACCTGCCTTGGCCTCCCAGAGTGCTGGGATTACAGGCATGAGCCACCGTGCCCAGCTGCACAAGCCTGAATTTGAATCTCGACTCTACGTCTTGTTAGCTGCGTAGTGATGCCCGCCTAAGCCTCAGTTTCATCACTTGTAACTGCAAAACGGGGAATAAAACCTACCTATGGGATTGTTGGGGTTTTAAATAAAAGTGTATAAAGCCTGAGCCCAGTGTTGGGCACACAGTATTTAATTACAGGGTCAGCCCTGAGGGCACAGGCCTCAGCAAGGCCCGACACTCCCAGAAGAGGAGGAGGAAGAGAGGCCAGAACAGGAGGAGTGTTCTCCAGCTCCTGGGGCACGGGCCGAAAGCCCTTCCATGTGGGTGGGCTTCTTGAGGCCCTCCCTGGGCCCTTGGAGGCAGCCCTGGCCCAACTAATTCTGGTCAAGCCCATCATGTTGCCAGGCAGCCTGGGTCTCAGCTGCCACCCTAAGTGGCACAGTGCAGGGACACAGGACGCTCTGAGGGCTGTGCTCCAGCTGCCAGGGCAAGGCTAGGAAATGTCCTCATGGGCAGCTCTGAAGGCACGGTCGGGAGAGTCGCCCCCTTCTGGTGTGCACCGGAACGGCACCTGTTTCCTCAGGAGGGTGTGGCTGCATTTTGGAGCCCTCGCGCCACCTGGCAAAGAACCCAGCGCAGGGAACGGATTATGTGGATCCCGGAGCTTCCTCACACCAGACACCTGCCTAAGAACTGGAGGGCGGGACCCCAGGCTGACGCTCCTTAGCAGCAGGCGGAGGGGACACATGCCACTGTCCCCATGTCCCAGCACGGCTTTCTGTTCATCCGATGTCTTAAGCCAGGGTTGGCCAACTCAACTCACGGGGCCAGGTGATGTGGCCAAGTGAGGTGGGCCAAGTGCCAGCGAAAGGGAGCGCGGGGCCACGGGGAGTTGCAGAGCGCATGTCCAGTCTGAAGGGGGCAGCGGCCCGCTCAGCACCAGCTGGTGTTGCCATGGGGATATGCAGGCTTCAGTTGCCAGATCTTCAGATATTTTAAAAATAGCTTGAAATCTGGACTTTTGTGTGAAATTTTCCAATTGTGTAGGCGACCCCTCCTCCCACCTTCTGGAATCCCTTTGTCTTTTCTGCTTGAACCCCCTAAAGGGGTCAACTCCCTCAAGTGATTCCTTGCAGACGAAGGTAGGATCTCCTCTGATTCGTCCTCACAGTTCCTCCTTGCTGGCCTTCAGGAGTTTATTCACCGAGCAAACATCCAGCACCTGCTCTGGGCTAGGCCTTGTGCAGAAATGGATTTTGAAGATGGGAGGAAATGGAGAAGACTCAGAGCATTGCTTTGGAGAATGAAGGAAGAATGGAGGGGACAGGTGTCAGGCTCCCTGGGACACCTTACCACCACTTCCCAATTGGGATCTCCTATCTGAGCTGTGAGGTCTCCTCCCTGTTATGCCATCCATGCTTTGGGTGGAGAGCCTCGTTCCCACTCAGCATCTCTTTTCTCATTGTTTCCAAGGCTGGGTCTTTCTTGGCTCCTCAAATCACACCTCCTCCGAGAGGCTTTCCTGGACCATGCTAGCTAGAGCAGCTTTCTCTATACCAACCGTACACTCTTTATAGCACTCATCACTGTCTGAAATGATACACTTGCTTATTATCTATCTGCCTTCTCCCCACTCAACTATAAGGCCACAAAGGCAGGGCCTTCCTGAAGGATGTATTGGCTGCTCTCTGAACCCTTGGCAGGAGTTTGTGAGTTTATATTCCCCAGATGCTCTTCAGGCACAAAAAGCTAGACTAGAGGTTTTCAACAATGTCCAAAGGGTCTTTAAAACTCTGGAGTCACCGCCATCATCGGTAGTCCTTTTATCTCCACTGGTGTGTCCATGGCAGGGCCCTGCTTTCTGCTGTCCTTTGGGGCCCTGGAAATCCCAGATCTGTTTTCAGGAAACATTCTTAGCAGAGGTAGTGCTCTGTCCCAGACCACACTTGCTGGGCCTGTTTTCTCGCCTGCAAAAATGGGCAGAATGATAACTGTTGCAAGCTCATAGGGGTGTGAGGAGGGGAGTGCACGTCGTCCTGTGAGGTGGTAACCCCAAATTCTGTCATGAAGCATGGTGTCCCCTGGGTCCTGGCTGGGAGCTCGGAGCCCATTTTATACCTACCCCCAAGTAGTGCATGTATTCTGCCTGCCTTATTTCCTGCCCACAGCCCTTGCACAGGCCTGCTCTGCAGTTGGTCTCCCTCAGCATGGCAGAAGAGCTTAATGATAAAGATGGGCTGAGCTTCCAGGAGCAGACGGCATGGGACAGAAGTCACAGATGCAAGGGAAGATACTCAGAGCCTGTGAAATCCCCTCAACTGCTCCCCTCCCCCACCAACCTTGTCCTTGGACTTGCATGTCCCTCCTCGGGAGGGGGATTGGCAGATGAAACTTTATCATGATGAAGGCAAGGGCCAGTCACAGCTGAGCTCCTGCATGTAGAGGACTCGGCAGCAGGGACCAGTCTGATGATAAAAATGACAGCAACCGTATACATAGCTGCTTGTCAGGGGAGGGAACCTGGTGCTGGGGGTGAGGGCAGGAGTTCACTGTTGCGTGCATTCGTATCTGCCAACCCAACAGTGTTCAGAATCATAGATGGCTGTTTATCTTGGGCAGGGGGGCACTGGTGGCCCACCCCAGAGCTCTGATCTCATCTTAGCTTCATCAGTGCTGTTGATGAAATTCAGAGAAGTAAAGTTTATCAGGTTTTCAGAGAACCCAAAGCTGGGATACAAGGTGTCTAAGTAGGAGAACAGAATCAAGATCCAAAGCAGTTGGAAGGTTGAATACTGGGCCTGCTTCCTTCTGGCAATGTAATTTCAGACAAGTCTCATAAAGTTTTTGAGCCCTGGTTTTCCCATCTGCAAAATGGGGACAATGCCACCGACACTGCAGTGCTGTAAGGGTTAAGAAGACAGCCTACATAGAGCACCCAGCAGAGGCTGTATGCCTGGCACACAGTAGCCCCTCACTCACTAGTGGCTACGGCTGTGATGAATACCAATGTGAGCTCCTTAGGCCAGGAGCCTTGTCTTTCGTTCCTGTATTCCTGGTGCCTGGTATGGCGTGGGCACTGAACAAATGTTTGTCAGATGAATGAACAAGATGAATTTGACAGGGATAAATGTCAGTTCCTGGACTCGCATCCAAAGACCCAGCTGCACAAGGATGCAGTGGGGGAGAAATGGCTTAGCAACAGCACATGTGAGAAAAGCCGAGGGATTGAAACTGACAGAAATTCAGTCAACATGAGGTGGCTGCCAAAACCAGCCAGGGCAAACTTGGGTAGCATTATTAGAGGCTGGGTGCTCAGAAGAGGGAGGCCACGGTGGTCAGACCAGCCTCAAGAGCCACAGACCCTTGTACGTTTCGCCTGTAGGGAGGCTGGCCAACCAGATGAGGTGGGGAAGAGTCCTAAAGACCACATATCATGAGATGCGGCTGAAGAAACCAGGGCGCTGAGCTTGGAGAAGAGAATCACAAGGCACGTGGTGGCATTCAGATCTTGCCTCTTCCACTTGCTCTGGACAATCAACAGCTCCAAGTCCCAGTTTCCTCATCCGTAAAATGTGCAAGCCACAGGTTGGAGGTCACGCCGCTGCTGGAGAAGGGCAGAAATGGGAACCCGAGCCTTACTGGACCGGCCCCCCTCCGCCTCCCTCCTGAGCTCTTCAGCACGGAGGTTGTTCACGCTGAGGACAGCTGTCAGGGAAACTGTGGGTGGCCAGAGGCCTCTGTTTCCATTTTAGGGGTTGGACCAGGATCACAGGGGCAGCTCCTTCCAGCCCTAACCCTTCCTTCTCCTTTCTTCCACTTGTGGCCGATTCTATAGTCTGGGTGCTTTCCTGGCGGCCAGCTTCCCTCTATTTGCATGGTTTCTGCGTGTAAGATTTTGTGTGCAAAAGGCTGCATCTGTTCCTCTTCTTCCCAGAAACCGCCCGGTGCCTGCAGTGCGCCCGCCTGGTGTTCCCTCTGCTCCCTCTGGTGGCTATAGCGGGTACTGCACAGGGCTCAACAGAGCCAACCAGAATAGCGTTGGAATCAGACATCTTGGTAAAAGTCCCGGCCCTCCATCAACAGATGAATGGATAAGCATAATGTGGTATAACATACAATGGAATATTATTCAGTCTTAAAATGGAAGGAAACGATGACAACTGGATGAGTCTCAAAAACATTAAGTGAAAATAAGTTGGCACAGAAGGACAAATATTTTATGATTCCATTTATAGGAGGTATATAGAACAGGTAGATTCAGAGACACAAAGTAGAACAGAAGTTACCAGGGGCTCACAGAGGGGGAAAAGGGGAGTTATGGTTTAATGGGTACTGAGTTTCTATTCGAGATAATGAAAAATTTCTGGAAATGGATAATAGTCATGGTCACACAACATCGTGAATATACTTAATGCCACTTATTGTACCCTTAAAAATTGTTAAAATGGTAAATTTTGTGTTGTATATATTTCATTACAATAAAAAGTAATACAATATTCATAACACAAAATTTACCATTTTAAGCATCTTGCTACCTAAGGGCTGCATGAGCTTCATCAAGTCACTTAGCTTCTCTGGGCCTCTGCTTCCTCATCTGTAAAGTGGGGAGAGCAATACTGCTTACCTCACTGCTACCACCCTGGTCCAAGCCACCATACTTTCTCACCTGGAGGATTGCAAACTGCCTCCTTGATGGTCTCCTGGCTTCACTTTGGCCCTTCCCAACAAGTCTTTTTCTACTAAGCAGCCATAACATCTAGAAAACTAGGTTAGATCAGTCACGCTCCTGCTTAAAATTCTCCCCACACTCCTCTTTTTGACCAACAGGATCTGGTCTGTGATCACCTCTCCTGCCTCAGTACTTTCTGCCACCTCTCCCTCACCAAGATATTACTCCATGCTCCTTTTGCCTCCAGGCCTTTGGCCTCATTGGTTACCCTGACTTGAATGCTGTTCTCCTGATTGTCTTACATTGCCAGGTCATCCTTGTCATCAAGGTCTCATCTCAAATGTCACCTTCTTTTTCTGGGGATTTCATTTCTTACCAGCCACTCCAATGTTGCCTTACCTTCTAGCCATACTCTTATCACCTCTGTCTTGTTTGATTTTCTTCATAGCACCTGTCATGATCTGAAATTGTCTTATCTCTGTGAAACTGGGTCATTTTATGGGCTGGATTTTGTAGAGTGCAAAGTAGGGTATAGTTTTTATTTTTCTTCTGCCTCCATCCTTGCACTTGCTCTGTTGCTTCTCTCTCCCCACATTGTCTTTGTCCATTTTCTGTTGCCTATAACAGAATACCACAGACTGGGTAATTTAAAAAAAATAAAAAAAGAGATTCATTTGGCTCATGGTTCTGGAGGGTGGGAAGTCCAAGAGCATGGTACTGCATCTAGTGATGGCCTTAGTGCTGCATCATAACATAGTGGCAGGCATCACATGGTGAGAGAGGGTGAGAGAGTGTGAGACACAGACAGAACTGGGGGTTGAACTTATCCTTTTACCAGGAGCCTGCTTCCGGGATAACTAACCCACTCCTCTGATAACAGCATTAACCCACTGATGAGGGCAGAGCCCTCATGACCTAATCATATCTTCAAGTTCCCACCTGTTTTTTTTTTTTTTTTTTCCAGACGGAGTTTCACTGTCATCTCCCAGGCTGGAGTGCAGTGGCACGATCTTGGCTCACTGCAACCTCCACCTCCCAGGTTCAAGCGATTCTCCTGCCTCAGCCTCTCAAGTAGCTGGGATTACAGGCGCATGCCACCAGACTCAGCTAATTGTTGTATTTTTAGTAGAGATGGGGTTTCACCATGTTGGCCAGGCTTGTCTTGAACTCCTGACCTCAGGTGATCCACCCGCCTTGGCCTCCCAAAGTGCAGGGATTACAGGTGTGAGCCACTGTGCCGGGCCCCCAGCTATTAATACCATCACAATAGCAATTAAATTTCAACATGAGTTTTGGAGGGGACATTCAAACCATAGCACCCCTCCTTGAAAATGTTTCAGCTAAGTATAGTTTACCCATTTTTTTCAGGTATTAGATCAATTTCAATTTTAGACATTAAAAGTCTGATTCTTTTAGGAGATGTACATTGAAGGATTTAAGAATGAAGAGTCATGGTGTCTGAAGCTTGCTTTCAAGTGATTTAGCAAGACCATGTATACACACATACACACAATGTTAACAAGTTTTGAATCTAGGTGGTGAATATATAGGTATTTATTATACTATTCTTTCAACTTTTCTATATGTTTGAAAATTCTTATAAAATGTTGGGCAAAAAGGAAACTGCTTTTGTCAGGTTAAGAAAATAAACCCAGTCCTATATAAATAAAAATATTTATCTTCCATCCAATATAAAGCTTCTCCTATTCAAGCTGACCAGGCCTGGCTTTCCGCAGTGGGGAAGGTTGGGGGGATGGGCAGCGGGTGTATGGCCAATGTCCTCACTCTCTCGGATTCACCTCCCCTCCCACTCCTAGCAGCTGCTTCAGCTCCTTCAGGGTCTGGGAAGGGAGGAGGGAGGAAAGGAAGAGGAGAGGGCTCCTCAGTTGTGCTCTTGTCATCCATGTGGGGTGTACTGCTGGGCTTCCCCCTCCAGGAACTCTGCCCATACCATTGTTTTTTTTGTTTTGAGATGGAGTCTCACTCTGTCACCCAGGCTGGAGTGCAGTGGTGCAGTTTTGGCTCACTGCAACTTCTGCCTTCTGGGTTCAAGCAATTCTCCTGCCTAGGCCTCCCTAGAAGCTGGGATTATGGGTGTGCACCACCACACGTGGCTAATTTTTGCAATTTAGTAGAGATGGGGTTTCACCATGTTGGCCAGGCTGGTCTTGAACTCCCGACCTCAGGTGATCTGCCCACCTCAGACTTCCAAAGTGCTGGGATTACAGGCGTGAGCCACCGTGCCCGGCCCCCACACCATTCTTGATGTGAGTGATGCCCAGCTGATCTCTCACACTCTGCCCAGTACTACCAAAAAAGCCTCTTTCTGCTGGGGTTGCCTTCTGCTCGCAGGTAGCCTCTTGGGTGAGGTCCCATTGAGGGGACAGTGTATTAGTCTGTTCTCATGCTGACAATACAGATACCCAAGACTGAGTACTTTATAAAGGAAAGGAGGTTTAATGGACTCGCAGTTCCACATGGCTGGGGAGGCCTCACAATCATGGTGGAAGATGAAGGAGAAACAAAGTCACATCTTACGTGGTGGCAGGCAAGAGAGGGTGTGTGCAGGGGAACTCCCCTTTATAAAACCATCAGATCTTGTGAGACTTATTCACTATCATGAAATCACTATCATGGGAAATGCCCACCCCCATGATTCAGTTACCCCCTACTGGGTCTCTCCCATGACACGTGGGAATTATGGGAGCTACAATTCAAGATTTGGGTGGGGATAGAGCAAAACCGTATCATTCCACTCCTGGCCCCTCCCAAATTTCATGTCCTCACATTTCAAAACCAATCATCCCTTCCCAACAGTCCCCCAAAGTCTTAACTCATTCCAACATTAACTCAAAAGTCCATAGTCCAAAGTCTCATCTGAGACAAGGCAAGTCCCTTCTGCCTATGAGCCTGTAAAATCAAAAGCAAGTTAGTTATTTCCTAGATAACAGTGGGGGTACCGGAATTGGGTATATACACCCATTCCAAATGGGGGGAACTGGCCAGAACAAAGGGGCTACAGGCCCCATGCAAGACCAAAATCCAGCGGGGAAGTCAAATCTTAAAGCTCCAAAATGATGTCCTTTGATTTCATGTCTCACATTCAGGCCACACTGATGTGAGAGGTGGGTTCCCATGGCCTTGGGTAGCTCTGCCCTTGTGGCTGGGAAAAAAACAGGAGCGATCACGTAACATTCCTGAACACCAAGGTATAGTACGGTGGACATTCCTGAGCCCTGCTTGGTCCCTGATGAAGGGATAGGGTTAGTGTTAGGGTTAGGGTTAGGATTAGGGTTAGGGTTAGGGTTACAACGGGCTGGGAGGGGGGCAGGGGTTGGCAGGGCTGCAACTTCTTTTATAGGTTTTCTTGGGCAGAATCAGTTCTGGTTTTCTGCTAGCTTCTGGTGGCTCTGGGCTTTCCTTGACCTCTGGACGCACTCTCTGCGCTCTCCGATCTCTGCCTCTGTGGTCACACTGTCTACTCTGCTGTGGGTGGAATCTCCCACTGCCTCACGGTCATAGGACATTTTTCCACTGGACTTAGAGCCCTCTCAGGTAACCAGGATGAGCTCCTCCCTTCAAAACCCTTAACGTTTTTTACAAAATTAATTAATTAATTTTATTTTTAAAACTTTTATTTCCGTAGGTTTTTGGGGAACAGGTGGTATTTCATGACATGAATAAGTTCTGTAGTGGTGATTTGGGAGATTTTGGTGCACTCATCATCCGAGCAGTGTATACTGACCTCTATTTATGGTCTTTTATCCCTCACCTCCTTCCCACTTTTTCCATCTGAGTCCCCAAAGTCCATTGTGTCATTCTTATGCCTTTGCATTCTCATAGCTTAGCTCCCACTTATGAGTGAGAACATGTGATTTTGGTTTTCCATTCCAGAGTTCCTTCACTTAGAATAATAGTCTCCAGTTCCATCCTGGTTGCTGTGAATGCCATTAATTCATTCCTTTTTATGGCTGAGTAGTATTCCATTGTATATATGTACCACAGTTTCTTTATCCACTCGTTGATTGATGGGCATTTAGGTTGGTTCCACACTTTTGCAATTGTGAATTGTGCTGCTGTGAACATGGGTGTGCAGGTATCTTTTTTGTGTAACGACTTCTTTTCCTCTGGGTACCCAGTAGTGGGATTGCTGGATCAAATGGTAGTTCTACTTTTAGTTCTTTAAGGAATTTCCACACTGTTTTCCATAGCGGCTGTACTAGTTTGTATTCCCACCAGCAGTGGAGAAGTGTTGCCTGTTCACTGCATCCACACCAACATCTATTATTTTTTGATTTTTTTGATTATGACCATTCTTGCAGGAGTAAGATGGTATCGCTTTGTGGTTTTGATTTGCAGTTCCCTGATGATTACTGATGTTGAGGATTTTTTCATATATTTCAAAACCCTTAACTTAATCACATCTTTTATCATTTGCAGTTATATTCCCAGGTGTTGGAGTTTAGGATGAAGATGTATCTTTTTGGGAACTGCCTTTCAGTCCACTACAAGTGGATTTGGAAAGCTAGATTGACCTCGCTCAATTTTGTAAAGGTGGAAGTAGAGAAAGAATGTGGATGAGGATTGTTTTCTCATTTGTCCCAGCAATCCCATTGCTGGGCGAATACCCAGAGGAACAGAAATTATTCTACCATAAAGACACATGCATATGTGTGTTCACTGCAGCATTGTTCACAATAGCAAAGACATGGAATCAATGTAAATGCCCATTAGTGACGGACTGGGTAAAGAAAAAGTGGTACATATACACCATGGAATATTGTGCAGCCATAAAAGAAGAATGAGAGCATGTCCTTTGTAGGAACACGGATAGAGCTGGAGGCCATTATCTTTAGCAAAGTAACACAGGAACAGGAAGCCAAATATACATGTTCTCATTTGTAGGTGGGAGCTAAATGATGAGAACACATGGACACATGGAGGGGAACAATACACACTGGGGCCTATTGGAGGGTGGAGGATGGGAGGAGGGAGAGGAGCAGAAAAAAAGTAGCTATTGGGCACTAGGCTTAGTACCTGGGTGATGAAATAATCTGTACAACACACCCTCATGACACAATTTTACCTATATAACAAACCTACATTTGTTCGGTTAAAAAAGAAAAAAAAGAAAGAGTGTGGATATGGGAGGAAGCAGGCACCGGGAGAGCCTGGGGGTGGAGGTTTGCCATGAAGCACACAGACCCAAAGTGTGTGCTTCATCCCTTGTGCTGAAATTGACCCTGACCCTCAGGCTGTTCTCTTAATTTCCATGTCATTAGAGGAAAATACAAACTCCAGTCTTCAGAATACCCATTTCCGACCCTGCCACAAAAACTCAGATTCCCATATGACATCTGTCTATTCGTTAGTACTGTGTGGCAAATGACTCCCTCCACCAGCCCTGGCTTAGTGATTTAAAACAGCACCTTTGTACTAGCTCACAGTTTCTGTGTGTCAGGATTCTGAACCTGGCTTATCTGGAGGTCTCTGGCCCAGGGTCGTTTGTGAGCTGGCAGTCAAGCTGGTGGCTAGACCCAGGGTTTTATCTAAAGCTCTTTTGGGGCAGATGATACAACTTCATGTGGTCATTGTCAGGTTTCAGTCCCTCACTGTGTGGGCCTCTCTGCATGGCTACCTCACAGCATGGCAGCTGGCTTCCTCTGGAGTGAGCCATGAGAAAGAGGGACTCTGACTCTCAAGATGGAAGCTACAGTCCTTTTATAATGGAATCTCAGGAGTAACAGCTTGTCACTTTTGCTGTTTTCTATTTGTTAGAAGCAAGGCAGTAAATGCAATCCACACTTAAGAGGGAGGGATTACATAAGGGTTCCAATACCAGGAGGTGGGGATCATTGGGGCACCTTAGAAGCTGCCTACCACAGCCCCCAAAGTCTAATATACATAAGACATAAAATGAATTATCTTTAAGGTTAATCATAGATTTATCTCCTAATTTATGATAGTAAACCCAAACACTGGGGGGCTGTGGGGGAGACGGGTGTTATGGTTTGGCTCTGTCCCCACCCAAATCTCATCTTGAATTGTACTCTCATAATTTCTATGTGTTGTGGGAGGGATCTGGTGGGAGATAATTGAATCACGGGGGCAGTTTCTTCCATCCGTTCTCCTGGTAGACAGTAAGTCTCATAAGATCTGATGGTTTGATAAGGGGAGACCCGTTTTGCTTGGCTCTCATTCTGCCTCGTTGCCACCATGTAAGAAGTGCCTTTTGCCTTCTGCCATGATTGTGAGGCCTCCTTAGCCACATGGAACTGTAAGTCCATTAAACCCCTTTCTTTTGTAAATTGCCCAGTCTTGGATATGTCTTTATCAGTGGTATGAAAACAACTAATACAATGGGGATGGTTAATGGGTACAAAAAAATTAGAAAGAATGAATAAGACCTACTATTTTATAGCACAATAGGGTGACTATAGTCAATAATAACTTGATTGTATGTTTAAAAATAACTAAAATAATGTAATTGGATTGTTTGTAACACAAAGGATAAATGCTTGAAGGGATGGAGACCCCATTCTCCATGATGTGATTATTTCACATCGCATGTCTGTATCAAAGCATCTCATGTATCCCATAAATATATACACCTACTGTATACCCACAAAAATTAAAAATAAGGTAGGGTGCGGTGGCTCATGCCTGTAATTCCAGCACTTTGGGAGACCAAGGCAGGTGGATTGCTTTAGCTCAGGAGTTTGAGACGAGCCTGGGCATCCTAGTGAAACCCCATCTCTATCACAAGAAATACAAAAAATTAGCCAGGCATGGTGATGCACGTTTGTGGTTTCAGCTATTCGCGAGGCTGAGGTAGGAGGACTGCTTGAACCTGGGAGGCAGAGGTGGCAGTGAGCTGTGATCACACCTCTACCCTCCAGCCTGAGCAACAGAATGAGACCCTGTCTCAAAAACAAAATAAAACAAAAAACAAACAAAACAACAACAATAAAAAAAAACCACACACACACACACCCCCCAAAAAAAAACAAAACAAAACCCCAAAAAGCAAAAACACGAAAAACAAAAAAGACCCATATAAATTAGTTAAAAAACCCCTAAACACCTCAAAACTAATGTTTATGTTCCCAAATCATCAATGAAACTGACATAAATGTCTCTGTAGGATTTTGAGTTGATGGCTTGATCCCCTTTTCCCTTTGTTTTCCTAGAAGAAGGGCCTAGAGAAGTTAATAACATTTCTGGAGTAAACACAAGAGTATGCTAGCATTGAACCCTAGGTTTCCCCAGTTTTCTGTCCTAGATGTGCCCGGGTTCCTGACAAGGAGAGCAGATTTTACGAGGGACCTGCCACTGTGTGTCAGTGCTCAGCTTCTCCACTCAGTTGACTTTATATTAGTTTCTTAGGGCTGCTGTAACATGGTCCACCAAACTGCGTGATTTAAAAACAACAGAAATTTATTGTCTCACAGTTCTGGAGGCTGGAAGTTCAAAATTAAGGTGTTAGCAGGGTGAGTTTTTTTTTTCCTGTTAAAGAATGCTTTATTAGTACAAATACACACAAACCCTAAAGCATGAAGAAATTTAAATATTTATGTCATAGTAAACAGGTGGCAATTCAACATCCAGGGTCAACAGAAGGGTTGAAGGACACTGCAACAGATTGGGTTCCCATGGCGGAGAGGGCATCTTCACAGGCGAAGGCGGGCCCAGCTGAAACAGCTTTTCAAGCTCTCTCTCCTTATCAAGGATCATAAGAGGCACTCCACTCAAGGGGAGGCCTGCAATCTGGTGCACTTCAGGTTGGTTAAAACTCTCAAAATCTAGAAGATTGAAGTGAAATAATTTTTCTATTTCTGGGTAGGCATTATCTGAGGAAGGAACAGAGCTTTTTGCTTTAACAGTCTTCCTGGTCATCTTTTCGGCAGAGAAATTTGGGTGTTTTAGTTTGAGGAGTCCGTTGATCTTTACTCACGTTTCTGTAGCCCTGTTGACAGTTCCAAAAGACTTTCTGGTAGCTTTAGGTAAGGCTGGTAAAGCATTGGACATTTTGCCAACACGTGGTGCTGAAACTTGAGATCTCCCCTCTAAGGCTTTGATTGAAGGTCCAGATCCCAGCTTCAGCCTATCTTTAGGAGCTGCATGGATACCTGGTTCTCCATTCTCCTTATCAACATAGATCAGAGCAGGGTGGGTTCCTTCTGGGGGAGAATCTGATCCATGCCTCTCTCTTTGCTTCTAGTAGCCCCAGGCATTCCTTGGCTTGTGGATGCGTCTCTGCAGTGTTCCATCTCCATATGGTGTTCTTCCTGTGTGTCTGTGTCTTCTTGTATGGACACCAGTCATATTGGGTTAGGGGCCCACTCTGCTCCAGTAGGACCTTATCCTGACTAATCACATCTCTAACAAGCCTATTTCCAAACATGGTCACATTCTGAGGACTTCACTATATCTTTTTTGGGGCCACAATTCAACCCATGACATACCCCTGAATGATGAAAAGAGTAGAATTTGAGACATTACATTTCTAAGTAGTTGGAAAAACTACTTTTGTTTATCTAATAAAGGAGGTATTTGAAGTTGCCCCTTCAGCTTTAATGTTTTTAAAAACTTTTGACTCTAGGGCTTGCCTGATGGGTTAAAGGCTGTCCCAATTTTAGCCGCAGGTCAGTTGTTTCACCTGCACCCTTCTTTGCCCTCAGGTATGGATTAAGAACCTGGAGGCTGGAGGGGTTTTTCCTTTAGCAAGTGTTCCTATGACAAAATACTGAGCTGTTGACTGGGGCTGGGAAGAGGGGATATCCTTATCCCCTGTAGAGGGTTTATTCCAAGGTGTCTCTAAAGCCTCTTGGGCTTTATCTCTATGTTAAAACTCTCTTTTGGGCTTTTGGGATGTGGACTGACAGACCCTGCATGCCTGGAGGATGCTGGGCCACTGGGAGCTGGCTTATCTTACTCTGTTCCAGGCTAGGGACCGAATAAGCTCAATGAGCTGTTTGCACAGCTGCAATGTTTCCTAGAAGAGGGCTTCTTACCTGGTTCCTGAATCAAGAATCATTTCAGCGTTAGGTGGGATCCATCCAGACCAGTCATCTAGACAGTTCCTTAAATTGGGATTTTATTTTACTTTTATTTATTTTTTGAGATGGAGTCTCTCTCTGTCCCCCAGGCTGGAGTGCAGTGGCGCCATCTCTGCTCACTGCAAGCTCCGCCTTCCGGGTTCACGCCATTCTCCTGCCTCAGCCTCCCGAGTAGCTGGGATTACAGGCACCAGCCACCACGCCCGGCTAATTTTTTGTATTTTTAGTAGAGACAGGGTTTCACCGTGTTAGCCAGGATGGTGTCGATCTCTTGACCTCATGATCCACACGCCTTGGCCTCCCAAAGTGCTGGGATTACAGGCGTGAGCCACCGCGCCCGGCCAATTGGGATTTTTTTTAAGCAAAAAAAGAGGATATTTTGAGAATGATGGAACTCCTGGTCTGAAATGAGAACTATATATAACTCCTGGATTTTTTCCTTTCCCTCAACTCCCCGGCAATGGATTGAATGTTTGCGTCCCCCACAAATTCTTATGTTGAAATCCTAACTCTCAATAGGACAGTATTAGAAGGTGGGGCTTTTGGAAGGTAATTAGATCTTAAGAGTAGAGACTTTAAGAATAGGATTCGTGCCCTTGCATGAGAGCCACAAATAGCTCTCCAGCCTTCTGTCTGCCATGTGAGGAGACAATGAGAAGACAATAGTCTTCAACCTGGAAAAAGGCTCATACCAGAGCCTGACCAAGCTGGCACCTATCTCAGATTTCCAGCTTCCAGAACTGTAAGAAATCCATTTCTGACTTTTATAGGCCACCCGTATATTGTATTTTTATGGTAGCAGCCTGAACAGACTAAGGCCTGTTGGCTTTACTTTCACAATGGAAACCAGTCTTTTCACTCCTCATTCTCTGCTGCTTCCTTTCTAATTCAAGCTACCATCACCGCTCCTCCGGACCCGTACAGTCATCTTCCAGCTGGTCTCCCTCCTCCATCCCTGTCTTGTACAATCCATCTTCCACCTAGAAGCCAGAATGGTGTTTTAGAAACCTGAATCCAAGCATGTTATCTCTATGTTAAAACTCCCTAATGCATTTAAAAATCTCCACAATCTGGCCCGCGTTTACCTTTATCTGACACCACTCGTGTTGATTTTTTTTCTTTTTTGAGATAGAGTCTCACTTTATCACTCAGGCTGGAATGCAGTGGCTCGATCTCGGCCACTACAGCCTCCACCTCCTGGGTTCAAGTGATTCTCCTGCCTCAGCCTCTTGCTGTAGCCGTGATTACAGTGCATGCCACCAAGCCTGGCTAATTTTTGTATTTTTAATAGAGACGGGGTTTTGCCATGTTGGCCAGGCTGGCCTTGAGTTCCTGGCTTCAAGTGATCTGCCCGCCTCTGCCTGCCAAAGTGCTGGGATTACAGGTGTGAGCCACCGCGCCCAACCTCGTGTTGATTCATTTCTTGTTATTGTCTTTTCCTTTGCCCACACTTACCCTCCTCTCCCCTTAGAATGTACACCTTTGAGAGAAGGGACCTTGTTTGTCCCAATCATAGAGACAGAGCTGTGCCTGGCACTTGGTGGATGCTCAATCAATATGTTTACAATGCAAATGGCAGAGAAGAAATTTAGGCAAGCAACCGTGGGTTTTCTGTATTCAGTTCTGATACCGACTTTCAGTTCTTTTCACCAAAGAATTGGCAAGAGTCCTGAGCCAGGTGCTGGAGGGGATGATTGGGACTTCTCTTCCAGGCTCTGCAGATACCCTTTTGCATGTCCCAATATTGTTCTTTTCACACACCGATCCATGCCTTGGTGGCTCTTTTCACATACAGCTTTCATTCTTGCCAATGTAGTTATGCAACGATTGTGTCAAGTACTGGAACATTCCACTAGAGGGCAGTAGAATATAGTGTTCAGAGTTAGGGATCTGAAGCCATTGACTGCCTTGCCATCTATTCCCTTCCAGGAATCATTTTGGAGAGAGGGCAGCGATCATTTTGAACCATGATGATATGAGGGCAACCACCTAGGGATGGTAGAAGAGCAAGCTGGATCAAATGGCCATATAACACATAAATCACTATGGTTAAGAACTTAGTACCCCCTGCCATTCCTTCCTGCCCCCTACAGGTAGGCTGCCTGGGTTAAAATAGGAGGGGGAGGGAGGAGATGTACATTACTGCTGCTCACATCCCATTGTCCGGAAAATACTGCTTGCTGAGGTGTCATATGGCTACACTTTCCTATAAGAAAGACTGTGAAATGTTGCATTTTTTCTTGGTGGCCAAAAATCTATTATGGAAGAATGGGAAAATGAATATTGGAAGTTAACTGGCAATTTCTGCCACAAATTCTTTTTTTTTTTATTATTATACTTTAAGTTCTAGGGTACATGTGCACAACGTGCAGGTTTGTCACATATGTATACACGTGACATGTCGGTGTGCTGCACCCATTAACTCGTCATTTAAATTAGGTTTATCTCCTAATGCTATCCCTCCCCACTCCTCCCACCCCACGACAGGCCCCGGTGTGTGATGTTCCCTTTCCTGTGTACAAGTGTTCTCATTGTTCAGTTGCCACCTATGAGTGAGAAGATGCAGTGTTTGGTTTTTTGTCCTTGCAATAGTTTGCTGAGAATGATGGTTTCCAGCTTCATCCATGTCCCTACAAAGAACATGAACTCATCCTTTTTTATGGCTGCATAGTGTTCCATGGTGTATATGTGCCACATTTGCTTAATCTAGTCTATCATTGTTGGACATTTGGGTTGGTTCCAAGTCTTTGCTGTTGTGAATAGTGCCGCAATAAACATACGTGTGCATGTGTCATTATACCAGCATGATTTATAATCCTTTGGGTATATACCCAGTAATGGGATGGCTAGGTTGAATGGTATTTCTAGTTCTAGATCCCTGAGGAATCGCCACACTGACTTCCACAATGGTTGAACTAGTTTACAGTCCCAACAACAGTGTAAAAGTGTTCCTATTTCTCCACATCCTCTCCAGCACCTGTTGTTTCCTGACTTTTTAATGATCGCCATTCTAACTGGTGTGAGATGGTATCTCATTGTGGTTTTGATTTGCATTTCTCTGATGGCCAGTGATGATGAGCATTTTTTCATGTGTCTGTTGGCTGCATAAATGTCTTCTTTTGAGAAGTGTCTGTTCATATCCTTTGCCCACTTTTTGATGGGGTTGTTTGTTTTTTTCTTGTAAATTTGTTTGAGTTCATTGTAGATTCTGGATATTAGCCCTTTGTCAGATGAGTAGATTGCAAAAATTTTCTCCCATTCTGTAGGTTGCCTGTTCACTCTGATGGTAGTTTCTTTTGCTGTGCAGAAGCTCTAGTTTAATTAGATCCCATTTGTCAATTTTGGCTTTTGTTGCCATTGCTTTTGGTGTTTTAGACATGAAATCCTTGCCCATGCCTATATCCTGAATGGTATTGACTAGGTTTTCTTCTAGGGTTTTTATGGTTTTAGGTCTAAGATTTAAGTCTTTAATCCATCTTGAATTAATTTTTGTATAAGGTATAAGGAAGGGATCCAGGTTCAGCTTTCTACATATGGCTAGCCAGTTTTCCCAGCACCATTTATTAAATAGGGAATCCTTTCCCCATTTCTTGTTTTTGTCAGGTTTGCCAAAGATCAGATGGTTGTAGATATGTGGCATTATTTCTGAGGGCTCTGTTCTGTTCCATTGATCTATATCTCTGTTTTGGTACCAGTACCATGCTGTTTTGGTGACTGTAGCCTTGTAGTATAGTTTGAAGTCAGGTAGCATGATGCCTCCAGCTTTGTTCTTTTGGCTTAGGATTGACTTGGCAATGTGGGCTGTTTTTAGGTTCCATATGAACTTTAAAGTAGTTTTTTCTAATTCTGTGAAGAAAGTCATTGGTAGCTTGATGGGGATGGCACTGAATCTATAAATGACCTTGGGCAGTATGGCCATTTTCATGATATTGATTCTTCCTATCCATGAGCATGGAATGTTCTTCCATTTGTTTGTGTCCTGTTTTATGTTTTTGAGCAGTGGTTTGTAGTTCTCCTTGAAGAGGTCCTTCACATCCCTTGTAAGTTGGATTCCTAGGTATTTTATTCTCTTTGAAGCAGTTGTGAATGGGAGTTCACTCACGATTTGGCTCTCTGTGTATCTGTTATTGGTGTATAAGAATGCTTGTGATTTTTGCACATTGATTTTGTATCCTGAGACTTTGCTGAAGTTGCTTATCAGCTTAAGGAGATTTTAGGCTGAGACAATGGGGTTTTCTAAATATACAATCATGTCATCTGCAAACAGGGACAATCTGACTTCCTCTTTTCCTAAGTGAATACTCTTCATTTCTCTCTCCTGCCTGATTGCCCTGGCCAGAACTTCCAACAGCATGTGAATAGGAGTGGTGAGAGAGGGCATCCCTGTCTTGTGCCAGTTTTCAAAGGGTATGCTTCCAGCTTTTGCCCATTCAGTATGATATTGGCTGTGGGTTTGTCATAAATAGCTCTTATTATTTTGAGATACGTCCCATCAATACCTAATTTATTGAGAGTTTTTAGCATGAAGGGATGTTGAATTTTGTCGCAGGCCTTTTCTGCATCTATTGAGATAATCATGTGGTTTTTGTCTTTGGTTCTGTTTATATGCTGGATTACATTTATTGATTTGTGAATGTTGAACCAGCCTTGCATTTCAGGGATGAAGCCCACTTGAACATGATAGTTATGCTTTTTGATTTGCTGCTGGATTCAGTTTGCCAGTATTTTATTGAGGATTTTTGCATCGATGTTCATCAGGGATATTGGTCTAAAATTCTCTTTTTTTGTTATGTCTCTGCCAGGCTTTGGTATCAGGATGATGCTGGCCTCATAAAATGAGTTAGGGAGGATTCCATCTTTTTCTGTTGATTGGAATATTTTCAGAAGGAATGGTACCAGCGCCTCCTTTTACCTCTGGTAGAATTCGGCTGTGAATCTCTCTGGTCCTGGACTTCTATTAGTTGGTAGGCTATTAATTATTGCCTCAATTTCGGAGCCTGTTATTGGTCTATTCAGGGATTCAACTTCTTCCTGGTTTAGTCTTGGGAAGGTGTATGTGTCGAGGAATTTATCCATTTCTTCTAGATTTTCTAGTTTATTTTTATAGAGGTGTTTATAGTATTATCTGATGATAGTTTGTATTTCTGTGGGATCGGTGGTGATATCCGCTTTATCATTTTTTATTGAGTCTATTTGATTCTTCTCTCTTTTCTTCTTTATTAGTCTTGCTAGCGGTCTATCTTTTCAAAAAACCAGCTCCTGGATTCATTGATTTTTTGAAGGGTTTTTTGTGTCTCTATCTCCTTCAGTTCTGCTCTGATCTTAGTTATTTCTTGCCTTCTGCTAGCCTTTGAATGTGTTTGCTCTTGTTCCTCTAGTTCTTTTAATTGTGATGTTAGGGTGTCAATTTTAGATCTTTCCTGCTTTCTCTTGTGGGCATTTAGTGCTATAAATTTCCCTCTACACACTGCTCTAAATGTGTCCCAGAGATTCTGGTATGTTGTGTCTCTGTTCTCATTGGTTTCAAAGAACATCTTTATTTCTGCCTTCATTTCATTATGTACCCAGTAGTCATTCAGTTTCCATGTAGTTGAGCGGTTTTGAGTGAGTTTCTTAATCCTGAGTTCTAGTTTAATTGCACTGTGGTCTGAGAGACAGTTTGTTATAATTTCTGTTCTTTAACATTTGCTGAGGAGTGCTTTACTTGCAATTATGTGGTCAATTTTGGAATAAGTGTGATGTGGTGCTGAGAAGAATGTATATTCTGTTGATTTGGGGTGGAGAGTTCTGTAGATGTATATTAGGTCCAGTTGGTGCAGAGCTGAGTTCAATTCCTGGATATCCTTCTTAACTTTCTGTGTCATTGATCTGTCTAATGTTGACAGTGGGGTGTTAAAGTCTCCCATTATTATTGTGTGGGAGCTTAAGTCTCTGTAGATCTCTAAGGACTTGCTTTATGAATCTGGGTGCTCCTGTATTGGGTGCATATATATTTAGGATAGTTAGCTCTTCTTGTTGAATTGATCCCTTTACCATTATGTAATGGCCTTCTTTGTTTCTTTTGTTCTTTGTTGGTTTAAAGTCTGTTTTATCAGAGACTAGGATTGCAACCCCTGCCTTTTTTTGTTTTCCATTTGCTTGGTAGATCTTCCTCCATCCTTTTATTTTGAGCCTATGTGTGTCTCTGTATGTGAGATGGGTCTCCTGAATACAGCACACTGATGGGTCTTGACTCTTTATGCAATTTGCCAGTCTGTGTCTTTTAATTGGAGCATTTAGTTCATTTACATTTAAGGTTAATATTGTTATGTGTGAATTTGATCCTGTCATTATGATGTTAGCTGGTTATTTTGCTCATTAGTTGATGCGGTTGCTTCCTAGCATTGATGGTCTTTACAATTTGGCATGTTTTTGCAGTGGCTGGTACTGGTTGTTCCTTTCCATGTTTAGTGCTTCCTTCAGGAGCTCTTGTAGGGCAGGCCTGGTGGTGACAAAATCTCTCAGTTTTGCTTGTGTGTAAAGAATTTTATTTCTCCTTCACTTATGAAGCTTAGTTTGGTTGGGTATGAAATTCTGGGTTGAAAATTCTTTTCTTTAAGAATGTTGAATATTGGCCCCCACTCTCTTTTGGCCTGTGGAGTTTCTGCCGAGAGATCTGCTGTTAGTCTGATGGGCTTCCCTTTGTGGGTAACCCAAGCTTTCTCTCTGGCTGCCCTTAACATTTTTCCCTTCATTTCAGCTTTGGTGAATCTGACAATTATGTGTCTTGGAGTTGCTCTTCTTGAGGAGTATCTTTGTGGCATTCTCTGTATTTCCTGAATTTGAATGTTGGCCTGCCTTGCTAGATTGGGGAAGTTCTCCTGCATAATATCCTGCAGAGTGTTTTCCAACTTGGTTCCATTCTCCCCGTCACTTTCAGGTACACCAGTCAGATGTAGATTTGGTCTTTTCACATAGTCCCATATTTCTTGCAGTCTTTGTTCATTTCTTTTTTCTCTTTTTTCTCTAAACTTCTCTTCTCACTTCATTTCATTCATTTCATCTTCCATCACTGATACCCTTTCTTCCAGTTGATCAAATCAGCTACTGAAGCTTGTGCGTTCGTCACATAGTTCTCATGCCATGGTTTTCAGCTCCATCAGGTCATCTAAGGACTTCTCTACACTGGTTATTCTAGTTAGCCATTTGTCTAATCTTTTTTCACGGTTTTTAGCTTCTTTGTGATGAGTGCGATCTTCCTCCTTTAGCTCAGAGAAGTTTGATCATCTGAAGCCTTCTTCTCTCAACTCGTCAAAGTCATTTTCCATCCAGCTTTGTTCCATTGCTGGCGAGGAGCTGCATTCCTTTGGAGGGGGAGAGGCGCTCTGATTTTTAGAATTTTCAGCTTTTCTGCTCTGTTTTTTCCCCATCTTTGTGGTTTTATCTACCTTTGGTCTTTGATGATGGTGATGTACAGATGGGGTTTTGTTGTGGATGTCCTTTCTGTTTGTTAGTTTTCCTTCTAACAGTCAAGACCCTCAGCTGCAGGTCTGTTGGAGTTTATGGAGGTCCACTCCAGACCCTGTTTGCCTGGGTATCAGCAGCGGAGGCTGCAGAACAGCGGATATTGCTGAACAGCAAATGTTGCTGCCTGATCATTCCTCTGGAAGCTTCATCTCAGAGGGGTACCCGGCTGTGTGAGGTGTCAGCCTGCCCCTACTGGGGGTGCCTCCCATTTAGGCTACTCGGGGGGCAGGGACCCACTTGAGGAGGCAGTCTGTCCGTTCTCATATCTCAAACTCTGTGCTGGGAGAACCACTACTCTCTTCAAAGCTGTCAGACAGGGACATTTAAGTCTGCAGAGGTTTCTGCTGCCTTTTGTTTGGCTATGCCCTGCCTTCAGAGGTGGAGTCTCCAGAGGCAGGCAGGCCTCCTTGAGCTGCAGTGGGCTCCACCCATTTCAAGCTTCCTGGTCGCTTTGTTTACCTACTCAAGCCTCAGCAATGGCAGGCACCCCTCCCCCAGCCTCACTGCCGCCTTGCAGTTTGATCTCAGACTGCTGTGCTAGCAATGAGTGAGACTCCGTGGGCGTGGGACCCTCCAAGCCAGGCGTGGGATATAACCTCCTGGTGTGCCATTTGCTAAGACCATTGGAAAAGCTCAGTATTAGGGTGGGAGTGACCCAATTTTCCAAGTGCCATCTGTCACAGCTTCCATTGGCCAGGAAAGGGAATTCACTGACCCCTTGCACTTCCCGGGTGAGATGATGCCTTGCCCTGCTTTGGGTCATGCACAGTGGGCTGCACCCACTGTCCTGCACCCACTGTCTGACAAGCCCCAGTGAGATGAACCCGGTACCTCAGTTGGAAATGCAGAAATCACCCATCTTCCGTGTGGCTTATGCTGGCAGCTGTAGACTGGAGCTGTTGCTGTTCGGCCATCTTGGAACTTCCCCTCTGCCACAAATTCTTAAACCAGCTGAGGTTAAATAATCTCAGTTAAGGCCGGGCGTGGTGGCTCACGCCTGTAATCCCAGCACTTTGGGAGGCCGAGGTGGGGGATCACGAGGTCAGGAGTTCGAGACCAGCCTGGCCAATATGGTGAAACCCTGTCTCTACTAAAAATACAAAAATATGGTGGGTGCCTGTAATCCCAGCTACTCGGGAGACCGAGTCAGGAGAATCGCTTGAAACTAGAAGGCAGAGGTTGCAGTGAGCCAAGATTGTACCAGACTGGGCAACAAGAGCAAAACTCTGTCTTAAAAAAACAAATCTGAGCTAAATAATCTGGGCTTTTGTCAGGGCAGGGGATTTCCAAGGTGATTCAGACCCAAGCCACTGGTCATCAGGCTTTGCTTCCTTCTTTGTAGTTAAACTTAACTTGTTATGTCAACTAGATTTTTGGATTTTATAGCCTGGAACCTCCCCCAGGGATGCACTTTTAGAATCCCCTATAGTGGTGTCCTATCATTATGATTATGCATAACTGATATGTTAGTATTATTAAAAACTTTTGTTTGCCTTATTAGCATCTTTTTATATTTAGTAGTGCCATGTGGAAGTTTCATCTCCTAGGAGATGCGTGATGAAGTTTGGGGAGTTAGTTCTGTTCTTTTTTTTATATAACTGATGAATCACTTTGCAATACACTGTTGACACCTACCACTCGCACTTGGCCATTTTGTTTGACCATCTATGCTGATTCACTGTTGAATAAATTACTTGATTTACAATTGATGCTGGTTAGTCCCTCCTGTTCTTCATATGCCTCCTACTCTTTCCAGGCTATTTGGCTTATACCCTTCTTTACATACACAAATGGAATTCAGTGCATATTAATTACTTATAGACAGACATATATTTACTAGAAGAAACAAAAAGTCCAGGTATATAAATATTCTTCTACTTAAGAAAATAATAACCAAAATCCGAGTGGAATTGGATGGAATGGAGATGAGAAAAACCATATGTAAGATAATTGAAACCAAAAGCTGGTTGTTTGAAAAAATAAGATTGATAGACTAGCCAGACTAATAAAAAAGAGAGAAGATCCCTAAAAACAGAATCATAAATGACAAAGGGAGCATTACCACTGGCCCCACAGAAATACAAAAACCCTCAGAGACTATTATAAATACCTCAATGCATACAATTAGAAAACCTAGAAGAAATGGATAAATTCCTGAAAACATACAACCACTCTAAATTGAACCCGGAAGAAAAGAAAACCTTGAGCAGACCAATAACAAGTTCTGAAATAGAATCAATAACAAAAGAAACCTACCAAGAAGACAAAAGTGCTGGACCAGACGAATTCACAGCCGAATTCTACCAGATGTATAAAGAAGAGCCGGTACCATTCCTACTGAAACTATTCCTAAAAATCAAGGAGAAGGGACTTGTCTTTAACTCATTCTATGAGGCCAGCATCATTCTGATACCAAAATCTGGCAGAGACACAATGGAAAAAAAACTTCAGGCCAATATCTCTGATGGACATAGATGCAAAAATTATCAGCAAAACACTAACAAACCAAATCCAGCAACACATCAAAAAGCTAATCCACCATGATTAAGTAGACTTTATTCCTGGAATGCAAGGTTGCTTCAACATATGCAAATCAATAAATGTGACTCATCATATAAACAGAACTAAAAACAAAAACCACGTGATTATCTCAATAGATGCAGAAGAGGCCTTTGATATAATTCAACATCACTTTATATTAAAAATCCTCAACAAACTAAGCATCAAACGAACATACCTCAAAATAATAAAAGCCACCACTGAAAAGCCCACAGCCAGTATCATACAGAATGGGCAAAAGCTGGAAGCATTCCTCTTGAGAACCAGAATAAGACAAGGATGCCCATTCTCACCACTCCTATTAAACAGAGTAGAGAAGTCTTGGCCAGGGCAATCAGGCAAGAGAAAATTGGGCATCCACACAGGAAGAGAAGTCAAATGACCTTTCTTCACAGATGATATGATTATATACCTAGAAGCCTCCATAGTCTCTGCCCAAAGGCTCCTAGATCTGATAAACAACTTCAGCAAAAATCAATGAATGAAAATCAGTAGCATTTCTGTTTTTTTTTTTTTTTTTGAGACGGAGTCTTGCTCTGTCACCCAGGCTGCTGGAGTGCAGTGGCACAATCTCTGCTCACTGCAACCTCTGCCTCCAGGATTCTAAGCAATTCTCCTGCCTCAGCCTCCTGAGTAGCTGGGACTACAGGTGCATCCCACCATGCCTGACTAATTTTTTGTATTTTTAGTAGAGACAGAGTTTCACCGTGTTGGCCAGGATGGTTTTGATCTCCTGACCTCGTGAACCACATGCCTCGGCCTCCCAAAGTGGTGGGATTACAGGAATGAGCCACCGTGCCAGGCCTGAAGATCAGTAGCATTTCTATATACCAATAACAGCCAAACTGAGAGCCAAATCAAGAACACAATCTCATTTATAGTAGCCATAAAAAGAATAAAATACCTAGGAATACAGCTAACCAGGGAGGTGGAAGATCTCTACAACCAGAATTACAAAATGCTGCTCAAAGAAATCAGAGATGACACAAACAAAAATGGGAAAACTATTCCATGCTTATGGCTAGGAAGAATAAATATTGTTAAAATGGCCATCCTGTTCAAAGCAATTTATAGACCCAATGATAGTACTATCAAATTACCAAAGACTTTTTTTTCACAGAATTAGAACAAATTGTTCTAAAATGCATTTGGAATTAAAAAAGAGCTTGAATAGCCAAAGCAATCCTAAGCAAAAAGAACAAAGCTGAAGGCATCACACTACTCAACTTCAAGTTATACTACAAGGCTACAGTAACCAAAAACATAGTACTGGTACAAAAACAGATACAAAGGCCCAGTGGAACAGGGCAAGAACCCAGAAATAAAGCTATATACGTACAACCACCTGATCTTTGACAAGGTCAACAAAAACAAGCAAAGGGGAAAGGGCTCCCTGTTCAATAAATGGTGCTGGGATAACTGGCTAGCCATATGCAGAAGATTGAAACTGGACCCCTACCTTTCATCATATACAAAAATCAACTCAGGTTGGATTAAAACTTAAGCGTAAAACCTAAAACTATAAAAACTGTAGAAGAGAACCTAGGAAATACAATTTTGGACATTGGCTCTGGCAAAGACTTCATAATGAAGACTCCAAAAGCAATTGCCACAAAACCAAAAATTGACAAGGGGGATCTAATTAAACGAAAGAACTTCTGCACAGAAGACATTATCAAGAGAGCAAATAGACAACCTACAGAATGGGAGAAAATGTTTATAAACCATACATCTGACAGAGGCCTAACATCCAGAATCTATAAGGAACTTAAGCAAATCAACAAGCAAAAAACAAACAACCCCCCATTTATAAATGGGCAAAGGACATGAATAGATACTTCTCAAAAGAAGACATATAGATGGCCAACAAGCATATGAAAAAATGCTCAATATCACTAATCATCAGGGAGATGTAAATCAAAACCATGATGGGATGCCATTTCACACCAGTCAGAATGGTTATTATTAAAAAATAATAACAGATGTTATTATTAACACCTGTTAACAGAAAATAACAGATGTTGGCGAGGTTGTAGAGAAAAGGGAAAACGTATACGTGGTGGAAATATAAATTAGTTCAGCCACTGTAGAAAGCAGTCTGGAGATTTCTCAAAGAACTTAAAAGATGCTACCATTTGACCCTGCAATCCCATTACTGGATATATACCCAAAGGAATATAAATCTTTCTATCATAAAGACACATGCAAGTGCATGTTTATCACAGCACTGTTCACAGTAGCAAAGACATGGAATCA
Source organism: Homo sapiens (assembly GCF_000001405.40). NCBI lineage: Eukaryota > Metazoa > Chordata > Mammalia > Primates > Hominidae > Homo > Homo sapiens. The sequence continues at coordinate 63,046,321 of NC_000011.10, forward strand.
ACCTAGATGCCCATCAGTGGTGGACTGGATAAAGAAAATGTGGTACATATATACCATGGAATACTATGCAGCCATAAAAAAGAACGAAATCATGTTTTTGTAGCAACATGGTTGGACCTGAAGGCCATTGTCCTAAGCAAATTAACACAGGAATGGAAAACCAAATACTGCATATTCTCACTTATAAGTGGGAGCTACACATTGAGTACATATGGACACAAAGAAGGGAATAATAGATTCTGGGGCCTACTTGAAGGTGGAGAGTGGGAGGAAGGTGAGGATTAAAAAACTATGGGGTATTATGCTGATTACCTGGGTGACAAAATTATCTGTACACCAAACCCCTGCAACATGCAGTTTACTCGTGTAACAAACCTGCACATATACTCCTTGAACTTAAAAATTCAGTTCTCACTGACACCTGTCACCATGACTCTATGTCAGATACACTGCCCGGACTCACCATGTGTGAATGCATCTCAGTCCACATATGGCAGGCAGGTGTCCAGATGGGCAATGCCTGCTGGGAGCTCTACTGCCTGAAACATTAGACTCAGCTTGATGGACAGATGCCCAGTGACAAGGTCATTGGTGGAGAGGATGACTTCTTCACCACCTTCTTGTGTGAAACCGGTGCTGGAAAACATGTGCCCCAGCCAGATTTTGTGGATCTGGAGCCTGTGGTCATTGATGAGATCTGATGTCCCAAACTGACAGCTCTTCCACCCAGAGCAACTCATTACTGGGAAAGAGGATGCTGCCAACAACTATGCCTGTAGTCACTATACCATTGGCCAGGGGATCACTGACCTGGGGATAGACCAGATCTGCAAGCTTCTGACCACTGCACAGAACCTCAGGACTTCCTGGTGTTCCACAGCTTTGTTGGGGGCACTGGCTCTGACTTCACCTCACTCCGCATGGAGTGGCTTTCTGTTGACTACGGCAAGAAATCCAAGCTGGAATTCTTTATCTACTCAGCCCCCACAGCTGTCTATAATTGTGGTCCAGCTCTAAAATTTCATCCTGATCACTCACACTACCCTGGAGCACTCAGACTGTGCCTTCATGGTGGACAATGAAGCCATCTATGACATTTGCCGCTGCAACCTGGACATCGAGCATCCAACCTCAGCCAACCTCAACTGCCACATTACCAAATCATCTCCTCTGTCACATCTTCTCTGCACTTTGATGGGCCCCTCAATGTGGACCTGATGAAGTTCCAGACCAACCTCACACCTTACCCTCACATCCACTTCCCCCGGCCACCTACTCACTCATCATCTCTGTAGAGAAGGTATACCATGAACAGCTGTCGGTGGCCAAGATCCTCAAAGCCTGCTTTGAGCTTACCAACCAGATGGAGAAGTGTGACCCCCGGCATAGCAAGTACATGGGCTGCTGCCTGCTGTACCGTGGAGATGTGATGTTCAAGGATGTTTATACTGCCATTGCCACCATCAAGACCAAGTGTAGCATTCAGTTTGTGGACTGGTTCCCCATGGGCTTCAAGGTTGGTATCAACTACCAGTAGCCCACTGTGGTGCCTGGTGGTGACCTGGCCAAGGTGCAGCATGCCATGTGCATGCTGAGCAACATGATCACTATCGCTGAGGCCTGGGCCTGCCCGGGCCACAAGTTCAACCTGATGTATGCCAAGAGGGCGTTTGTGCACTGGGATGTGGGCAAAGGCATGGAGGAGGGAGAGTTCTCTGAGGCCCTGGAGGATATGGGTGTGCTGGAGAAGGATTATGAGAAAGTAAGCATCAACTTATATGAGGACAAGGATAAGGGAGACTAGAACAACTGCCTGGAGCCTATTTACTATGTTTATTGCAAAACTTTAGGAATAAGCAGTCTCCTTTCATGATTAAGAAAATAAAATAAAAGTTCAAAGAAAAAAATCTTCTGCTTGTTTTAAATCAACAAAAAGTAATCATTCACCTTTAATTTTGGTATTTGTAACTCCCCTTTTTGCATACTTTGTATTAACTTTTCTCTTTTGAATGTTATTATGAATTATTGGAATTTCACATACTCAACTATTTCAATTAACCATTCTTCCCCTTTATTCTTTCCATCCCTTCCCTCTTTATGCTTCTCCTTGAAATGAAGTCCTTTCTTTTTTAATTTACTCATTTTAATTAATTAATTAATGTATTTTTTAACTTTTAGGTTTGGGGGTACCTGTGAAGGTTTGTTACATAGCTAAACATGTGTCATGGGGGTTTGTTGTACAGATTATTTCATCCCCCTGGTATTAAGCCTAGTACCCAATAATTAGTTATCTTTTCTGCTCCTCCCCCTCCTTCTACTCCCACCCTCAAGTAGAACCTGGTGTCTGTTGTTTCCTTCTTTGTGTTCATAAGTTATCATTTAGCTCCCACTGAAAAGTGAGAATATGTGGTATTTGGTTTTCTGTTCCTGCATTAGCTTGCTAAGGATAATAGCTTCTGGCTCCATTCATGTTCCTGCAAAAGACATCATCTCATTCTTTTTTATGGCTGCATAGTATTCCATGGTGTATATGTACCACATTTTCTTTATCTAATCTGTTATTGACGGGCATTTAGGCTAATTCCTTGTCTTTGCTATTGTGAATAGTGCTGCAGTGAACATATGCGTACGTGTGAAATGTGGAACACTGCATGTGAGTATGTGAAATTCCAATAATTCATGGTCTTTATGGTATAATGATTTATATTCCTCTGGGTATATACCCAATAATGGGATTGATAGGTTGAATGGTAGTTCTGCTTTTAGCTTTTTGAGGAATCACCATACTGCTTTCCACAATGTTTGAACTAATTTACACTCCCACCAACAGTGTATAAGTGTTCCATTTTCTACTGAGTCTTGCCAGCATCTGTTATTTTTTGACTCTTTAGTAATAGCCATTCTGACTAGTATGAGATAGTATCTCATTGTGGTTTTGATTTGCATTTCTCTAGTGATAAGGGATACTGAGCTTTTTTCATATGCTTCTTGGCTGTACTTCTTTTGAGAAGTGTCTGTTCATGTCCTTTGCCCGCTTTTTAATGGGGTTGTTTGTTTTTCCCTTGTAAATTTTTTTAATTCCCTTATAGATAATGGATATTAGACCTTTGTCAGATGCGTAGTTTGCAAAATTTTTCTCTCATTCTGTAGACCGTCTGTTTACTCTGTCAAGAGTTTCTTTTGCTGTGCAGGAGCTCTTTAGTTTAATTAGATCCCACTTATCAATTTTTGCTTTCATTGTGATTGATTTTGTTGTCTTTGTCATGAAATATTTGCCGGTTCCTGTGTCCCGGTTGGTATAGCCTAGGTTGTCTTCCAGGGTTTTTATAGTTTTAGGTTTTACATTTAAGTCTTTAATCCATTTTGAGTTGATTTTTGTGTATAGTGAAAGGAAGGGGTCCAGCCTCGGTCTTCTGCATATGGCTAGCCAGTTATCCCAGCATCATTTACTGAATAGGGAGTCTTTTCCCCATTGCTTGTTTTTGTCAGCTTTGTTGAAGATCAGATGCTCATAGATGTGTGGCCTTATTTGTGGGCTATTTTGTTCCATTGGTCTATGTGCCTATTTTTGTACCAGTACCATGCTGTTTTGGTTACTGTAGTCTTGTAGTATAGTTTAAAGTTGGGTAACATGATGCCTCAAGCTTTGTTCTTTTCGCTTAGGATTACCTTGGCTATTCAGGCTCTTTTTTTGGTTCCATATGAATTTTAAAATAGTTTCTTCTAGTTCTGTGAAGAATGTCATCGATAGTTAGATAGGAATAGCATTAAATCTGTAAATTGCTTTGGGCAGTATAGCCATTTTAATAATACTGATTCTTCCTATGAGCAGGGGATTTTTTTCCAAGGGCCAAATGTCCCATGTTTATTTACATATGAAATGTGTTTCATACAATTATGATGGATGGAGTACATAACACCTGACAGCAGCAAGACTGTTCGAGGAACTGAATTTTGACTACAGTGTATCATGCAAGTATCTATATATACACAAAAGAATTCCTTTTCTTAAAAAAAGAGTACAAAACATGTTCAGGGATAAATACAAGATATAAAATGCAAAAGAAAACACAAAACAAAACCAAAAAATAGAACTCTCTCAGAGAACTATAAATGGAAGGGACAGAAGAGTACCTCTGCTGCATTATAATAAAGCAGAGCTACCGATGTTAAATATACTTCTTGAAATGGCTGAACTAAACCTGGGTGGCTCAGTGCTTAAGGTAATGGCCAATTGCAATACACAGGTGGCTGCATTGATAAGTCAGTGGTTGAAATTGTGCATCCCGACTCTAAGTACCAGAACGTTTGGCAGTAGCATCCAGAACAGGAAACGCCAACTCTTTTGACAGCAAAGAGTTAGGTCAGCTGATTTTTTCTGTCAAGAGCCAGAGAAATACTTGATATTCTTAGTTGTGTTTCTGTAACAGTTAATAAATTACATGACAAAAACCTGACTATATAAATCTATTGGTCTAACTACGTATTTGTAACTTTTATAGTAGTCCAGCCCTTTCGTTACTTTCCCTCCTTGTGCTCTTAAAGCCAGGCTTGCAGATCTGCCTAGAAAACAAGTCCTATTTTTTTCTTTAGAATAGCCTTCCCCATTCCTCAAAATGGAACTGAGGAAATCAGCATTCCTTATTAGATTCCTGGCTTCAGTTTTTATCCACGGCTGGGAAAGGAGCGACCTGCAAGGTGAGCAGGGGATGTTTTGCCATTTGTTTGTGTCTTCTTTGATTTCTTCAAGCAGTGTTTTGTAATTCTCATTGTAGAGATCTTTTACCTCCCTGGTTAGCTGTATTCCTAGGTATTTTATTCTTTTTGTGGCAACTGTGAATGGGATTGCATTTCTGATTTGGCTTTCAGTTTGGTTGTTGTTGGTGTATAGGAAAGCTAGTGATTTTTGTACATTGATTTTGTAGCCTGCAACTTTGCTGAAGTCATTTATCAGGTGAAGGAGCTTTTTGTCCAAGACTACGGTTTTCTAGATATAGAATCATGTTGTCTGCAAACAGAGATAGTTTGACTCCCTCTCTTCTTATTTGGATGGCCTTTATTTCTTTCTCTCACTTGATTGCCCTGGCTAGGACTTCTAATACTATGTAGAATAGAAATGGTGAAAGAGGGCTTCCTTGTCTTGTGCCAGTTTTCAAGGGGAATGTGAAGCTAAATTATTTCAACACTGCACAAAAGAGCCTCTATAAACTGGTTTCTTGGTCCTTAAAGAATCATTCAATTTTGACAGCATCCTTGCTTTCTGGAAATATTAAGTTTATGTTGGATCTTTTTTCTGTTTCCAAAGTTTAGGTAAACTTCCTCCAATAAGCCCTGGTTCCTCCAGTAAGCCCTGGTTCCTTCTGTGGTGAGCAGTATTCATGCTTAAAATCTGGGCTTAGGGAGTAGCAAAAATGTTTGTGGTAGGCAAAAGTTCTGCTGCTGTTGGGCTACTTTTAGTGATCAAACTGGAAAAGATATTTCTTTTTTTTAAGGTTAGGAACTCACATAGTGTTTATCTTTTGTAACATGCTCTCAAAGAGGTCAATTGTTCAAAATATTAGAGGGCTTCTTCAGTTTTCCAAAAGACATTTCTTAATCCTTCTTATTGAAAATATTGTCTTGAAAGTCCTAATGTTTCCTCATGCAGGCTGCATGAAGGAACCAGGGCTTTATTTCTTTCTCTTGCTTGATTGCTCTGGCTAGGACTTCTAATACTATGTAGAATAGAAATGGTGAAAGAGGGCTTCCTTGTCTTGTGCCAGTTTTCAAGGGGAATGTGAAGCTAAATTATTTCAACACTGCACAAAAGAGCCACTGCTTCATAAGGCTCAAGCCATAAACCTTGGCAGTGTTCATGTGGTGGTAAGTCTGCAGATGTACAGAATGCAAGAGTGGTGCAGGCTTGGCAGCTTCCACCTGGATTTCAGAGGATGTATGGCAACGCCTGGGTGCCCAGGCAGAAGCCTGCCGCAGGGGTAGAGTCCCCACAGAAAGCCTCTACTACGGCAGTGCCAAGGGAGAATGAGGGATTGGAGCCCTCACACAGTCACTACTGGGGCACTGCTTACTGGACCTGTGGGAAAGGTGCTGCTCCCCTCCAGACCCCAGAATTGTAGAGCCACTGACAGTGTGCACTCTTGAAGCTGCGTGCATTCTACTCCAACTGGTAAGAGCAGACACAGGGGATATGCCCAGCAAAACCACAGGGGTGGAGCTGCCCAAGGCCTTGAGAGCTTACCATTTGCACCTGTGTGTCCAGAATGAGGGACATGGAGTCAAAAATTATTTGGGAGTTTTAAGACTTAATGTCTTCTCTTCTTGGTTTCAGACTTGGGTGGGGCCTGTTAACCCTTTCTTTTGGCCAATTTTTCCCTTTTGAAATGGGAGTGTTTATCCAATGCCTGTACCACCATTGTATTGTGGAATAACTTATTTTTCAATTTTACAGGCTCACGGCTATAAGGAACTTGACTTGAGTCTCAGATGAGACTTTTAACTTTGGAATTTTGAGTTGTTGTTGGAAGGAGTTAAGATTTTGGGGGACTATCAAGAATAATTGTATTTTGCAATGTCAGAAGGACATGAGATTTGGGGAGCCAGTGGCAGAATGACATAGTTTGGATGATTGTCCCTTCCAAATCTCATGTTGAAATATGATCCTCATTGTTGAAGGTGGGGCCTAGTAGGAAGTGTTTGGGTCATGGAGGCGGATCCTCCATGAATGTCTTGGTGCCCTCTTCATGGGTAATGAGTAAGTTCTCACTTTACTAGTTCATGTGAGAGCTGAGTGCCAAAACGATCCTGGCACCTTCTCCCCTCTCTCTTGCCCGCTCTCTCGCCATGTGACATGCCTTCTCCCCCTTCATCTTCCACTATGATTGTAGACTTCTTGAGGCCCTCACCAGCAGAAGGTGATGGCAGTATCATTCTTGTACAGTTGGCAGAACTGTGAGCCAAAATAAGCCTCTTTTCTTTATAAATTACCCAACCTCAGGTATTCCTTTATAGAAAGGCAAAATGAACGAATACATCTGATAATTAGTGATGTTTTTCATTTTTAGTATGTTTGTTGGTCACTTATATGTCTTCTTTTGAAAAATATCTGTTTTTGCCCTTTGTCTACTTTTTAATGGGGCTATTTGTTAGATTGTGGATATTAACCCTTTGTCAGATGCATAATTTGCAAATATTTTTTCCTATTCTGTAGGTTGTCTTGTTTACTCTGTTGCTTTTTTCCTTTGCTGTGCAGAAGTATTTTTTTGTTTAATTAAGTCTCATTTGTCTATTTTTGTTTTTGTTGCAGTTGCTTTTGAAGACTTGGTCATAAATTCTTTTCCTAGGCTAGGTACAGAAGAATTTTTCTTAGGTTTTCTTCTAAGAATTTTATAGTTTCAGATCTTACATTTAGGTCTCTAATCCATCTTCAGTTAATTTATATATATGGTGAAAAGTTTTGGTTCAGTTTCATTCTTCTGTATATGGCTATCCAATTTTCCCAGCACCATTTATTGAATAGGATGTCCTTTCCCCAATGTATATTTTTGCTGACTTTGTCAAAGATCAATTGATTGTAAGTATGTGGCTTATTTCTGGGTTTTTCATTCTGTTACATTGATCTATGTGCCTATTTTTTGTACCAGTACCATGCTGTTTTGGTTACTATAGCATTGTTGTATAATTTGAAGTCAGGTAATGTGATGCCTCCAGCGTTATTCTTTTTGCTTAGGATTTCTTTGGCTATTTGGGCTCCTTTTTGGTTCCGTATGAATTATAGGATTGTTGGTAGAAAATGACATTGGTAATTCGATAGATATTACATTGAATCTGTAGGTTGCTTTGGGCAGTATAATCATTTTAACAATATTGGTTCTTCTAATCCATGAGCATGGGATGTTTTTCAATTTGCTTGTGTTGTCTATGACTTCTTTCATCAGTGCTTTGCAGTTCTCCTTGCAGAGATCTTTCACCTCCTTGTTTAAATATATTCCTAGGTATTTTTTGCAGCTATTGTAAATGAGATTGCTTTCATGATTTGGTCCACAGCTAGATCATTATTGGTGTATAGAAATCCTACTGATTTCTGCACATTAATTTTGTGCCCTGAAACTTTACTGAATTTATCAAAGCTGAGAGTTTTTTTGGTGAAGTCTTTAAGGTTTTCTAGATATAAGATCATATAATCAGGGAACAGGGATAATTTGACTTCTTCTTTTCCATTTGGATGGCTTTTATTGTTTTTCTCTTGCCTGATTTCTCTGGCAAGGACTTCTAGTACTATGGTGAATAGGAATGGTGAGAGTGGACACCCTTGTCTTGTTCCAGTTCTTAGAGGGACTACCTTAAACTTTTCCCCATTAAGAATGAGTTTCCCTACTGCAGGAAAAAGGCATTGAAAAAAAAGAGTGAGTTGCCTGTGGGTTTGTCATATATTGCTTTTATTATGTTGAAGAATATTCCTTCTATGGCTAGTTTCTTGTGGATTTTTACTATAAAGGGATGCTAAATTTTACAGAATTTTTTTGCATCTATTGAGATGACCATTTGGTTTTGTCCTTAATGCTGTTTATGTGATGTATCACATTTATTGATTTGTGTATATTGAATCATTCTTGCATCCCTGGGAAAACCTCACCTGACCAGGGTGTGTTATCTTTTGGATGTGCTGTGGGATTTGATTTGACAGTATTTTGTTGAGGATTTTGCATCCTATGTTCATCAGGGATATTGGTCTGTAGTTTTCTTGTTTTATTGTCCTTGTCTGGTTTTGGTACCAGTATGATACTGGCTTCATAGAATGAGTTAGGGAGAATTCCCTCTTCCTCAATTTTTTGGAGTAGTTTCAGGAGAATTGACGTTAGTTCTTTGTATGTTTGGCAGATTTGGCTGTGAATATGTCTGGCCCAGGGCTTTTTATTTTCCCCTTTTGGAGATTTTTCGTTATTATTGGTTCAGTCTTGCTACTTATTATTGATTTGTTCAGAAGTTTTATTTCTTCCTGGTTCCATCTCAGGAGGCCATATGTTTCCAGGAATTTATTCATTTTCTGTATGTCTTCTAGTTTATGAGCACATAGTTGTTCATAATAGTCTCTGATGGTCTTATTTTCTTCTGCTAACTTTAAATTTTATTTGATCTTGGTTTTTCTAGATGCTTGAGTTGTGAAATTAGGTTGTTAATTTGTGATCTTTCTACTTTTTTGATGTAGGGATTTAATGCTACAAACTTCCCTTTTAGCACTGCTTCTGCTATATTTCACAGGTTTTCATATGTTGTGTTTTCATTTTCATTTATTTAAAAGAATTTAATTTTCTTCTTAATTTCTTCATTAATTCAGTGATAATTCAGGAGCATGCTGTTTAATTTCCATGTATTTGTATAGTTTTTGAAGTTCCTCTTGGCATTGTCTCCTAGCTTTATTCCACTGTGGTCTGAGAAGATACTTGATATGATTTTGATTTTTCAAAATTTATTTGTTTGTTTTAGAGATGGGGGTCTCACTTTGTTGCCCAGGCTAGAGTGCAGTTGCACATTCATAGCTCACAGCAGCCTTAAACTCCTGGGCCCAAGCAACCTTCCTGCCTCAGCCTCCTGAGTAACTAGAACTTCAGGCATGTGCCACCATGCCTGGCTATTTTTAAATATTTTTTTGTAGAGATGGGGCCTCCTATGTTGCCCAGGTTGGTCTCTAATGCCTGACTTCAAGCAGTCCTGCCTTGGTCTCCCAAAGTGCTGAGATTATAGTCATGAACCACTGTGCCTGGCCTAAACATTTGTTAAAACTTGTTTTTTGGCCTCATGTGGTCTATCTTGGAGGATGTTCTATGTTCTGATAAAAAGAATGTATATTCTGTAGTTGTTTGGTAGAATGTTCTGTAAATGTCTATTAAGTTCATTTGGTCTAAAGTCCAATTTAACTGTAATGTTTCTTTATGAATTTTTGTCTCAATGATCTGTCTAGTGCTGTTAGTAGGATGTTGAAGTCCCCCACAATTATTGTATTGCTGTCTGTTTCTTTCTTTAGGTATAGTAACATTTTGTTTTGTGAATTTGGGTGCCCTGATGTGGGGTGCATATATATTTGGAAGTATTATATCCCCTTGCTGAATGGATCCCTGTATAATTACATAATGACCTTCTTTTTAAAAATAATAATAATAATTATTATTTTTTAAGTTCTGGGGTACATGTGCAGGATGTGCAAGTTTGTTATGTAGGTAAACCTGTGCCATGGTATTTTTCTGCACCTATCAACCATCACCTAGGTATTAAGCCCAGCATGCATTATCTCTTTTCCCTAATGCTCTCACCTCCAACCTTCCCTGGCAGGCTCCAGTAAGTGTTGTTCCTCTCTCCGTGTCTATGTGTTCTCATTGTTTAGCTCCCACTTATAAGTGAGAACATGTGGTGTTTGGTTTTCTGTTCTGTTTGCTGAGAATAATGGCCCCCAGCTTCATCCATGTCCCTGCAAAGGACATGATCTCATTCCTTTCTATGGGTTCATAGTTTTCTGTGGTGTATATGTACCACATTTTCTTTATCCAGTCTATCACTGATGGGCATTTGAGTTGATTCCATGTCTTTGCTATTGTGAATAGTGCTGCAGTGAACATACACATGCATATATCTTCATAATAGAATAATTTATATTCCTTTGGGCATATACCAGTAATGGGATTCCTGGGTCAAATGGTATTTCTGGTTCTAAATCTTTAAAGAATTGCCACACTGGCTTCCATAATGACCTTCTTTGTCTTTCTTTTCTTTTTTTCCTTTTTACTGCTTTTGATTTAAAGTCTTCTTCTTCTTTTTTTTTTTTTTTTGAGACAGAGTCTCATCCCTTTGCCCAGTCTGGAGTGCAGTGGCAGAATCATAGTTCACTGTAGCCTCAAACTCTTGGGCTCTAGGGGTCCTCCCACCTCAGCCTCCTGAGTGGGTAGCACTACAGGTGCATGCCAGAACATCCAGATAGTCTTTAAAATATTTCACAGAGAAGGGATTTCCTTATGTTGCCAGGCTGATCTTGAACTCCTGGATGCAAGCAATCCTCCTGCCTTGGCCTCCCAAAATTTGGGATTAAAGGCATGCACCACTGCACCTAGCCTAAAATCTGTGTATTGTTCCATTTTCACACTGCTAATAAAGACATAACGGAGACTGGGGAAAAAAGAAGTTTAACGGACTTACAGTTCTGCATGGCGGGGGAGGCCTCACAATCATGGCAGAATGCAAGGAAGTGCAAGTCACATCTTACATGGTTGGCAGCAGGCAAAGACAGAGAGCTTGTGCAGTGAAACTCCTCTTTATAAACCCATCAGATCTTGTGAGTCTTATTCACTATCAGCATGAGAAGACTACGTGAGTATCATGAGCAGTATGAGAAAGACCCAACCCCATCATTCAATTACCTCCCACTGAGTCCCTCCCATGACATTTGGGAACTGTGGGAGTTACAATTCAAGATGAGATTCGGGTAGGGACACATCTAAACCATATAATTCCCTCCCTGGCCCTCTCCAAATCTCCTGCCCTCAAATTTCAAAAGCAATCATGCCTTCCCAACAGTCCCCCAAAGTCTTAACTCATTTCAACATTAACTCAAAAGTCCACAGTCCAAAGTCTTATCCAAGACAAGGCAAGTCCCTTCCACCTATGAGCCTGTAAAATCAAAAGCAAGTTAGTTACTTCCTAGATAATGAAGGTACAGGCACTGGGTAAATATAGCCATTCCAAATGGGAGAAACTGGCCAAAACATAGGGGCTACAGGCCTCATACAAGTCCAAAATCCAGCGGGGCAGTCAAATCTTAAAGTTCTAAAATGATCTCCTTTTATTCTATGTCTTGCATCTGGATCACGCCAATGCAAGAGGTGGGTCTCCATGGTGTTGGGCAGCCCTGCCCCTGTGGCTTTACAGGGTACAGCCTGCCTTCTGGCTGCTTTCACGGACTGGTATTGAGTGTCTGTGGCTTTTCCAGGTGCGTGGTGCAAACTGTAGGTGGATTTACTATTATGGGTTCTGGAGGACAGTGGCCCTCTTCTCACAGCTCCACTAGGCAGTGCCCCAGGTATCATGCAAGTATCTATATATACACAAAAGAATTCCTTTTCTTTTATTTTTTTATTATTATACTTTAAGTTTTAGGGTACATGTGCACAATGTACAGGTTAGTTACATATGTATACATGTGCCATGCTGGTGCGCTGCACCCACTAACTCGTCATCTAGCATTAGGTATATCTCCCAATGCTATCCCTCCCCCCTCCCCCCACCCCACAACAGGCCCCAGAGTGTGATGTTCCCCTTCCTGTGTCCATGTGTTCTCATTGTTCAATTCCCACCTATGAGTGAGAATATGCGGTGTTTGTTTTTTTGTTCTTGCAATAGTTTACTGAGAATGATGATTTCCAATTTCATTCATGTCCCTACAAAAGACGTGAACTCATCATTTTTTATGGCTGCATAGTATTCCATGGTGTATATGTGCCACATTTTCTTAATCCAGTCTATCATTGTTGGACATTTGGGTTGGTTCCAAGTCTTTGCTATTGTGAATAATGCCGCAATAAACATATGTGTGCATGTGTCTTTATAGCAGCATGATTTATAGTCCTTTGGGTATATACCTAGTAATGGGATGGCTGGGTCAAATGGTATTTCTAGTTCTAGATCCCTGAGGAATCGCCACACTGACTTCCACACTGGTTGAACTAGTTTACAGTCCCACCAACAGTGTAAAAGTGTTCCTATTTCTCCACATCCTCTCCAGCACCTGTTGTTTCCTGACTTTTTAATGATTGCCATTCTAACTGGTGTAAGATGATATCTCATTGTGGTTTTGATTTGCATTTCTCTGATGGCCAGTGATGGTGATCATTTTTTCATGTGTTTTTTGGCTGCGTAAATGTCTTCTTTTGAGAAGTGTCTGTTCATGTCCTTTGCCCACTTTTTGATGGGGTTGTTTGTTTTTTTCTTGTAAATTTGTTTGAGTTCACTGTAGATTCTGGATATTAGCCCTTTGTCAGAAGAGTAGGTTGCGAAAATTTTCTCCGATTTTGTAGGTTGCCTGTTCACTCTGCTGGTAGTTTCTTTTGCTGTGCAGAAGCTCTTTAGTTTAATTAGATCCCATTTGTCAATTTTGGCTTTTGTTGCCATTGCTTTTTGCGTTTTAGTCATGAAGTCTTTGCCCATGCATATGTCATGAATGGTATTGCCTAGGTTTTCTTCTAGGGTTTTTATGGTTTTAGGTCTTACAGTTAAGTCTTTAATCCATCTTGAGTTAATTTTTGTATAAGGTATAAGGAAGGGGTCCAGTTTCAGCTTTCTACACATGGCTAGCCAGTTTTCTCAATACCATTTATTAAATAGGGAATCCTCTCCCCATTGCTTGTTTCTGTCAGGTTTGTCAAAGATCATATGGTTGTAGATGTGTAGTGTTATTTCTGAGGCCTCTGTTCTGTTCCATTTGTTTGTATCTCTGTTTTGGCACCAGTACCATGCTGTTTTTGTTACTATAGCCTTGTAATATAGTTTGAAGTCAGGTAGCATGATGCCTCCGGCTTTGTTCTTTTGGCTTAGGATTGTCTTGGCTATGTGGGCTCTTTTTTGGTTCCATATGAAATTTAAAGTAGTTTTTTTCTAATTCTGTGAAGAAAGTCAGTGGTAGCTTGATGGGGATAGCATTGAATGTGTAAATTACTTTGGGCAGTATGGCCGTTTTCACAATATTAATTCTTCCTATCCATGAGCATGGAATGTTTTTCCATTTGTTTGTGTGCTTATTTCCTTGAGCAGTGGTTTGTAGTTCTCCTTGAAGAGGTCTTTCATGTCCCTTGTAAGTTGTATTCCTAGGTATTTTATTCTCTTGTAGCAATTGTGAATGGGAGTTCACTCATGGTTTGGCTCTCTGTTTGTCTATTATTGGTGTGTAGGAATTCTTGTGATTTTTGCACATTGATTTTGTATCCTGAGACTTTGCTGAAGTTGCTTATCAGCTTAAGGAAATTTTGGCTGAGACGATGGGGTTTTCTAAATATACAATCATGTCATCTGCAAACAGAGACAATTTGACTTCCTCTTTTCCGAATTGAATACCCTTTATTTCTTTCTCTTGCCTGATTGGCCTGGTCAGAACTTCCCATACTATTTTGAATAGGAGTGGTGAGAGAGGGCATCCTTGTCTTGTGCTGGTTTTCAAAGGGTATGCTTCCAGTTTTTGCCCATTCAGTAAGATATTGGCAGTGGGTTTGTCATAAATAGCTCTTATTATTTTGAGATACATTCTATCAATACCTAGTTTATTGAGAGTTTTTAGCATGAAAAGCTGTTGAATTTTGTCAAAGGCCTTTTCTGCATCTAGTGAGATAATCATGTGGTTTTTGTCATTGGTTCTGTTTATGTGATGGATTACCTTTATTGATTTGCATGTATTGAACCAGCCTTGCATCCCTGGGATGAGGCCAACTTGATCCTGTTGGATAAGCTTTTTGATCTGCCACTGGATTCAGTTTGCCAGTATTTTATTGAGGATTTTTACATCAGTGTTCATTAGGGATATTGGCTTAAACTTTTTTTGTTGTTGTTGTGTCTCTGCCAGGTTTTGGTATCAGGATAATGCTGGCCTCATAAAATGAGTTAGGGAGGAGTCCCTCTTTTTCTATTGTTTAGGATAGTTTCAGAAGGAATGGGACCAGCCCCTGTTGGTACCTCTGGTAGAATTCAGCTGTGAATCCATCTGGTCCTAGATTTTTTTGGTTGGTAGGCTATTAATTACTGTTTTAGTTTCAGAACTTGTTATTGATCTACTCAGGGATTTGACTTCTTCCTGGTTCAGTCTCAGGAGGGTGTACGTGTCCAGGCATTTATCCATTTCTTCTAGATTTTCTAGTTTATTTGTGTAGAGGTGTTTATAGTATTCTCTGATGGTAGTTTGTATTTCTGTGGGATCGTTGGTGATATCCCCTTTATCATTTTTTATTGCATGTATTTGATTCTTCTCTCTTTTCTTCCTTATTGGTCTGGCTAACAGTCTATCTATTATGTTGATCTTTTCAAAAAACCAGCTCCTGGATTCATTGATTTTTTTTTATGGGTTTTTCATGTCTCTGTCTCCTTCAGTTCTGCTCTGATCTTAGTTATTTCTTGTCTTCTGCTAGCTTTTGAATTTGTTTGCTGTTGCTTCTCTAGTTCTTTTAATTGTGATGTTAGGGTGTTGATTTTAGATCTTTCCTGCTTTCTCTTGTGGGCTATAAATTTTCCTCTACACACTGCTTTAAGTGTGTCCCAGAGATTCTTGTACGTTGTGTCTTGTTCTCACTGGTTTCAAAAAACATCTTTTTTTTTTTTTTTTTTTTTTTTTTTGAGACCATCTTGCTCTGTTGCCAGGCTGGAGTGCAATGGCGTGATCTCAGCTCACTGCAACCTCCACCTCCTGGGTTCAAACAGTTCTCCTGCCTCAGCTTCCCAAGTAGCTGCAGGCATGCACCACCATGACTGGCTAATTTTTGTATTTTAGTAGAGATTGGGTTTCACCACGTTGACCAAGATGGTCACGATCTTCTGACCTTGTGATCTGCCTGCCTCGGCCTCCCAAAGTGCTGGGATTTTGGGCATGAGACACCACACCCGGCCTCAAAGAACATCTTTATTTCTACCTTCATTTCATTATTTACCCAGTAGTCATTCAGGAGCAGGTTGTTCAGTTTCCATGTAATTGTGCAGTTTTGAGGGAGTTTTTTAATCCTGAGTTCTCATTTGATTGCACTGTGGTCTGAGAGACTGTTTGCTATGATTTTTGTTCTTTTGCATTTGCTGAGGAGTTTTTTTACTTCCAATTATGTGGTCAATTTTAGAATAAGTGCAATGTAGTGCTGAGAAGAATGTATATTCTGTAGATTTGGGGTGGTGAGTTCTGCAGATGTCTATTAAGTCCACTTGGTCCAGAGCTGTGTTCAAGTCCTGAATATCCTTGTTAATTTTCTATCTTGTTGATCTGTCTAATATTGACAGTGGGGTATTAAAATCTGCCACTATTATTGTGTGGGAGTCTAAGTCTCTTTGTAGGTCTCTAAGAACTTGCTTTATGAATGTGGGTGCTACTGTATTGGGTGCATATATATTTAGCATAGGTAGCTCTTCTTGTTGCATTGATCCCTTTACCATTTTGTAATGCCCTTCTTTGTCTCTTTTGATCTTTGTTGGTTTAAAGTTTGTTTTATCAGAGAGTAAAATTGTAACCCTTCTTTTTTTTTTTTTGCTTTCCATTTGCTTGGTAATTCTTCCTCCATCCCTTTATTTTGAGCCTATGTTTGTCTTTGCACATGAGATGGGTTTCCTGAATGCAGCACACTGATGGGTCTTGACTCTATCCAATTTTTTGGATAAAGTCTTTCTTCTAATTGGGATATTTTCCCATTTACAGTTAAAGTTAATATTGTTATGTGTGAATTTGATCCTGTCATTATGATGCTAGCTGGTTATTTTGCCTGTTAGTTGATGCAGTTTCTTCATAGCATTGATGTTCTTTACAATTTGATATGTTTTTGCAGTGGCTGGTGCCGATTGTTCATTTCCACATTTAGTGCTTCCTTCAGGAGCTCTTGTAAGGCAGGCCTGGTGGTGACAAAATCTCTCAGCATTTGCTTGTCCATAAATGATTTTGTTTTTTTGAGGTGGAGTCTCGCTCTGTCACCCAGGTTGGAGTGCAGTGGTGCGATCTCGGCTCACTGCAAGCTCCGCCTCCCGGGTTCATGCCATTCTCCTGCCTCAGCCTCCCGAGTAGCTGGGACAACAGGTGCCAGCCACCACACCCAGCTAATTTGTTTTTTTGTATTTTTAGTAGAGACGGGGTTTCACTGTGTTAGCCAGGATGGTCTCAATCTCCTGACCTCGTGATCTGCCCACCTTGGCCTCCCAAAGTGCTGGGATTACAGGTGTGAGCTACCGCGCCTGGCCAAGAATTTTATTTCTCCTCCATTTATGAAGCTTAATTTGGCTGGATATGAAATTCTGGGTTGAAAATTCTTTTCTTTAAGAATGTTGAATATTGGCTCCCACTCTCTCCTGGCTTGTAGGGTTTCTGCTGAGAGATCTGCTATTATTCTGATGGGCTTTCCTTTGTGGGTAACCTGACCTTTCTCTGGCTGTCTTTAACATTTTTTCCTTCATTTCAACCTTGGCGAATCTGACGATTATGTGTCTTGGGGTTGCTCTTCTCGAGGAATATCTTTGTGGTGTTCTCTGTATTTCCTGAATATGAATGTTAGCCTACCTTGCTAGGTTGGGGAAGTTCTCCTCGATAATATCCTGAAGAGTGTTTTCCAGTTTGGTTCCATTCTCCCCATCACTTTCAGGTACACCAGTCAAATGTACATTTGGGATTTCTAAATAGTCCCATATTTCTTGGAGGCTTTCTTCATTTCTTTTCACTCTTTTTTCTCTAGTCTTGTCTTCTCACTTTATTTCATTGAGTTGATCTTCAATCTCTGATATCCTTTCTTCCACTTGATCAATTTGGCTATTGATACTTGTGTATGCTTTACAAAGTTCTCGTGCTGTGTTTTTCAGCTCCATCAGGTCATTTATATTCATCTGTAAACTGAGTATTCTAGTTAGCAATTCATCTAATCTTTTTTCAAGGTTCTTAGCTTCCTTGCATTGGGTTAGAACATATTCCTTTAGCTTGGAGGACTTTATTACCCACCTTCTGAAGCCTACTTGTGTCAATGTGTCAAACTGAATTTGCCAACCTCTGTCCAGTTTTGTTCCCTTGCTGGCGAGGAGTTGTGATCTTTTGGAGGAGAAGAGGTGTTCTCCTCCAAAATTTCAAAGGTTTTTGAAATTTTCAGCCTTTTTGCACTGTTTTCTCCCCATCTTCATAGATTTATCTACCTTTGGTCTTTGATGTTGGTGACCTTCGGATGGGGTCTCTAAGTGGACATCCTTTTTGTTGGTTTTGATACTCCTCCTTCATGTTTGTTAGTTTCCTTCTAACAGTCAGGCCTCTCTGCTGCAGATCTTGTGGAGTTTGCTGGAGGTCCACTGCAGACCCTGTTTGCATGCACTCCAGACCCTGTTTGCGTGCCCCACCCTGCTTCAGCTCGCCCTCTGTGGGCTGCACCCACTGTCCAACCAGTCCCGATGAGATGAACTGGGTGCCTCAGCTGGAAATGCAGAAATCACCTGCCTTCTGTGTGGATCTCGCTGGGATCTGCAGACCAGTGCTGTTCCTATTTGGCCATCTTGCCAGCTCTCCTTGATCCTGTGATTTTTCTTTTAAATTCTCTTTGTGTAGTGTACCATATTTATTGACTTGCATATGTCAAACCATCCCTGCATCCCTGGTATAAAACCCACTTAATCATAGTGGATTATCTTTTTTATATGCTGTTGTATTCAGTTTGCTAGTATTTCATTAAGGATTTTTGCATTTATATTCTTCAGGGATATTGGTCTGTAGTTTTCTTTTTTGGTTATGTCCTTTCCTGGTTCTGGCATTAGGGTGATACTGGCTCCATAGAATGATTTAGAGAGGATTTCTTCTTTTCTATTTTGTGAACTAGTGTCAATAGAATTGGTACCAATTCTTCTTTGAATGTCTGATAGAATTCAGCTGAGAATCTGTCTTGTTTCTATTTCTTCCTTGTTTAATGTAGGAGGGTTGTAGATGTCCAGGAATTTATCCATCTCCTCTAGGTTTTCTAGTTGATGCATGTAAAGGTGTTCATAGTAGCCTTGAATGATCTGTTGTATTTCTCTGGTATCCATTATAATATCTCACCTTTCATTTCTAATTGAGCTCTAATGGTCTATCGTTTTTATTTATCTATTTATTTATTTTTTAATTTATCTATTATAAATAGATAATATTTATAATAGATATTATAGAGAATATCTATTATTTATATCGGTTTATTATGTTATTCATATTTATCTATTTTATTTATCTATGTTTTTTATTTTTATTTTATTTTATTTTTTATATTCTCAATATGATTTTTTTTATTACACTTTAAGTTTTAGGGTACATGTGCACAACGTGCAGGTTTGTTACGTATGTATACATGTGCCATGTTGGTGTGCTGCACCCATTAACTCGTCATTTACATTAGGTATATCTCCTAATGCTATCCCTCTCCCCTCCCCCAACCCCACAACAGGCCCCAGTGTGTGATGTTCCCCTTCCTGTGTCCATGTGTTCTCATTGTTCAATTCCCACCTATGAGTGAGAACATGCAGTGTTTGTTTTTTTGTCCTTGCAATAGTTTGCTGAGAATGATGGTTTCCAGTTTCATCCATGTCCCTACAAAGGACATGGACTCATCATTTTTTATGGCTGCATAGTATTCCATGGTGTATATGTGCCACATTTTCTTAATCCAGTCTATCATTGTTGGTCATTTGGCTTGGTTCCAAGTCTTTGCTATCGTGAATAGTGCCACAATAAACATACGTGTGCATGTGTCTTTATAGCAGCATGATTTATATTCCTTTGGGTATATACCCAGTAATGGGATGGCTGGGTCAAATGGTATTTCTAGTTCTAGATCCCTGAGGAATCGCCACACTGTCTTCCACAATGGTTGAACTAATTTACAGTCCCACCAACAGTGTAAAAGTGTTCCTATTTCTCCACATCCTCTCCAGCACCTGTTGTTTCCTGACTTTTTAATGATTGCCATTCTAACAGGTGTGAGATGGTATCTCATTGTGGTTTTGATTTGCATTTCTCTGATGGCCAGTGATGATGAGCATTTTTTCTTGTGTCTGTTGGCTGCATAAATATCTTCTTTTGAGAAGTATCTGTTCATATCCTTCGCCCACTTTGATGGAGTTGTTTGTTTTTTTCTTGTAAATTTGTTTGAGTTCTTTGTAGATTCTGGATATTAGCCCTTTGTCAGATGAGTAGATTGCAAAATTTTTCTCCCATTCTGTAGGTTGCCTGTTCACTCTGATGGTAGTTTCTTTTGCTGTGCAGAAGCTCTTTAGTTTAATCAGATCCCATTTGTCAATTTTGGCTTTTGTTGCCATTGCTTTTGGTGTTTTAGACATGAAGTCCTTGCCCATGCCTATGTCCTGAATGGTATTGCCTAGGTTTTCTTCTAGGGTTTTTATGGTTTTAGGTCTAAGATTTAAGTCTTTAATCCATCTTGAATTAATATTTGTATAAGGTGTAAGGAAGGGATCCAGTTTCAGCTTTCTACATATGGCTAGCCAGTTTTCCCAGCACCATTTGTTAAATAGGGAATCCTTTCCCCATTTCTTGTTTTTGTCAGGTTTGTCAAAGATCAGATAGTTGTAGATGCTTGGTAGTCTTACTGAGGGCTCTGTTCTGTTCCATTGGTCTATATCTCTGTTTTGGTACCAGTACCATGTGGTTTTTGTTACTGTAGCCTTGTAGTATAGTTTGAAGTCAGGTAGTGTGATGCCTCCAGCTTTGTTCTTTTGGCTTAGGATTGACTTGGCGATGTGGGCTCTTTTTTGGTTCCATATGAACTTTAAAGCAGTTTTTTCCAATTCTCTGACGAAAGTCATTGGTAGCTTGATGGAGATGGCATTGAATCTATAAATTACCGTGGGCAGTATGGCCATTTTCACAATATTGAATCTTCCTACCCATGAACATGGAATGTTCTTCCATTTGTTTGTATCCTCTTATATTTCATTGAGCAGTGGTTTGCAGTTCTCCTTGAAGAGGTCCTTCCCATCCCTTGTAAGTTGGATTCCTAGGTATTTTATTCTCTTTGAAGCAATTGTGAATGGGAGTTCACTCATGATTTGGCTCTCTGTTTGTCTGTTATTGGTGTATAAGAATGCTTTTGATTTTTGCACATTGATTTTGTATCCTGAGACTTTGCTGAAGTTGCTTATCAGCTTAAGGAGTTTTTGGGGCTTGCCCTTTTTCTTTCCAAGGATCTGAAGTGCTCTTGAATTCATTTTCTTTTGAGGTAATATTTCACTTAATTAGGGTTCACAGTTAGTGTTACCTATCATTGAAACCCATTACAAATGTTTATTTATTAATGATAATCTGTAATGAGATTTTACATATCTAATCTTTGAAACTCTCTTTTCACACAGGCAGGCGCTAAATACTGCTATTACTGGTAAATGCTGATATTAATCCATGAGAATACATATTGCTTGGAAGATATTTATGGAGTTCTATTAGAGTGTTCTCTTGATATTAGTTTGCGTGAAAGCTCCTCAACAGCATAGCTAAATGGATAGTTAAACATAGAAATTTCCTTAGCAATTTGCAATGAGATATGAAAAGTGTTGCTGAGCTATAATTTGAACAAAAAAAATACATCTGCTGTAAATTTGTGTGAAAGTACAACTCTTGCTTCTTGCTCTGACATTTGACAGCACAGGAAGTATATAAAAGAGTTGATACTTGTGATTCAACAAATATTAGTTGTCATTGGAGTGACTTTAGATTAGTGTAAATTTACTTGTAAGTGATGTTCATCTTATAATTTTAGGTTGAACTCATAAAGAAACATTACCAAGTTCACAGCATAAGCTAATTTCCAAAGACATTCTGTGTTTTATAATAGAGGATGGTTTTCTTCATTCAGAAAAACTTAGAACTTTGCTCAAAGCTGAAACATTGTGATAAAATTTACTATGGCTAATCTTTGGATTAGCAGGAATATATGACCGTTAGTGAGGAGAAAAATTAATGAAGAAGAAATAGATAACTTAAGCAGCCTTATATATCTACCAAAGAAATAAAAGTTTGTAGTTAAGACATTACAAAATTGTAGTGTTAAAAAAGACAATACAGAACAACAAACAAAACAAAATAAAAAATTACAGGACCACATAGATTCACTGTTGAATTCTACAAAAAGTTTAAAGAAGAAATAATTTCAATTCTACACACATTCTTTCAGAGAAGAAAGTCGTTTGAAACTAATCTGTGAGGCCATAATTCACTCTGATATAAAAATGAGATGAAAATATTTCAAGAAAAGGAAACTACAAACCAGTAACTCATGAATATGAATGTGAAATATTTCAGTATAATTTTAGAAAACTGTTATGGAATAAATGCTTGGGTGCTCCCAAAACTCACATGCTGAAACTCTAACCCCACAAAGTGATGGTATTAGGAGGTGGAGCCTTTGATAGAGAATTAGTTCATGAGGATTCTGCCCTCACATATGGGATTAGAGCCCTTATAAGAAGAGAGAAAAGAGCTTGCTTTGTCTGTTCCCTCTCTTGGCCATATGAGGATACAAGAAGACAACTGTCTGTGAACCTGGAAGAGTGCTCTCACCGGACATCAGATCTGCTTCTGCCTTGATCTTGGACTTTTCTGCATCCAGAATTGTGAGAAATAAATTTTGCTTGTTGTTTAAACCACCTAGTCTATGGCGTTCTTTTATAGCAGCCCGAAGTGACTAAGACAAAAACCTATCCAACATTGTATAAAGATAATATATCATGTCCAAATAAATGTTTTTTGCTGACTTATAAGGGTGTCTAAACACTTAAAAATTAACCACTGTAATTTTCCAGATTAGGAGATTAAAAAGATAGTAGATCTGACAAATTACAACTTTTTTTTTTTTTTTTTTTTTGAGAGGGGGTCTCACTCTGTCGCCTAGGCTGGAGGGAGTGCAGTGGTGTGATCTCAGCTCAATGCAGCCTCTGCTTCCCGGGTTCAAGCAATTCTCCCACCTCAGCCTCCCAAGTAGCTGGGATTACAGGGGTGTGCCACCACACCTGGCTAATTTTTGCATTTTTAGTAGAGACGGGGTTTCACCATGTTGGCCGGGCTGGTCTCAAACATCTGACCTCAGGTGATCTGCCAACCTTGGCTTCCCAAAGTGCTGGGATTATAGGCATGAGCCACTGTGCCCAGCCTATGACATCTTTTCTTGATAAAAAATTAAAAAAATAAACTAAACAGATGCTGGTGAGACTGTGGAGAAAAGGGAATGCTTATACACTGCTAGTGGGAATGTAAATTAGTTCAGCCACTGTGGAAGGCAGTTTGGAGATTTCTCAAAGAATTTAAAACAGAGCTACCATTTGACCCAGCAATTAAATTACTGGGTATAAACCCAAAAGAAAATAAATCATTCTACCAAAAATACATACGTACTGGCATGTTTATTGCTGTACTATTCACAATAGCAAAGACATGGAATCAACTCAGGTGCCCATCAATGGTAGATTGGATTGAGAAAATGTGGTCTATTTGTGAGATTTTGGTGCATGCATCACCCAAGCAGTATACACTACACCCTATTTGTAGTCTTTTATCCCTCACCCCCTTCCCACCCTATCCCCCTGAGTCCCCAAAGTCCATCGTGTCATTCTTACCC
This sequence comes from Homo sapiens, assembly GCF_000001405.40. Taxonomy (NCBI): domain Eukaryota; kingdom Metazoa; phylum Chordata; class Mammalia; order Primates; family Hominidae; genus Homo; species Homo sapiens. Next base: position 63,069,654 of record NC_000011.10, read on the forward strand.
ATGTAACCATACAACACCTGTTCCCCAATAACTTTTGGAAATAAAAAAATTAAAGAAAAAGCTTTATGGACAAAGCACATTGTATCCCAAACAGACAGACTTAGCAATAAGTGAGTTAACTGATTAGTAAACCACAAATGAAGATATGGCTGTAGATTTACATGGGCCATTTTGATTTGTTCTGTTGTTTGATTAACTCATCCTAATAACAGCTTTTGAATTGTTGGGTGTCATTAAAGAAATTTAAAATATTGTGCATAGTACATACAATTATATTTCTCCATCACTATCTGCTCTTCATCAAGTCTAAGCATAAAAATACGCAAGCTTACCTGTTTCTTCAGGTCATCATTTCCTTATGTGAACTCTTGTGTCACAGAAAACTTACATTAAATAAATTTGTATGCTAAAAAAAGTGGTACACATACACTATGGAATATTATGCAGCATAAAAAGAATGAAAGAATATCTTTTGCAGCAACATGGATGGAGCTGGAAGTCATAATCCTAAGCAAATTAACACAGAAACAGAAAACCAAATATATGTTCTCACAAGTGGGAGATAAGCAATGAACACACATGGATATAAACATGGGAACAACAGACGCTGTGTATTACTAGAGGGTTGGCGGGTTAAAAACTAACTATCGTGTACTATGCTCACTACCTGAGTGACGGGATCCATACTGCAAACCTCAGTAACATGCAATAGTCCCATGTAACAAATATTCATATATACCCCTTTTATCTAAAATAAAAGCTGAAATGAAAATTTCAACATTGTAGGAATAAAAAGGAATTCTTCAAACTGATAAAGGGAATGTAAAGAAGACCTACAGATAACATCATACTTAACGCTGAAGTACTGAATTCCTTCTCCATCAAAGATCAGGAATAAAGCAAGAATTTTTAGTTTCATCTTTTTCTATTCTACATTGTTCTGGTGTTTCTTACCAGTGCAATAGGCAAGGTTAAAAAAAAAAAGGGCATGGGGATTGGAAAGAAAGCTTTCTTTATAGGCAGATGACAGGAACTAGCATAGCATGTTGCACAACATCAATAAGTGTTTGCTGAAGGAATAACAATTGTATTAAAAAGTTTGATGAAAATGCCATGCTGTTATAACACACTTTATGTTATACTTCCCCTAGTATTGTATGAGTACCTATTTCATTGCATTTTACCCACTTTGAGAATGAATAGTACATTAAAAAATCCTTGTTCCTTTGTGAAATGCAAATTTTTATTTCATTTTAGTGTACATTTCTTTGATCACTACTAAATTTGAACACCTTTTCATATTTTTCACGTATTTATTATTTATGTGGCCTTTTCCCCTGAAAATTACTCGTTCTTGCTCTTTGCCTGTTTTTGTACCGAAGTATATAATTTTAATCCTAATGATATGTTAAATATGTACACACAAATATATGTGTACATTTTGAAATCACTTATATCAATTATCCTTTAGTTTTTGATGTTTATATTTTTAAATGATTCCTATTAGTTGTTTAAAATATAAAGCCAGAAAGAATGCAAAGAAAAAACAATAAAATTTTATCACCAAAGGAAACCAGTGTCATCAGTTTTGTGAATTCATTTCCAAAGGGTCAATTAAAACTATTGATTACATTATCTTTCAATTTATAAGAGATTTCTGGTGCCAAAAATTTTATATATTAAATGTTTATACAAGCGGACTTGAAGGAGTTATAAAAAATGGCATTTAAAAAATAAAAATAAAAATATAAATGTTATTTTTTTAACATAGACTCTGTCAAATCCAAGACACTTTTGTGAGAGATGATACCAGCCATTTGGCCCTTCTATAGAGAATTGAGGTCCTGAGAATGTAAACATGGCGATGCAGTGTTTTTTTTTTTTTCCACCTTATTAACTGAGGAAAATGGATGCCTCTCAAATATTTTCTAAGATTAGGCAACAAAAAAGAAGTCAGAAGAAGCTAAATCAGGATGGTAAGGTGGATGCCTAATAATTTCCCATTGAAACTCTCACAAAATTCTTTTTTGATGACAGAAATGAGCAGGAGCATTGTCATGGTGGAGAACTCTCTGGTGAAGCTCTCCTGGGTGCTTTTCTGCTAAAGCTTTGGCTTTCTCAAAATACTCTCATAATAAGTTGATATTATTGTTCTTTGGCTTTCTGGAAAGTCAGCAAGCAAAATGCTTTGAGCATCCCAAAAAACTGTTACCATGGCCAGGCACAGTGGCTCATGCCTCTAATCCCAGCACTTTGGGAGACTGAGGCAGGTGGATCATGAGGTCAGGAGTTCAAGACCAGCTTGACCAACATGGTAAAACCTCGTGTCTACTAAAAATACAAAAATTAGCTGGGCATGGTGGTGGATGCCTGTAATCCCAGCTACTCCAGAGGCTGTGGCAGGAGAATCATTTGAACCTGGGATGGGGAGGTTGCAGTAAGCCGAGATTGCACCATTGTACTCCAGCCTGGGTGGCAGAAGGAGACTCCATCTCAAAACAAACAAACCAAAACCAAAACCAAACAAACAAAAAACCTGTTGCCATGAACTTTCACATTTGACTGATCTGCTTTTGCTTTGACTAGACCACTTCCACCTCTTGATAGCCATTGCTTTGATTGTGCTTTGTCTTCAGGATCATACTGGTAAAGCCATGTTTCATCTCCTGCTACAATTCTTCAAATAAATGCTTCAGGATCTTGATCTCACTTATTTAAAATTTCCGTTGAAGGCTCTGCTCTTGTCTGCAGCTGATCTGGGTGGAATGGTTTTGGCACCCATTGAGTGTAAAGTTTGATCAGCTTTAATTTTTCAGTCAGAATTGTGTAACCGGAACCAGCGGATATGTCTGTTGTGTCAGCTATTGCTTCTGCTGTTAATCATTGGCCCTCTTCAGTTAGAGCACTGTATTAGTCCTTTCTCATGCTGCTAATAAAGACATACCTGAGACTGGGTAATTTATAAAGGAAAGAGGTTTAACGGATTCACAGTTCCACATGGCTGGGAAGGCCTCACAATTATGGCAGAAGGTGAGAGGAGCAAAGTCTTGTCTTACATGGGAGCAGGCAAGAAGAGAATGAGAACCAAGTGAAAAGGGAAACCTCTTATAAAACCATCAGATCTTGTGAGACTTACTACCACGAGAACAGTATGAGGGAAACTGACCCCATGATTCAATTATTTCCCACTGGGTCCCTTCCACAACACATGGGAATTATGGGAGCTACAATTCAAGATGAGATTTGGGTGGGGACACAGCCAAACCATGTCAGAAACCAACAAGATAAATTATTTTATTTTATTTTATTATTATTATACTTTAAGTTTTAGGGTACATGTGCACAATGTGCAGGTTAGTTACATATGTATACATGTGCCATGCTGGTGTGCTGCACCCATTAACTCATCATTTCGCATTAGGTATATCTCCTAATGCTATCCCTCCCCACTCCTCCCACCCCACAACAATCCCCAGAGTGTGATGTTCCCCTGCCTGTGTCCATGTGTTCTCATTGTTCAATTCCCACCTATGAGTGAGAACATGCGGTGTTTGGTTTCTTGTCCTTGTGATAGTTTACTGAGAATGATGATTTCTAATTTCATCCATGTCCCTACAAAGGACAAGAACTCATCATTTTTTATGGCTGCATAGTATTCCATGGTGTATATGTGCCACATTTTCTTAATCCAGTCTATCATTGTTGGACATTTGGGTTGGTTCCAAGTCTTTGCTATTGTGAATAGTGCCACAATAAACATATGTGTGCATGTGTCTTTATAGCAGCAAGACTTATAGTCCTTTGGGTATATACCCAGTAATGGGATGGCTGGGTCAAATGGTATTTCTAGTTCTAGATCCCTGAGGAATCGCCACACTGACTTCCACAATGGTTGAACTAGTTTACAGTCCCACCAACAGTGTAAAAGTGTTCCTATTTCTCCACATCCTCTCCAGCACCTGTTGTTTCCTGACTTTTTAATGATGGCCATTCTAACTGGTGTGAGATGGTATCTCACTGTGGTTTTGATTTGCATTTCTCTGATGGCCAGTGATGGTGATCATTTTTTCATGTGTTTTTTGGCTGCATAAATGTCTTCTTTTAAGAAGTATCTGTTCATGACCTTCACCCACTTTTTGATGGGGTTGTTTGTTTTTTTCTTGTAAATTTATTTGAGTTCATTATAGATTCTGGATATTAGCCCTTTGTCAGACGAGTAGGTTGCGAAAATTTTCTCCCATTGTGTAGGTTGCCTGTTCACTCTGCTGGTAGTTTCTTTTGCTGTGCAGAAGCTCTTTAGTTTAATTAGATCCCATTTGTCAATTTTGGCTTTTGTTGCCATTGCTTTTGGTGTTTTAGACATGAAGTCCTTGCCCATGCCTACATCCTGAATGGTAATGCCTAGGTTTTCTTCTAGGGTTTTTATGGTTTTAGGTCTAAGATTTAAGTCTTTAATCCATCTTGAATTAATATTTGTGTAAGGTGTAAGGAAGGGATCCAGTTTTAGCTTTCTACATATGGCTAGCCAGTTTTCCCAGCACCATTTATTAAATAGGGAATCCTTTCCCCATTTCTTGTTTTTGTCAGGTTTGTCAAAGATCAGATAGTTGTAGATATGCAGCGTTATTTCTGAGGGCTCTGTTCTGTTCCATTGATCTATATCTCTGTTTTGGTACCAGTACCATGCTGTTTTGTTTACTGTAGCCTTGTAGTATAGTTTGAAGTCAGGTAGCATGATGCCTCCGGCTTTGTTCTTTTGGCTTAGGATTGACTTGGCGATGCGGGCTCTTTTTTGGTTCCATATGAACTTTAAAGTATTTTTTTCCAATTGTGTGAAGAAAGTCATTGGTAGCTTGATGGGGATGGCATTGAATCTATAAATGACCTTGGGCAGTATGGCCATTTTCATGATACTGATTCTTCCTACCCATGAGCATGGAATGTTCTTCCATTTGTTTGTATCCTCTTTTATTTCATTGAGCAGTGGTTTATAGTTCTCCTTGAAGAGGTCCTTCACATCCCTTGTAAGTTGGATTCCTAGGTATTTTATTCTCTTTGAAGCAATTGTGAATGGGAGTTCACTCATGGTTTGGCTCTCTGTTTGTCTGTTATTGGTGTATAAGAATGCTTGTGACTTTTGTACATTGATTTTGTATCCTGAGACTTTGCTGAAGTTGCTTATCAGCTTAAGGAGATTTCGGGCTGAGACAATGGGGTTTTCTAGATATACAATCATGTCGTCTGCAAACAGGGACAATTTGACTTCCTCTTTTCCTAATTGAATACCCTTTATTTCCTTCTCCTGCCTAATTGCTCTGGCCAAAACTTCCAACACTATGTTGAATAGGAGTGGTGAGAGAGGGCATCCCTGTCTTGTGCCAGTTTTCAAAGGGAATGCTTCCAGTTTTTGCCCATTCAGTATGATATTGGCTGTGGGTTTCTCATAGATAGCTCTTACTATTTTGAGATATGGCCCATCAGTACCCAATTTATTGAGAGTTTTTAGCATGAAGAGTTGTTGAATTTTGTCAAAGGCCTTTTCTGCATCTATTGAGATAATCATGTGGTTTTTGTCTTTGGTTCTGTTTGTATGCTGGATTACATTTATTGATTTGTGTATATTGAACCAGCCTTGCATCCCAGGGATGTAGCCCACTTGATCATGGTGGATAAGCTTTTTGATGTGCTGCTGGATTCGGTTTGCCAGTATTTTATTGAGGATTTTTGCATCAATATTCATCAAGGGTATTGGTCTAAAATTCTCTTTTTTGGTTGTGTCTCTGCCAGGCTTTGGTATCAGGATGATGCTGGCCTCATAAAATGAGTTAGGGAGGATTCCCTCTTTTTCTATTGATTGGAATAGTTTCAGAAGGAATGGTACCATTTCCTCCTTGTACCTCTGGTAGAATTCGGCTGTGAATCCATCTGGTCCTGGACTCTTTTTGGTTGGTAAGCTATTGATTATTGCCACAATTTCAGATCCTGTTATTGGTCTATTCAGAGATTCAACTTCTTCCTGGTTTAGTCTTGGGAGAGTGTATGTGTCGAGGAATTTATCCATTTCTTCTAGATTTTCTAGTTTATTTGTGTAGAGGTGTTTGTAGTATTCTCTGATGGTAGTTTGTGTTTCTGTGGGATCGGTGGTGATATCCCCTTTATCATTTTTTTATTGCATCTATTTGATTCTTCTCTCTTTTCTTCTTTATTAGTCTTGCTAGTTGTCTATCAATTTTGTTGATCCTTTCAAAAAACCAGCTCCTGGATTCATTAATTTTTTGAAGGGTTTTTTATGTCTCTATTTCCTTCAGTTCTGCTCTGATTTTAGTTATTTATTGCCTTCTGCTAGCTTTTGAATGTTTGCTCTTGCTTTCCTAGTTCTTTTAATTGTGATGTTAGGGTGTCAATTTTGGATCTTTCCTGCTTTCTCTTGTGGGCATCTAGTGCTATAAATTTCCCTCTACACACTGCTTTGAATGTGTCCGAGAGATTCTGGTATGTTGTGTCTGTGTTCTCATTGGTTTCAAAGAACATCTTTATTTCTGCCTTCATTTCGTTATGTACCCAGTAGTCATTCAGGAGCAGGTTGTTTATTTTCCATGTAGTTGAGTGGTTTTGAGTGAGTTTCTTAATCCTGAGTTCTAATTTGGTTGCACTGTGGTCTGAGAGAGTTTGGTATAATTTCTGTTCTGTTACATTTGCTGAGGAGAGCTTTACTTCCAACTATGTGGTCAATTTTGGAATAGGTGTAGTGTGGTGCTGTAAAAAATGTATATTCTGTTGATTTGGGGTGGAGAGTTCTGTAGATGTCTATTAGGTCCGGTTGGTGCAGAGCTGAGTTCAATTCCTGGGTATCCTTCTTAACTTTCTGTCTCGTTGATCTGTCTAATGTTGACAGTGGGTTGTTAAAGCCTCCTATTATTATTGTGTGGAAGTCAAGTCTCTTTGTAGGTCACTCAGGACTTGCTTTATGAATCTGGGTGCTCCTGTATTGGGTGCATATATATTTAGGATAGTTAGCTCTTCTTGTTGAATTGATCCCTTTACCATTAAGTAATGGCCTTCTTTGTCTCTTTTGATCTTTGTTGGTTTAAAGTCTGTTTTATCAGAGACTAGGATTGCAACCCCTGCCTTTTTTTGTTTTCCATTTGCTTGGTAGATCTTCCTCCATCCTTTTATTTTGAGCCTATGTGTGTCTCTGCCTGTGAGATGGGTTTCCTGAATACAGCACACTGATGGGTCTTGATTCTTTATCCAATTTGCCAGTCTGTGTCTTTTAATTGGCGCATTTAGTCCATTTACATTTAAAGTTAATATTGTTATGTGTGAATTTGATCCTGTCATTATGATGTTAGCTGGCTATTTTGCTCGTTAGTTGATGCAGTTTCTTCCTAGCCTCGATGGTCTTTACAATTTGGTATGATTTTGCAGTGGCTGGTACCGTTTGTTCCTTTCCATGTTTAGTGCTTCCTTCAGGAGCTCTTTTAGGGCAGGCCTGCTGGTGACAAAATCTCTCAGCATTTGCTTATCTGTAAAGTATTTTATTTCTCCTTCACTTATGAAGCTTAGTTTGGCTAGATATGAAATTCTCGGTTGAAAATTCTTTTCTTTAAGAATGTTGAATATTGGCCCCCACTCTCTTCTGGCTTGTAGAGTTTCTTCCGAGAGATCTGCTGTTAGTCTGATGGGCTTCCCTTTGTGGCTAACCCGACCTTTCTCTCTGGCTGCCCTTATCATTTTTTCCTTCATTTCAACTTTGGTGAATCTGACAATTATGTGTTTTGGAGTTGCTCTTCTCGAGGAGTGTTTTTGTGGCATTCTCTGTATTTCCTGAATCTGAATGTTGGCCTGCCTTGCTAGATTGGGGAAGTTCTCCTGGATAATATCCTGCAGAGTGTTTTCCAACTTGGTTCCATTCTCCCCATCACTTTCAAGTACACCAATCAGACGTAGATTTGGTCTTTTCACATAGTCCCATATTTCTTGGAGGCTTTGTTCATTTCTTTTTATTCTTTTTTTCTCTAAACTTCCCTTCTCACTTCATTTCATTCATTTCATCTTCCATCACTGATACCCTTTCTTCCAGTTGATTGCATCAGCTCCTGAGGCTTCTGCATTCTTCACGTAGTTCTCAAGCCTTGGCTTTCAGCTCCGTCAGCTCCTTTAAGCACTTCTCTATATTGGTTATTCTAATTATACATTCATCTAAATTTTTTTCAAAGTTTTTAACTTGTTTGCCTTTGGTTTGAATTTCCTCCTGTAGCTTGGAGTAGTTTGATCATCTGAAGCCTTCTTCTCTCAACTCATCAAAGTCATTCACCATCCAGCTTTGTTCTATTGCCGGTGAGGAGCTGTGCTCCTTTGGAGGAGGAGAGGCACTCTGCGTTTTAGAGTTTCCAGTTTTTCTGCTCTGTTTTTTCCCCATCTTTGTGGTTTTATCTACTTTTGGTCTTTGATGATGGTGATGTACAGATTGGTTTTTGGTGTGGATGTCCTTTCTGTTTGTTAGTTTTCCTTCTAACAGACAGGACCCTCAGCTGCATGTCTGTTGGAGTTTGCGGAGGTCCACTCCAGACCCTGTTTGCCTGGGTATCAGCAGCGGTGGCTGCAGAACTGCGGATTTTAGTGAACCGCGAATGCTGCTGTCTGATTGTTCCTCTGGAAGTTTTGTCTCAGAGGACTACCTGGCTGTGTGAGGTGTCAGTCTGCCCCTACTGGGGGGTGCCTCCCAGTTAGGCTGCTCGGGGGTCAGGGGTCAGGGACCCACTTGAGGAGGCAGTCTGCCCATTCTCAGATCTCCAGCTGTGTGCTGGGAGAACCACTGCTCTCTTCAAAGCTGTCAGACAGGGAAATTTAAGTCTGCAGAGGTTACTGCTGTCTTTTTGTTTGTCTGTGCCCTGTCCCCAGAGGTGGAGCCTACAGAGGCAGGCAGGCCTCCTTGAGCTGTGGTGGGCTCCACCCAGTTCGAGCTTCCTGGCTGCTTTGTTTACCTAAGCAAGCCTGGGCAATGGCGGGCGCCCCTCCCCCAGCCTCACTGCTGCCTTGCAGTTTGATCTCAGACTGCTGTGCTGGCAATCAGTGAGACTCCATGTGGGTAGGACCCTCTGAGCCAGGTGCGGGATATAATCTCCTGGTGCACCGTTTTTTTAAGCCCATTGGAAAAGCGCAGTATTCGGGTGGGAGTGACCCGAATTTCCAGGTGCCGTCTGTCACCCCTTTCTTTGACTAGGAAAGGGAACTCCCTGACCCCTCACACTTCCCGAGTGAGGCAGTGCCTCACCCTGCTTTGGCTCACGCACGATGCACTGCACCCACTGTCCTGTGCCCACTGTCTGGCACTCCCTAGTGAGATGAACCTGGTACCTCAGATGGAAATGCAGAAATCACCCGTCTTCTGCATCACTCATGCTGGGAGCTGTAGACTCAAGCTGTTGCTATTTGGCCATCTTGGCTGCCTTCTCTAAATTATTTTTTCCTTGCAAATTGATGTGGATGTTCTGCTGCTAAGGAATTCATCTTCAACATTGTCTCATCTCTTTTAAAAATGCATTATCCATTTGTAAACTACTAATTTCTCTGGAGCATTGTCCCCATAAACTTTTTGTAAAGTCTCAATGATTTCACCATTCTTCCACCTAAGTTTCACCATAAATTTGATGTTTGTTCTTGCTTCTATTTCAGCAGAATTTGTGTTCCTTGGATAACAGCTTTTTTCACACAAACATCTTATCCTTCTTAGTGCTTCAAAATAGATCCTGTTCAGCCATGTTATAAAAAATTAGTACAGATTTATTTTGGCACAAAAATTTGAACTCTATGCATAGTTTACTCATAATATGCATTTTCATGAATTTTTTGAAGACTCTTTCTGTATACTTGGGCATGTTTCTGGAGTCATTACGGTGTGTTAATGCAAACAAATTATAATGCATTTGCTATTACTGTTTTGTTGATTGTAGTTTTATAAAAAGTCCAGCATGTGCTTTACCGTATATGAGTCAGCCTGATCGTCACTCCATGATGCTCTTTTTCCTGAATCATCTTGGCTGTTAGTGATTTTCAGATGAATTTGAAACTAGTTGTGCAACTTCTTCCCAAAAGCAAATCATTATTTCATGGAATCACTTAAACTTATAAGGTATTTTGGAATTACTGATACATGTAGTACCATAATTATAAATGGCATCTGTCTGCACATTATATTTTTGGCTAGTTTTGCAGATATAAAGGCATAATCTTGATTCCCCCTGCCCATTTTGCTCTTCTTTGGATCAGGTCTTGGGAATCTCTTAAAACTGTGTTACTTTCATGCAAGTATCTTCCTGCTTTATGTTTCTTGAATCTTTTCTGCTGAGAAATAGAAATGCAAACAAAAACAAGATTAAGAAACAAAAAATAAATAAGATATAGATTAAGCATATATATACTGTGTGCCTGAGGACAAGCTGCCCTCTACCCACCAGCATTGTAATCCAAGATTCTCTAGATATTGATACTATTGTGTTGGAAAAGGCCCTGATACCTGGGCATTCCTGGGAAGGCAGTGTTGAATATTGATACTCTCACCATTGTCTCTTTGGATCTCAGACCAATGACATCTTTAGTAAATCAAAGCGAGAATTGAAAATTTTAAAGCTATTGTCTTATTTTTCATCATTTAAAATCCTGCTTTCTTTTCTTAATTTTGTCTCCTCAAAATTTCTGTTGCCCATGGCAACAAATTTGCCTAAATCTCAGAGGCATCCCAACAAGATCCATTTCCTTCAGATACATCGTTATTTTTGCAAAGGAGATTTTGCTCTATGCTGTAGTCCCATGATTCTTTGACTGAAGCAATAATTAGGTATGAGGCAATCTCATTCCCTTTCCCACCACATAACAGGCACTCATTGAGCCAATGTGTGATAAAACCAGGGGATGAGAATGAGGCATTTGAGTCTTAGCAGATTTGTGAGAAAACAACAGGAGTGTGTGTTTCCCACAAGGGCAGAAAGTATGTGCCACTCATAATAGGCTAATTTGGATCTTTTCACCACTGAACCTTCTGGTGTGAAATGGTCTGTGTGACATAGAGGGCCTCAAGAGTCTGACTCCATTGTGGATAGGGTAGGCTGCTACTGAACTAAAGGACATGGTGACAAATAGAAAAGTCCTAGGTCTGAGCCTACATGAAGGACAGAGGGCCCCAAATGGTCGTTGACCTTTCTCATTAAACAGCTACAGCACATAGCCACTCCCCACTCAAGTGACAGCTAGAGGGTTTACTCACTCATTTTCCACATCCTGGATGGTGTTAGGAAGAGGTAGATCCCTGGTTTCTGGAAGGAGGAGGATAACAGGGACAGCAAGGATGGGGAAGACTCCATAGGAAATCCAGGGTAGGTGGGGAGAATACGCCATTAAGGTCATCAACAGAGGAGCCAGTGCTGCCCCAGTCCTACCGGACACTGCATTGATTCCTGCAACTGTTGACCTTAGAGTGCAAATAACAATACAAAAAATCTTGTATGAATCTGTACATGTCAGCTCTTTATCATCATTATTTCTTTATGGGGACCAGTACAACAGAGTTACTAAACACATGGGCTTTGACAGCAAGCCCTTAATTGTGACATTTACCTCTGTTGGTTTCTACCTATTTGATAGTATAATGTTGGTAACTGCTCTTAACCTTAGTTTCATAATTACTAAAATAGAGATACCCATAGCATTAATTAACCTGTAGCAATAACCCGCAGCTTTGATAATTTGATAATAATAGCACATATATGGCTCTCAGTTACTCTGTTCATTTCTATTACAGTTAATTCATCTGGCACCTAAACAGTGTCAGTCTTTCATTCACAATGAATATCAATAAATTCAGAAATTTGTGTTTTGAAACCAGATGGTCTTTAGCTCTTGTACCTCAATATGGTGGGGACGAGCTCGTTGTGGTGGACAGAAGCACTGTTGCTAGCAGCAGAAACACTACCAATTCCCAAAGTTGCTAAAACCACACGCAGGATCTGCATTTCTAGAGAGAACAGTGAGAATCAGGAAATCTTGCCTGAAGAAACTTTTCAACCCCCAAATAATTGTAAAAAGATTCTAATGGAGGAATTTGCAAGTGTGAAATATGTGGTAGACAAACTGCAACATGCCAGAGATTGGGGAATGGTTGCGAGGCTGAGAAATATAGACTGTAAAATGGTAGGGCTTAAACATTGAATAAAGGATCTCAATCTCAATCTTCAACTCTTTCTGCACATTTGAGTATTGCCAATTAAGGTGGGGGTAGGGACCAACAGGAAATATTTGTTTTATTTATTCTGTGTAATATTTTCTGTGTACTTCCAGTGGGGGCACAGAACTATATTTGTTCTATTAGAACAATATTCATTTTAATTTTTTCTATGTAATATTTTCTGTGCACCTCCAGTGGGGCATAGAACTATATATAGATAATAACTGAGGAGTTTGTGAGCCATGTCTTGAGCAGTTTAGAGCTAAGAATGTGGGAACAATTTTAGATATGGGACAGATATTCTACCATATAGTAAGAAAAGGACTGGGTTTATTTGGGAGTGGACAGTGTGGAGAGACATAAGCTCTGAATAATTCAGGATTGTAAAACCTAACATTATAAAACCTAACTCCTATTTGGAAATAAATAATATCACACTGGGAACCATTGACACTGAAAATTCAAAAAGGTACTTTTTCATCAATAAAAATATCAAAATAGGATTTTAAAACAGTGGAGAAGGCTCTCCTATAAGGCAGAAAACTTACACCAGCAGGAGGCATGGAGCCCACCAGTCTGGGAATCCTGCAAAATATGTTCCTGCTCTGGGAGATGAGTGGAATATAGTGACCACTAATGTTCCCATAATCATTACAGAAGGTCATTCTATTAATTTAACTTAGGAAAGTGGATTTTAAGAGAGGCTGGGTCAGCTTCTTAATCTGTTCCTTGTTTAGGGGTAGATTATAAAACAGATAAAGAGATATTAAGATGAGACTTTTTCTTGTTCCAACTGTACACTTCATTTATGGTTGAAGACAAGGAATTTTTATTTCAGCAAAGTCAAGAAGCCTTTTCTAAAAAAGTGTTGCATTTATATGAGATAATAGGGAACTCAAAAGTGAATATACAGGGAAGAGGATATGGACAAGTTAGAGAGACCTCAAAAATTAGAAAGTGTCCTAGACAGAGGCAGTGAGGGCATTGTGTGCCCACTTTGGCATACAGTTGCAAGGCCTAGCCCCTCCACAATAGCTATAAAAGGGTGATTAGCCAAAAAGCATGTGCTTAGTTACTTTTCTAAAGAAACCATTAGGTGTAATTGGAGCCCATGTCCAGATTCATCTTGGCTGTGATGAAGACAACCGTGTGTCTGAACCATCACGGCTGACATTGATTGAGTAAGAGCCCAAGTGCTGAAAACAACATATTGTCAGAATCAGTTCCAAACCCTCATATTAACTTCAGGGAATCTTTTGGCTGTCAAGGGCAATGCTGTTCTTTTGGCACCAGGCATAAAAGACCAATGTAATCCCTGGAGAATGGGGGTAACTACTTTCTTTCCTGAAACTCCTGTCTCTCTCACCTTGGGGCAAAAAGGTGTTGACCAGAATGAAAAGTCCCACCGGGAACGTGAACAATATCTGGCTTATTCGACGACCCATATGATTCAGTGTCAAAAGGGAAACACATCTGGCTGTGAATGTGACAGCTCCACAGAGAATCTGGAACAGGGAGACATTGCTCCCTAAGTGCTGCAAGTTGAGTATCAGGCCATAAAAGGGTACAGTGATTGCGAATCTGAAGTGAATAAAAAGGACAAAGACATATTCAATAAGATTTAAAGCCTAGGAAACATTTTCTGAGATTTTGAAGGTAAGTCCTACAAATGATTATAATATTGACCCAATTGGCAAATGGTGTTTTTCCTTTTAAAAAAGGGATCATTCTGTTTTATAGACTATTTCCTTTTCAGACAATGGTCTTAAAATAACATAAAATAATTGTGGAACATGATGTTAAAATGGGCTCTTCATTGTCATAATTTTTACTGGGTCCTGAAGAAAAGAGATAGCAAACATACATATTATCAATGAAAGTTAAAAACCTACCCATGTAGAAAAAGTAATGTGAAATCTGAATTCATCAGTCAACTGGATGATATAAATGATTGGACATGGGTAGGGTTAGATGATGGAAATTAGGGGAATAGTTTCTTTGCAGCAGTTCAGCATTGTGTGAGTCAAACTTCTCTGCTCCCGTTCAGAGACCTTCTTTACCTTAGTCTTAGTAATCCCTGGAGAATGGGGGTAATACTTACTTGTATAATCTGGCCCACAGATTATACAAGTGGAGAGGAATCATAACACATTTACATAGAGAAAAGGTCAACAATATCTTTTTACCCTTCTTACCATATCAACCACCAAGGTCAGCTTGAACTACAGAAACAGAGAATCTCTAACTCTGAATGAATATCTAACCTTCTTTACCTTACCTTAGTGAGGCTGCAAGGGCACTGTAGGCAAGAGCTTTCCATGTGTTTCCTGGACTTGAGTGCAGTGGCCTGACATTTCTAAGCAGTCTAAGAGCTACAAGCAATGGGTTATTAAATCATCAGAATTGAGATAAAGGGGCTGGCAGGTAAATATACTTCCAGTAAAATAAGGTAGGGATGCCTGTATTTGCTCGCAGGTTGTATAGGCTCTGAAAGAGAGAGCTTGTATGGAATCATTTTAATCCCTCTGTGGAAAGAGGAAAGGAGAAAAGAGTGTTGGGGTGGGGAAGGCGACCAGCAATAAGGCAATGCAAAGCCAAATTGATTAGCAGGGCCTAGAGAGAAAATGTATGCAGGAGCCAGAGGAAAATGCATTTCTTGCATCACAAGAAATGGAGTGAATGCCAAGTGGTTACAGTGGAGGCCTCCAAGGAATTTACATAAAGGCACCCAGGGAAAGGAGTCTGATTTGATCATCCACCATGCCCAGCATCCAACAGTTACCAATGCCCGACCTTTGCTTTCTTTCCCCCTCTCTAGGTATGTAGAGTGTAGAAACCCGGCTCACAGATTATACAAGTGGAGAGGAAGCATAACACATTTACGTAGAGAAAAAGTCAACAATATCTTCTTACCCTTCTTACCATATCAACCACCAAAGTCAGCTTGAACTGCAGAAACAGGTTCTCTAACTCTGAATGAATATCTGAGGTTTAATTTTCATATGTGGCTGAAATATATGTATTACTAAGATGAGGCTATTCTTGTGAGTGAGAGGATGGGATTTTTTTTTTTTTTTATTACTGAGAAGGAGAGTATGTGTTATGTGGCTTGTCAGAGATTTCATCAGGGATAGGGAAAGAACCACAGAGCAGGTTTAAGAGAAAGCTAAGAAGGGATTAGGTGAAGATGATGATTTTCTGTTTTCATGATTAGGCCCTGTGCTTTCTCATTATTCGACATGAATTATTTTGATAAAACTTGCAGATAAAATTTGAGGAAAAAATTAACATTTTAGAAAAATTCATAGATATAAAATTTCTATAAATTTTATAATTATGAAAGAATACCGCATATTACTTAGAGATAAATACCAATGTAGCAACGTATAATGAAAGTCTTGGGGATGATAAAACAAAAAACCTGGAAAAAAAGGTTGGGAATATGCCCATGGAGGTTTATACAGAAGGCCTCCATTATCTTGGTCTGATTGTCTTTCTTAATGTGGGTAATGAGGTGTTTTTAAATTATAGTTACAAGTTTACTATCATGTATGCCTTAAATAATCAATAGTACATTAAAAAATATAAACAGAATTAGGCTAATTAAAGGGTGTCCTTAATTTTGTAATTTGCTTTGACAGCAGGTTTTCGTCTGAGACATGAAATCAATTTGCATAGTTCCATTTTTTGACTGAAATGATAATTTATGGAGAGGAAAAGAAAATACAAACAGATGAACAAATAAAGAAATAAAAAGCAAATATTCTATTTAAGTTCCTTGAATGCAGAGTTTAGATCTTAATGCCTCTGCAACCTTAACACATAGCCCAGTGCCTTCGCACATTTTATATTTTCCATAGACATCAGGAGGTCATGACGATGAATGGTGACAATGATGACGATGATGGTAATGATAATAACAAAATAATTATCATAATCCTGCCAAAACCAATGATTATTCTCCCTGCAAACATATATGAGCAGAATGCACATATTTTCTTTTGCTGGCTATCATATTAGCACTATCAGGGACTCTAGTCTTTAGTGCCTGAAAGCAGTCTGGTTGTCACTCTCCTAATCCATGATATAGAAACTTCTTTACAAGGAGATCCAATCTCACACCAGTCAGAATGGCTATTACTAAATGGTCAAAAAATAACAGATACCGGTGAGGATGGAGAGATAAGAGAATGCTTATACACTGCTGGTGGGAATGTAAATTAGTTCAGCCATTCGTGGAAAGCAGTATGGTGATTCCTCAAGGAATTTAAAACAGAATTACCATTTGACCCAGCAATCCCATTATTGGATATACACCCAAAGGAATATAAATCATTCTACTATAAAGATGCATGTATGTCTGTGTTCATCACAGCTTATTCATAATAGTAAAGACCTAGAATCAACCTAAATGCCCATCAATGGTAGACTGGATAAAGGAAATGTGGTACACATACACCATGGAATACTATGCAGCCATAAAGAGGAACAAGATCCTGTCCTTTGCATCAACATAGATATAGCTAGAGGCCATTATCCTAACTGAACTAACACAGAAACAGAAAATCAAATACCACATGTTCTCACTTATGAGTGGGAGCTAAATATTGAGTACATATGGACACAGAGAAGAGAAAAACAAAAATAATCTGTACAACAAACCTCTGTGAAATGAGTTTACCTATATAACAAGCCTGCTCATGTACCCTTGAGCCTAAAATAAAACTTAAAAAATTTTATATTGAATTTTTACCAAAATAGACAATAACTTGAAGGTCCACAGCTATTTGGAAACTAAGCACAACATTTATCCAAAACCATTGGGTCAAAGAGGATCCAAATCATGAATTAGAAATTTAGACTAATTTAGAATAAAAATACAATATCTCAAAATATATGGAAATGAGTAACTATGTGAGATTATGAATATGCTAATTTGTCTCACTATAATAATTTTACTATACACATCTCTCATAACATCATAGTGTATACCTTAAACATACACAATACAATTTGTTAAAAAAATATGGGATGTAGGTTTGGCAATGCTAACAGGGAACTTTATAGTTCCTTTGTAGTACTGTGCATTTATTAGGAAAAATGAAAGTTTGCAAAAAAAATGAATTAAGCTTTTCTGCCTGGAGGGCGCACACACACACACACACACACACACACACACACAGAGGGAGAGAGAGAGAGAGAGAGAGAAACCCAAGTAAGTAGAAGCAAAGAAATAATAAAAATAAGAGTAGAAATCAGGGAGGGGCCAAGATGGCCAAGTGGGAACAGCTCTGGTCTGCAGCTCCCAGCAAGACCCATGCAGATGGTGGGTGATCTCCGCATTTTCAACTGAGGCACCCAGTTCATCTCATTGGGACTGGTTAGGCAGTGGCTGCAACCCACAGAGGGCAGGCAGAAGCAGGGTGGGGCGTCAGCTCACCCGGGAAGTGCAAGGAGCCAGGGACTTCCCTCCCTGAACCAAGGGAAGCCATGAGGGACTGTGCTACATGGCCGGGTTACTACACTTTTCCTACAGTTTTTGCAATCTGCAGATCAGGAGATTCCCTCGTGTGCCTATACCACCAGGGCCCTGGGCTTCAAGCACAAAACTAGGTGGCTCTTTGGGCAAACACTGGGCTAGCTGCAGCAGTATTTTTTCATATTCCAGTGGTGCCTGGAACCTTAGCAAGACAGAACCATTTACTCCCCTCCCCTGGAAAAGGGGCTGAGGCCATGGAGCCAGGTGGTCTCGCTCAGTGAGTCCCACTCCCATGGAGCCCAGCAAGCTAAGAACCACTGGCTTGAAATTCTTGCTGCCAGCGCAGTAGTCTGAAGCCTGCCTGGGACGATGGAGCTTGGTGGGGGGAGGGGTGTGCGCCATTCCTGAGGCTTTAGTAGGCAGTTTTCCCCTGACAGTGCTAAGGAGGATGGGAGGTCTGGGCTGGGCATGGTAAAGTGGCTGTGGCAAGACTGCTTCTCTAGATTTCTCCTCACCGGGCAAAGCATCTCTGAAGGAAAGGCAACAGCCCCAGTAAGAGGTTTACAGACAAAATCCTCATTTCCCTGGAAGAGAACACCTGGGGGAAGGAGTGGCTGTGGGCGCAGCTTCAGCAAATTTAGTCATTCCTGCCTGCCAGCTCTGAAGAGCACAGCTGATCCTGACAAGAGTGATTCTCCCAATAGAGTGCACCAGCTCTGCTAAGGGACAGATTGCCTCCTCAAGTGGGTCCCTGACCCCCACGCCTCCTGACAGGGAGAAACCTCCCAACGGGGTCAACAGACACCTCATACAGGAGAGCTCCAGTTGGCATCAGGCTGGTGCCCCTCTGGGATGAAGCTTCCAGAGGAAGAAGCAGGCAGCAATCTTTGCTGTTCTGCAACCTCCACTGGTGATACCCAGGTGAAAAGGGTCTGGAGTGGACCTCAAACAAACTGCAGCAGACCTGCCAAAGAGGGACCTGACTGTTAGAAGGAAAAGTAACAAACAGAAAGCTACAACATCAACATCAACATCAACATAAAGGACTCCACACAAAAACCCCACCTAAAGGTCATCAGCCTCAACAATCAAAGGTAGATAAATCCAAGAAGTTGAGGAAAAATCAGTGCAAAAATGCTGAAAATTGCAAAAACCAGAATGCCTCTTCTCTCCAATGATCCCAACTCCTCTCCAGCAAGGGAACAAAACTGGGCAGAGAATGAGACTGATGAATTGACAGAAGTAGACTTCAGAAGGTGGGTAATAACTCCTCTGAGCTAAAGGAGCATATTCTAACCCAAGGCAAGGAAGATAAGAACCTTGATAAAAGGTTGCAGGAACTGCTAACTAGAATGACCAGTTTAGAGAAAAACATAAATTACCTGATGGAGCTGAAAATCACAGCATGAGAACTTCATGAAGTACATACAAATATTATAGCCAAATTGATCAAGCAGAATAAAGGATATCAGAGAATGAAGATCAAGTTCCTGAAATAACGTGTGAAGAAAAGATTAGAGAAAAAAGAATGAAAAGGAATGAACAAAGCCTCCAAGAAACATGAGACTATGAAAAGACACAACCTACGATAAATTGGTGTCCCTGAAAATGATGGGCAGAATGAACCAAACTGGAAAACACACTTCAGGATATTATCCAGGAGAACTTCCCCAACCTAGCAAGACAGGCCAACATTCAAATTCAGGAAATACAGAGAACAACACTAAGATACTCCTCAAGAAGAGCAAACCCCAAGACACATAATTGTCAGATTCTCCAAGATTGAAACAAAGGAAAAAATGTTAAGGGCAGCCAGAAAGGTCAGGTTACCTACAAAGGGAACCCCATCAGACTAAAAGTGGATCACTCTGCAGAAACCCTACAAGCCAGAAGAGAGTGGGGGCCAATATTCAACATTCTTAAAGAAAAGAATTTTCAACCCAGAATTTGATATCCAACCAAATTAAGTTTCATGTGAAGGAAAAACAAAACCCTTTCCAGACAAGCAAATACTAAGGGATTTTGTCACCACCAGGCCTGCCTTATGAGAGCACCTGAAGGAAGCACTAAATATGGAAAGGAAATACTGGTACCAGCCACTGCTGAAACACAGCAAAATATACAGAGCAATAACACTATGAAGAAAGCGCATCAACTAATGGGCAAAATAACCAGCTAGCATCATGATGATAGGATCAAATTCACACATAACAATATTAACCTTAAATGTAAATGGGCTAAATGCCTCAATTAAAAGACACAGAATGACAAACTGGATAAAGAGTCAAGACTCATCTAATGTGCAAAGATACACATAGGCTCAAAATAAAGGGATGGAGGAAGATTTATCAAGAAAATGGCAAGCAAAAAAAGCAGGAGTTGCAATCTTAGTCTCTGATAAAACAGACTTTAAGCCAACGAAGATTAAAAAAGACAAAGAACAAGGCCGGCCGCGGTGGCTCACGTCTGTAATCCCAGCACTTTGGGAGGCCGAGGCGGGTGGATCACAAGGTCAGGAGGTCGAGACCATCCTGGCTAACACGGTGAAACCCCGTCTCTACTAAAAATACAAAAAATTAGCCAGGCGTGGTGGTGGGCGCCTGTCGTCCCAGCTACTCGGGAGGCTGAGGCAGGAGAATGGCGTGAACCCAGGAGGCAGAGCTTGCAGAGAGCTGAGATCGGGCCACTGCACTCCAGCCTGGACGACAGAACGAGACTCTGTCTCAAAAAAAAAAAAAAAAAAAAAAAAAGACAAAGAATGGCATTACATAATGGTAAAGGGATCAATGCGACAAGAAGAGCTAACTATCCTAAATATATATGCACCCAATGGAGGAATACCCAGATTCATAAAACAAGTTCTTAGAGACCTACAAAGAGGCTTAGACTCCCACACAATAATAGTGGGAGACTTTAACACCCCACTGTCAATATTAGACAGAGCAACAAGACAGAGAATTAACAAGGGTATTCAGGACTTGAACTCAGCTCTGAACCAAGCAGACCTAATAGACATCTACAGAACTCTCCACCCCAAATCAAGAGAATATACATTCTTAGTGCCACACAGCATGTATTCTAAAATTGACCACATAATTGGAAGTAAAACATTCCTCAGCAAATGCAAAAGAACGGAAATCATAACAGTCTCTCAGACCACAGTGCAATCAAATTAGAACTCAGGATTAAGAAACTCACTCAAAACCACACAACTACGTGGAAATTGAACAACCTGTGCCTGAATGACTACTGGGTAAATAATGAAATTAAGGCAGAAATGAAGTTCTTTGCCCCAGAACTTAAAGTACAATAAATAAATAAATAAATAAATAAATAATAGCTATCTTAAAAAAAAAAGAAGTTATTTGAAACCAATGAGAACAAAGACCCCAAGTACCAGAATCTCTGGGACACAGGTAAAGCAGTGTTAAGAAAGAAATTTTGTAGCCCTGAATGCCTACCACAGAAAGCTGGAAAGATCTAAAACTGACATTCTAATATCACAATTAAAAGAACTAGAGATGCAAGAGCAAACAAATTCAAAAGCTAGCAGAAGACAAGAATTAAGAAATAAGATCATAGTAGAGTTGAAGGAGATAGAGACATGAAAAACCCTTCAAATAATCAATGAATCCAGGAGCTGATTTTTTGAAAAGATTAACAAAATAGATGGACCGCTAGCTAGACTAATAAAGAAGAAAAGAGAGAAAAAGAGGTATCACCACTGATCCCACAGAAGTACAAACTACCATCAAAGAATACTATAAACACCTCTACGCAAATAAACTAGAAAATCTAGAAGAAATGAATAAATTTCTGGACACACACACCCTCCCAAGATGAACTTAGGAAGAAGTCAAATCCCTGAGTAGGACGATAACATGTTCTGAAATTGAGGCAGTGAGTAATAGCCTACCAACCAAAAAAGGGCAAGGACCAGAGAGATTCACAGCCGAAGTCTACCAGAGGTACAAAGAGGAGCTGGTACCATTCCTTCTGAAACTATTCCAAACAATAGAGGAAGAGGGACTTCTCCCTAACTAATTTTATGAGGCCAGCATCTTCCTGATACCAAAAGCTGGCAGAGACACAACAACAAAAAAGAAAATTTCAGGCCAATATCCCTGGTGAACATCGATGAGAAAATCCTCAATAAAATACTGTCAAACTGAATTCAGCAGCACATCAAAAAGCTTATCCACCACGATCAAGTCAGCTTTATCCCTGGGATGCAAGCCTAGTTCAATATACACAAAACAATAAACATAATCCATCACATAAACAGAACCAATGACAAAAACCACATGATTATCTCAATAGATGCAGAAAAGGCCTTTGATAAAATTCAACACCCTTTCATGCTAAAAACTCTCAATAAACTAGGTATTGATGGAACATATCTCAAAACAATAAGAGCTATTTTTGACAAATCCATAGCCAATATCATTCTAAATGGCAAAAACTGGAAGCATTTCCTTTGAAAACCGGCACAAGACAAAGATACCCTCTCTGACCACTCCTATTCAACATAGTATTGGAAGTTCTGGCCAAGGCAATCATGCATGAGAAAGAAATAAAGGTATTTAAATAGAGAGGAAGTCAAATTGTCTCTGTTTGCAGATGACATGATTGTATATTTAGAAAACCCCATCATCTTAGCCCCAAAACTCCTTAAGCTGATAAGCAACTTCAGCAAAGTCTCAGGATACAAAATCAATATGCAAAAGTCACAAGCATTCCTATACACCAACAATAGACCAGCAGAGAGCCAAATCCTGAGTGAACTCCCATTCACAATTGCTACAAACGGAATAAAATGCCTAGGAATACAACTTACAAGGGACATGAGGGACTTCTTCAAGAAGAACTACATACCAGTGCTCAAGGAATAAGAGAGGACACAAACAAATGGAAAAAAATTCCATGCTCATGGATGGGAATAATCAATATAGTGAAAATGACCATACTGCCCAAAGTAATTTATAGATTCAATGCTATTCCCATGAAGCTACTAGTGACTTTCTTTGT
Source organism: Homo sapiens (assembly GCF_000001405.40). NCBI lineage: Eukaryota > Metazoa > Chordata > Mammalia > Primates > Hominidae > Homo > Homo sapiens. The sequence goes on from NC_000011.10 coordinate 63,092,384, forward strand.
AGAATTAGAAAAAACTAGTTCAAATTTCAAATGGATCAAAAAGGACACTGTATAGCCAAGAAAATCCTAAGGAAAGAGAATAAAGCTGGAGGCATCATGCTACCTGACTTCAAACTATACTACAAGGCTACAGTAACCAAAACAGCATAACACCGCACATCTACAACCATCTGATCTTTGACGAACCTGACATAAACAAGCAATGGGGAAAAGATTCCCTATTTAATTAATGTGCTGGGAAAACTGGCTATCTTTATGCAGAAAACAGAAACTGGACCCCTTTCCTACACCTTATATAAAAATTAACTCAAGATGGATTAAAAATTTAAATGTAAAACCCCAAAACCATAAAAACTCTGTAAGAAAAGCTAGGCAGTGCCATTCAGGACACAGGCATGGGCAAAGACTTCATGACTAAAACACAAAAAGCAATTGAAACAAAAGTCAAAATTGACAAATGGAATCTAATCAAACTAAAGAGCTTCTGCACAGCAAAATAAACTATCATCAGAGTGAACAGGCAACCTACAGAATGGGAGAAAATTTTTGCAAGCTACCTATCTGACAAAAGGCTAATATCCAGAATCTACAAGAACCTTAAACAAATTTACAAGAAAACAAACAACCCCATCAAAAAGTGGGCAAAGGACATGAGCAGACATTTCTCAAAAGAAGACATTTATGTGGCCAACAAACATGAAAAAAAGCTCATCGTCACTGGTCATTAGAGAAATGCAAGTCAAAACCACAATGAGATACCATCCCATGCCAGTTAGAATGGTACTCATTAAAAAGTCAGGAAACAACAGATGCTGGAGAGGCTGTGGAGAAGTAGAAACGCTTTTACACTGTTTGTGGGAGTGTAAATTAGTTCAACCATTGTAGAAGAGAGTAGTGTGGTGATTCCTCAAAGATCTAGAACCAGAAATATTATTTGACCCAGCAATCCCATTGCTGGGTATATACCCAAAGTATTATAAATCATTCTACCATAAAAACACATGCACACGTATGTTTATTGCAGCACTATTTATAATAGTAAAGTCTTGGAACCAACCCAAAGACCCATCAATAATAGACTAGATAAAGAAAATGTGGCACATATACACCATGGAATACTATGCAGCCATAAAAAGGAATGGAATGATGTCCTTTGCAGGAACATGGGTGGGGCTGGAGGTTATTATCCTTAGCAAACTAATGCAGAAACAGAAAACAAAATCCTGCATATTTTTATTTACAAGTGGGAGTTAAATGATGAGAACACATCATCACATAGAGGGGAACAATAGACACTGGGGCCTACCTAATTGGGGAAGGTGGGAGGAGGGAGAGGATCAGGAAAAATAACTAATGGGTATTAGGCTCAATACCTGGGTGATGAAATAATCTGTACCACAAACTCCTGTGACACGAGTTTACCTATATTACAAACCTGCACATGTGCCCTTGAACTTAAAATGTAAGTTAAAAAAATAAAATGCAAATTAAATTTACAATGTGATACTATATGCAGTCATTGGAATTATGAACTTAAAAGATTTCACAATAAGTCATATTGGCAAAATATGGAACAACCAAAATTCTTTTTTTCCTGTATTTAAAAAAAAATTTGTTATTATTATACTTTAAGTTTTAGGGTACATATGCACAATGTGCAGGTTTGTTACATATGTATACATGTGCCATGTTGGTGTGCTGCACTCATTAGCTTATCATTTAGCATTAGGTATATCTCCTAATGCTATCCCTCCCCCCTCCCCCGACCCCACAACAGTCCCCAGAGTGTGATGTTCCCCTTCCTGTGTCCATGTGTTCTCATTGTTCAATTCCCACCTATGAGTGAGAACATGCAGTGTTTGGTTTTTTGTCCTTGCGATAGTTTGCTGAGAATGATGGTTTCCAGTCCCTACAAAGGACATGGACTCATCATTTTTTATGGCTGCATAGTATTCTATGGTGTATATGTGCCACATTTTCTTAATCCAGTCTATCATTGTTAGACATTTAGATTGGTTCCAAGTCTTTGCTATTGTGAATAGTGCCACAATAAACATACATGTGCATGTGTCATTATAGCAGCATGATTTATAATCCTTTGGGTATATACCCAGTAATGGGATGGCTGGGTCGACTGGTATTTCTAGTTCTAGATCCCTGAGGAATCGCCACACTGACTTCCACAATGGTTAAACTAGTTTACAGTCCCACCAACAGTGTGAAAGTGTTCCTGTTTCTCCACATCCTCTCCAGCACCTGTTGTTTCCTGACTTTTTAATGATCGCCATTCTAACTGGTGTGAGATGGTATCTCATTGTGGTTTTGATTTGCATTTCTCTGATGGCCAGTGATGGTGAGCATTTTTTCATGTGTCTTTTGGCTGCATAAATGTCTTCTTTTGAGAAGTGTCTGTTCATATCCTTCACCCACTTTTTAATGGGGTTGTTTGTTTTTTTCTTGTAAATTTGTTTGAGTTCTTTGTAGATTCTGGATATTAGCCCTTTGTCAGATGAGTAGGTTGCAACAATTTTCTCCCATTGTGTAGGTTGCCTGTTCACTCTGCTGGTAGTTTCTTTTGCTGTGCAGAAGCTCTTTAGTTTAATTAGATCCCATTTGTCAATTTTGGCTTTTGTTGCCATTGCTTTTGGTGTTTTAGACATGAAGTCCTTGCCCATGCGTATGTCCTGAATGGTAATGCCTAGGTTTTCTTCTAGGGTTTTTATGGTTTTAGGTCTAAGATTTAAGTCTTTAATCCATCTTGAATTAATTTTTGTGTAAGGTGTAAGGGATCCAGTTTCAGCTTTCTACATATGGCTAGCCAGTTGAAGTGCACATTTGCACATCCAGTTTGGAATATTGATTGATAGTTCACTATAGCCAAATATACATGTGCCTTAAACCCAGGAATTCATAATAGCCCACAAGTGGAAAAAAATCCAAAACCCATGAACACCAGAATAGACAGATAACTTATGGAATATTCATATAAGAGAAAATGACCTACAATTAATTAAAAGACCAAATTACTGTTATGCAAGACAAAATGAATAAATTTCACATATTTAAAGGTACACAGATAGCATGATTCCATTAATATTAAATTCAAGAACCAGCAAATGTAATCTGCAGGGATAGCAGTAAGTACAGTTGGTGGTTTTGGAGAAGTATTAACTAGGGTGAAAGAGACATGAGAGATGATTCAGGATGCTGAAAATGAGCTTGTCTGGGTGGTGGTTACATAGTTTTATAGATTTGCAAAATTGATCTAGACAGCCAGTTGATGTAACTTCTTTAGTGAATAAAAAATTAGAAAATCAAAAAATTAAACTATGTTTTATGGTAAAACTTACTATCACCATAATATCCAGTGATAAACTTTGTGCTGGAATATGATGCTGATAAGTTTTAACTATGTGGTTAGGTCCCACTGTCCTGTCATAATATTAGGCTATCTAAAAATGTGGCACTTAGAGGCATACATTTGTATGTGATTTTCTCTTCTCTTATGTATTAAATGTCCTCCAAATGCTGCTGCTAATCTTTTGAAAGAAGAAACAGTTTTGTGTCTCCAATATTTTAAAGTGAATCATCACCAAATGGAACTTACCTCACAAAGCACAGGCCGAAGACTCTCATTCGCAATTTGGGTGCACGGAACAGGGAAAAAATGGATGTTTTAATTCGGACTGCATCCAACTCCTTCTTCATGGTGGATCTCACAAGCTTCAGCAACAAAAATAACAACAAGCATTTGTGAGATGTCAATAATGTGTCAGGCATAGTGGTAAGTACTAGAGAACAAGATAGACATATTGTAAACTATCCTCAAGGAAATTTCTGTCTAGTGGGGAATATGAGCATTAAATAATTCATCTCATGTGTGAAGTGTTACAAAAGGTGTAGGAAGAAATGGGAACTCAGAGGAATTATATAGGAATAAAACCAGGTTAAACACTGAGCCAGTGATAGGTAAAAGCATTAACAAAAATATTTGCATTATAAATCGGAGGAAATGAAACGGTATTTGTTTAAAGGTTAAAGGTTTCTTTCTTATCCACTGGGCATGAAATACTTGTCCTTCCTTTGTTATGAGAGAAGGTGTTTATTTTTATAAGTCAATAGCTTTCTTGAAAGCTGGGTCCACTTTATGATTAGCTTCTGAGCAATTATTCTCTAGATATGCCAGTCAAGTGTTTGCTATTGTGAACAGTGCTGCAATAAAAATATGTGTGCATGTGTCTTTATGGTAGAATGATTTATAATCCTTTGGGTATATACCCAGTAATGGGATTGCTGGGTCCCCTCATGAGTGGAGTGCACAGAAGTGAAGGCAAGGAAAAAAGTTGGGGATGTGTTGGTGGAGTATGATTTTTGCCTAAGCCAGATATTTGAAGAAGTGAAATATAGTTGTTGGAAAGGAGATGGTTTTAGGCTTGCACAAGTCTGGCTTGGAATTTCAGCCCTGCCATTTGATATATTACTTATCTCAGGTGCTTAGTTTTCTTATCATTTAGAAAATGAATTTAGCGTTTCTTTCATAGGGATTATCTAATAATTATCTGAAGTCTTACATGTAAATATAAAATGTATTTAGCACAGGAGTAGAAACATTATTTTTAAAAATAATATTAATTCATTTCTTACATTTATGATTTAGTGCAGGATATGGGAGACTTTTACATAGAGCTCCAGTAAGTAAATATTTCAGGCTGTGCACAGCAAAAGAAACTATCATCATAGTGAGCAGGCAACCTACAGAATGGGAGAAAACTTTTGCAATCTATCATCTATCCATCTGTCAAAGGGCTAATATCCAGAATCTACAAGGAACTTAAACAAATTTACAAGAAAAAAAAAACAACCCCATCAAAAAGTGGGTGAAGTATATGAACAGACATTTCTCAAAAGAAGATATTTATGCAGCCAACAAACATGAAAAAAAGCTCATCATCCCTGGTCATTAGAGAAATGCAAATCAAAACCACAGTAAGTTACCATCTCATGCCAGTTAGAATGGCGATCATTAAAAAGTCAGGAAACAACAGATGCTGGAGAGGATGTGGAGAAATAGGAATGCTTTTACACCATGGGAGTGTAAATTAGGTCAATCATTGTGGAAGATCGTGTGGCAACTCCTCAAGGATCTAGAACCAGAAATACCATTTGACCCTGCAATCCCATTACTGGGTATATACCCAAAGGATTATAAATCATTCTACTATAAAGACACATATGTTTATTGCAGCACTGTTCACAATAGCAAAGACTTGGAACCAACCCAAATGTGCATCAATGATAGACTGGATAAAGAAAACGGGGCACATATATGCCACGGAATACTATGCTGCCATGAAAAATAATGAGTTCATGTCCTTCATCCATGTCCCTACATGGATGAAGCTGGAAACCATCATTTTCAGCAAACTAACACAGGAGCAGAAATCCAAACACCATGAGTTTTCACTCATAAGTGGGAGCTGAACAATGAGAACACATGGACACAGGGAGGGGAGCATCACACACCAGGGCCTGTTGGGGGATGGGGGGCAAAAGGAGGGAAAGCATTAGGACAAATACCTAATGCATGTGAAGCTTAAAACCTAGATGATGGGTTGATGGGTGCAGCAAACCACCATGGCACATGTATACCTATGTAACAAACCTGCATGTTCTACACATGTATTTCAGAACTTAAATTATAATTTAAAAAGTTTAAAAAATGGAAATAATATCAAGCATCATCTCTTACCACAGTGGAATAAAACTAGAATTCAGTAACAAGAGAAACTTTAGAAACTATACAGACACATGGAAATTAAACAATATGTTCCTGAATGACCAGTGGGTTAATGAATAAATGAAGACAGAAATTAAAACTATCTTGAACCAAATGAAAGTGGACACACAACATACCAAAACCTATGGGACAGAGAGAAAGTGGTACTAATTGCAAATTTATAGCAATTAGTGCCTACATCCAAAATGTATAAAAACTTCAAATATTGGCAGGCACAGTGGCTCATGCCTATAATCTCAGCACTTGGGAGGCCAAAGTGGGTGGCTCACTTGAGGTCAGGAGTGTAAGAGCAGCTTGGCCAACATGGTGAAAACCTGTCTTTACTAAAAATGCAAAAATTAGCCAGGCATGGTGGCACATGCCACCCAGCTACTTGGGTGGCTGAGGGAGGAGAATCACTTGAACCTGGGAGCTGAAGGTTGCAGTAAGCCAAGATTACACCACTGCCCTCCAGCCTAGGTGACAGAGTGAGACTCCATCTCAAAAAAACAAACAAGCAAGCAAACAAACAAATAAAAAAACTAAACAATCTAATGATGTGTCTTACAGAATTAGAAAAACAAGGGCAAACCAAACCCCCAAAATAGTAGAAGTAACAAAGATCAGAGGAGAAAGAAATGAAATTGAGAGAAAACAATACAAAAAATGAACAAAAGCTGGCTTTTTGAAAAGATAAACAAAATTGACAAACTTCTAGGCTAAGAAAAAAGAGAGAAGACTCAAATAAAATCAGAAATGAAAAAGGTGACATTACAACCAATACTGCAGAAATTCAAAGGGTTATTAAAGGCTGGTATGAGCAACAGTATGCCAATACATTATAAAAGCTAGAAAAAAATGAATAAATTCCTAGTCACATGCAACTTATCAAGATTGAACCATGAAGAAATTCAAAACCTGAACAGACCAATAAGAAGTAATGACATTGAAGCCACAATACAAAGTCTCCCAGCAAAGTAAGCACAGGAACTGATGATTTCGCTGATGCATGTTAACAAATATTTATTGGTTTTTATTTATATTTAAAATTTTTTTGAGTTGCTGTCTCACTGTTTTGTCCAGGCTGGAGTGCAGTGATGCTTTCATGGCTTATAGCAGCCTCAACCTTCCAGGCTGAGGTGATTGTTCCATCTCACCCCCTGAGCAGCTGGGACCACAGTCTGTACCACCACACCTGGCTAATTTTTAAGATTTTTTTTTTTTTTTTTTTTTTTTTTTTTGTAGAGATAGGGTCTATGTTGCCTAGGCTGGTCTTGAACTCCTGGACTCAAGCAATTCTTCTGCCTTGGCCTCCCAAATTGCTGGCCTTACCAAACATTTAAAGAACTAGTACTAATCCTACTCAAACTATTCTGAAAAAATACGGGAGGAGAAAATACTTTCAAACCCATTCTGTGAGGCCAGTATTACTCTGATACCCAAACCAGACAGAGACAGATAAAAAAGAAAACTACAGGTTAATATCCCTGATGAATATTGATACAGAAATCCTCAATGAAATACTAGCAAGCCAATTTCAATGACACGTGAAGAAGACTGTTTTTCACGGCCAGGCAGAATTTATGACCAGGAATGCAAGGATGGTTCGACATATGCAATTCAACCAATGTGATACATCCTATGAACAGAATAAAGGACAAAAACTGCATAATCATTTCAGTTGATGCTGAAAAAGCATTTGATAAAATTCAACTTCCCTTCATGATAAAAACTCAAAAAAATCTCAGTATAGAAGGAACATACCCCAATATAATAAAAGCCAGATATGATAGACACACAGCTAGTACCATAGTAAATGGATAAAAACTAAAAGTCTTATCCCTAAAATTCAGAAAAAGACAAGGATGCTCATTTTCACTACTGTTTTTCAACATAGTACTGGAAATCCTAGCTAGAGCAATCAGACAAGAGACAGATATAAATGGCATCCAAATTGGAAAGGAAGAAGTTAAATTATCTTTGTTTACAAATGATATAAGCTTATATTTGGGAAAGCCAACACTCCACAAAAAACTATGAGCTGATAAACAAATTTAGTAAAGTTGCAAGATACAAAATCAACATAAAAAATAAGTGGCATTTCTATATGACAACAGTGAACAATCTGAAAAATAAATTAATAAAGTAATACCATTTGTAATAGGTACAAATAAAATACCTAGGAATAAATTTTTAATCAAAGAAGTGAAAGAGCTCTACAATGAAAACTATAAAGCACTGATGCAAGAAATCGAAGAGAACACACAAAAAATGAAAATATATTCCATGTTCATGGATTGGATTAATCAGTATTGTTAAAATGTCCATACTACCCAAAGCATTCTACAGATACAATGCAATATACCAATGATATTCTTCACAGAAATAGAAAAAATAGTCTTAATGTTTTAGTGGAACCACAAATGACTTAGAATAGCCAAAGCTACTCTGAGTAAAAAGAATAAAACTGGAGGAATCATGTTACCTGGCTCTAAATTATACTACAGAGCTGTAACTACCAAAACAGCATGGTACTGGCATAAAGACACAGACCAATGGAACAGAGTAGACAAGCCAGAAATAAATCCCTACATCTACAGTGAACTGATTTTTGACAAAGGTACTAAGAAAATACTTCAGGGAAAAGACAATTTCTTCAATAAATGGTGCTGAGAAAACTGGATATCCATTTGCAGGAGAATGAAACTAAGCTCTCACCATATAAAAAATCAAATCAAAATGGATTAAATGCTTACATCTAAGATTGCAAACTATACATCTACTATAACAAAGCACTGGGGAAACTCTCCAGGTCATTGGTCTGGGCAAAGATTTCTTGAGTAATATGCCAAGCAGAAGCACAGGCAGACAAAGTAAAACTGGATAAATGGGATCACATCATGTTAAAAAGCTTCTGCACAGTAAAAGATATAATCAACAAGGTAAAGAGACAGCCTGCAGAATGGGAGAAAATATTTGCAAACTACTCATCTGACAAGGGATTAATAACCAGAATATATAAGGAGCTCAACCCTCATACACAGTTGGAGGGAATGTAAATTAGTACAATCACTACGGCAAATATTTTGGAGGTTACTCAAAAAACTGAAGATAGAACTACCATATGATCCAGCAATGTTACTACTTGTTTTTTTTTTAAATTACACTAGGTAAGTGTTTATTAAATTAATGCTACTCTTCAAAAGTTGCATATAATATTACACTAGGCAAGAATCAATGCTGCTATTCAAAAATTGTATATAATATTATACTAGGTAAGTGTTAATTAAATTAATGCTGATATTCAATTATTAATATCAAACAAATTAGAAATAAAGCATAAGTGTTAGCTTAATATGGATCACTACTATAAGGTAAAAAGATTCAAAAAGCCCAGGAGTTCCATATGATCCAGCAATGTTACTACTTGGTTTTTATCCAAAGGAAATGAAATCAATATTTGAAGAGATATCTGCACTTCATGTTTATTGCAGCAACATTCACAATAGCCAAGATATGGGGGCAACCTAAGTGTCCATCTACAAATAAATTGATAAAGAAAAGTTGATACGTATACATGGAGTACTATTCAGCCATAAAAAGAATGAGATTCTATAATTTGCAGCAACATGGATGAAACTGGAGGTCATTATGTTAAGTGAAATAAGCCGGACACAGAAAGATGAACTTTTCATGTTCTCAGGAACATTTGTGGGAGCTAAAAATTAAAACAATTGAATACATGGAGATAAAGAGTAGAAGGATGGTTAGCAGAGACAAGAAAGGGTAGTTGTGGAGGGGGAATAAGGTTGGTTAGTGGGTACGAAAATATAGTTAGATAAATTGAATAAGGTCAAGTGTTTGATGGTACAACAGTGTGACTAAAGTGAACAATAATATATTGTACATTTAAAAATGACTAAAATAGAATAATTGAATTGTTTGTAACATGAAGAAAGGATAACTGCTTGAGATCATAGATACCGCATTTACTCTGATGTGATTATTATGCATTGTATGTTTGTATCAAAATATTTCACATACCCCATAAATATTTATAACTACTATGTACCCATAATAATTAAAATCAAGAAAAAAGAAATGGCTTTGGAATACTGTTATGAAAACATGGCCTAGAGATTGTTTCTTAAGATCCCAGAAAGATAAAAGAGTCAGTGTATTATTCAGAAACAAGGGGCCCTCTAAAGAGATTAAAAATATGTCTCTCAATAAAAAAAATACAGCCTCTAGGATACTCAGATGCACTGGTCTGTCACCCATCTCAGCAGGAGCCATAGGTAGAATAGAGCTTATCTCAAAGATGTTTGTTGCTGTGAATTTTGTCTAACAAAAATAAACCCCAATGGGTTGACAGGTGATCTGCCATGTTTTTGAGAAATCTTTGGTGGAAAAAACACTGCACACATGATAGCGTGGGATAGAGACAGTACAAAATGAAAAAGCCTGTGTAACCCCACAAATCTTGCTGGTGAAAAGCTGAATAAGAGTACCATTCAGCTGCAAACATGTTCTTTTTCATGAGAGGGAAGAAAACTCATAAATTGTATCCAAAAGGGAAGAGATTGTAGCAGAGAGCCAAATTGCTTTCATTTTCCATGCCTTGAGACCTAATCAAGGAACTTCTAACGTTTGCCTGGCTGCACTTCATAATTGCTCTGAACTCCTTGTACCTCATGTCTCTCCCATTTTGATCAGGAATATCTGCAGTAGTTATTCCATGCTGCTATCATTATTGTATGCTGGATGTGTTGGAGACAGATGTCTTGTGTCTTTAGTTTCACAGGTCAATTTATACAAACACAAAGGTCCTATAGTTAGAGAACTACATATAAGTAGGCTTGTTCACACTCGAACTTAATTGAAATTCTGGACTTTGAGCATATGCTATAATGAAATAATACTTTTCCAGACATTGTACATGTGTTAATTTACTTAGCATATCAGAGGGATGAAATCATTTGGGGCCAGAGGCTAGAATCTTTGTGTTTTCCTTTACTAACATGTTCTTCTACAGGGCATTTGCTCTCTTTCAGGACTGACATGTATTTATTAGTTTTGCTTATACCAACCAGTTCATTTTATCCCTGAAATGCTATTTGTCTTCCTTTTTACCAGCTAACTCCTAATCCTTTTCTGACCTATTAAGGCTAAAGTGGATACTTCCTCTGTGTTTTCTCAAAAATACTCTGCATATAACCATATGATAGCACCTATTCTATATTATAATGATCTCTTAATTTTTGTGTCCCATAGTAAAATTTAAGTTCTTTGAGGTCAGAGACTCTGACTTATTTTCTTATCAACATCTAACAATACCCTGGTACACCCTGGTAGGCAATAAGCATTTTTAAAGGAATGAGTGAAAGAGTGCTTGAATGAGCCACGTCAGGCTCTGGCTTCCAGTCATGAGAAGAAAAACTTCAAAAAAAGAAAAATTCTCAGCTGTTTTTCTGGCACACACAATATTAGTACCCCTGATGAAGACAATGTAAATGCCAAAAAGGTCTTTTATCTATTTTACTGCTGTATCCACATTGTGTAGAACTTTATTTGACTTATTTGGTGCTCAATGGGATATTTATTGAATTATTGAATAAATACATAAAGGGTCAAAATCACATTTAAATCTATCTTCTGTATGATTAATTATAATTTATTTTATTGGCTTTCTTATTTTCCCCAGAGGGGACCATGAGTCAGTAAAATAGTGAGAAATAAATTGTGTTTTGATTACTTTCCCCTATACGTCTAGGGTAAGAGCATGAAAATTTCCCAATCAATTTAATTAAACAATTATATCCACTTCTCCCAGTATATTTCAATATCTATATCCAAATCTTTGACAGGAGGAAAGATATATATATTTTATCAGGACAGAGATGTAAGACTCCACTCACAGAAGTCTAATTCTGTCACTCCAGGAACCTAGACTAGTATGATTGTGAGGTCATGTTTTCATTTAATCACAGCAATCATTTCCCCTTTCCAGATCACCTCAGTGGTCAGTGTCTCTTCAGTATTCTTTTTTCCATTTATGTGTGCAACTCTTCTAAGCTCCTTTAAGCCCTCATCTAGCTGATTGTTGATAATCAGCCACCGAGCAGACTCCACCATCTTCCTGATGAAAGAAGACAACATAGGTATAGTAAACAATTACTTATTTGGCACTTAACCTTTAACATGAAATTCCTTTCCCCTTTGATTTAATACAGACATTATAAATTATAGTAGAGTCATTTCTGACCAAATTGGCCTCCTCTGCTGGACTCCTAGGGTGAAGGATGTATCTGGCCATCAATAAGTGTTTGTTAAAGTGATTATACAGAACCATGAGTGTGTTAGTCCATTTTCACACTGCTGATAAAGACATACCTGAGACTGGGTAACTTATAAAGAAAGAAAGGTTTAATGAACTCATAGTTCCACATGGCTGGGGAGGCCTCAGAATCATGGTGGCATGTCTTACCTGGTGGCAGGCAAGAGAAGCAAAAGGGAAGCCCTTATAAAATCATCAGATCTCATGAGACTTATTCACTACCATAATAACGGTATGGGAGAAACCATCCCTATGATTCAATTATCGCCCACTGGGTCCCTCACTAAACCAGATCATTCTGCCCTGGTCCCTCCCAAATCTCATGTTCTCATATTTCAAAACCAATTATGCCTTCCCAACAGTCCCCCAAAGTCTTAATTTTTTCGGCATTAGCTCAAAAGTCCACAGTCCAAAGTCTCTTCTGAGACAAGGCAAGTCCCTTCTGCCTATGAGCCTATAAAATCAAAAGCAAGTTAGTTATTTCCTAGATACAATGGGGGTATAGCAGTGGATTTGACCAAAATGAAGGGGCTGCAGGCCCCATGCAAGTTCAAAATCCAGCAGGGCAGTCAAATATTAAAGCTCCAAATGATGTTCCTTGATTCCATGTCTCAAATCCAGGTCATGCCGATGCAAGGGGTGGGTTCCCATGGTCTTTGGCAGCTCTGCCACTGTGGCTTGGACAGGGTACAGCCCCTCTACTGGATGCTTTTGCAGTCTGGCATTGAGTGTCTGTGGCTTTTCCAGGCAAATGGTGCAAGCTGTTGGTGGATCTACAGTTCGGGGATCCAGAGGACAGTGGCCCCCTTCTCACAGCTCCACTCAGCAGTGTACCAGTGGGGACTCTCTGTGGGAGCTCTGGCCCCAATTTCCCTTCTGCAGTGCCCTAGCAGAGGTTTTCATGAGGGTCCTGCCCCACAGAAAACTTCTTCCTGGACATCTAAGCATTTCCATACATTCTCTGAAATCTAGATGGAGGTTGCTAAACCTCAATTTTTAACTTCTGTGCACCTGCAGGCTCAATACCACGTGGAAGCTGCCAAGGCTTGGGGCTTGCATCCTCTGAAGCCACAGCCCAAGTTGTCCCTTGGCCCGTTTTGGCCATGGCTACAGTGGCTAGGACTCAGGACACCTGCCCCTAGGATGCACACAGCAGGGGTCCCTTGGTTTAGCCCAGTAAGTCATTTTTTTTTCTCCTAGGTAAATAGGCCTATGATGGGAGGGGCTGCCCAAATGTCTCTGACATGCCCTGGAGACATTTTCCTCATTTTCTTGGTGATTAGCCTTTGGCTCCTCATTACTTATGCAAGTTTCTGCAGCAGGCTTGAATTTCTCCTTAGAAAATGGGTTTTTCTTTTCTATCACATCATCAGGCTGCAAATTTTTCAAACATTTATGCACTGTTGCCCTTTTAAAACTGAATTTTTTTCTTTTAAATTTTATTATTATTATACTTTAAGTTTTAGGGTACATGTGCACAATGTGCAGGTTTGTTACATATGTATACATGTGCCATGCTGGTATGCTGCACCCATTAACTCGTCATTTAGCATTAGGTATATCTCCTAAAGCTATCCCTCCCCCCTCCCCCCACCCCACAACAGTCCCCGGTGTGTGATGTTCCCCTTCCTGTGTCCATGTGTTCTCATTGTTCAATTCCCACCTATGAGTGAGAACATGCGGTGTTTGGTTTTTTTGTCCTTGCGATAGTTTGCTGAGAACGATGGTTTCCAGTTTCATCCACGTCCATACAAAGGACATGAACTCATCATTTTTTATGGCTGCATTGTATTTCATGGTGTATATGTGCCACATTTTCTTAATCCAGTCTATCGTTGTTGGACATTTAGGTTGGCTCCAAGTCTTTGCTATTGTGGAGAGTGCTGCAATAAACATATGTGTGCATGTGTCTTTATAGCAGCATGATTTATAATCCTTTGGGTACATACCCAGTAATGGGATGGCTGGGTCAAATGGTATTTCTAGTTCTAGATCCCTGAGGAATCACCACACTGACTTCCACAATGGTTGTCACTAGTTTTCCACTAACAGTGTAAAAGTGTTCCTATTTCTCCACATCCTCTCCAGCACCTGTTGTTTCCTGACTTTTTAATGATCGCCATTCTAACTGGTGTTAGATGGTATCGCATCATGGTTTTGATTTGCATTTCTCTGATGGCCAGTGATGATGAGCATTTTTTCATGTGTTTTTTGACTGCATAAATGTCTTCTTTTGAGAAGTGTCTGTTCATATCCTTCACCCACTTTTTGATGGGGTTGTTTGCTTTTTTCTTGTAAATTTGTTTGAGTTCGTTGTAGATTCTGGATATTAGCCCTTTGTCAGATGAGTAGGTTGCAAAAATTTTCTCCGATTTTTTAGGTTGCCTGTTCACTCTGATGGTAGTTTCTTTTGCTGTGCAGAAGCTCTTTAGTTTAATTAGATCCCGTCTGTGAATTATGGCTTTTTGTTGCCATTGCTTTTGGTGTTTTAGTCATGAAGTCCTTGCCCATGCCTATGACCTGAATGGTATTGACTAGGTTTTCTTCTAGGGTTTTTATGGTTTTAGATCTAACATTTAAGTCTTTAATCCATCTTGAAGTAATTTTTGTATAAGGTGTAAGGAAGGGATCCAGTTTCAGCTTTCTACATATGGCTAGCCAGTTTTCCCAGCAACATTTATTAAAATAGGGGATCTTTTCCCCATTTCTTGTTTTTGTCAGGTTTGTCAAAGATCAGATGGTTGTAGATGTGTGGTGTTATTTCTGAGGCCTCTGTTCTGTTCCATTGGTCTATATCTCTGTTTTGGTACCAGTACCATGCTGTTTTGGTTACTGTAGCCTTGTAGTGTAGTTTGAAGTCAGGTAGTGTGATGCCTCCAGCTTTGTTCTTTTGGCTTAGGATTGTCTTGGCAATGTGGGCTCTTTTTTGGTTCCAGATGAAGTTTAAAGTAGTTTTTCCCAATTGTGTGAAGAAAGTCATTGGTAGCTTGATGGGGATGGCATTGAATCTATGAATTACCTTGGGCAATATGGCCATTTTCATAGTATTGACTCTTCCTGTCCATGAGCATGGAATGTTTTTCCACTTGTTTGTGTCCTCTTTTATTTTTTTTGAGCAGTGGTTTGCAGTTCTCCTTGAAAAGTACTGTCACATCCCTTGTAAGTTGGATTCCTAGGTATTTTATTCTCTTTGAAGCAATTGTGAATGGGAGTTCACTCATGATATGGCTCTCTGTGTGTCTGTTATTGGTATATAGGAATGCTTGTGATTTTCGCACACTGATTTTGTATCCTGAGACTTTGCTGAAGTTGCTTATCAGCTTAAGGAGATTTTGGGCTGAGACAATGGGGTTTTCTAGATATACAATCATGTCATCTGCAAACATGGACAATTTGACTTCCTCTTTTCCTAATTGAATACCCTTTATTTCCTTCTCCTGCCTAATTGCCCTGGCCAGAACTTCCAACACTATGTTGAATAGGAGTGGTGAGAGAGGGCATCCCTGTCTTGTGCCAGTTTTCAAAGGGAATGCTTCCAGTTTTTGCCCATTCAGTATGATATTGGCTGTGGGTTTGTTATAAATAACTCTTATTATTTTGAGATACATCCCATCAATACCTAGTCTATTGAGAGTTTTTCGCATGCAGGGCTATTGAATTTTGTCAAAGGCCTTTTCTGCATCTATTGAGATAATCATGTGGTTTTTGTCATTGGTTCTGTTTATGTGATGGATTACATTTATTGATTTGCATATGCCGAACCAGCCTTGCATCCCAGGGATGAAGCCGACTTGATCGTGGTGGATAAGCTTTTTGATGTGCTGCTGGATTCGTTTTGCCAGTATTTTATTGAGGATTTTCATATCAATGTTCATCAGGGATATTGGTCTAAAATTCTTTTTTTGTTGTGTCTCTGCCTGGCATTGGTATCATGATGTTGCTGGCCACATGAAATGAGTTAGGGAGGATTCCCTCTCTTTCTGTTTTTTATAATAGTTTCGGAAGGAATGGTATCAGCTCTCTTTGTACCTCTGGTAGAATTTGACTGTGAACTTGTCTGCTTCTGGACATTTTTAGTTGGTAGGCTATTAATTATTGCCTCAATTTTATAGCCTGTTATTGGTCTATTCAGAGATTCAACTTTTTCCTGGTGTTTAGTCTTGGGAGGGTGTATGTGTCCAGGAATTTATCCATTTCTTTTAGATTTTCTAGTTTATTTGCATAGAGGTGTTTATAGTATTCTCTGATGGTAGTATGCATTTCTGTGGGATCAGTGGTGATATCCCCTTTATCATTTTTTTTTGCATCTATTTGATTCTTTTTTTTTTCCTTTTGTCTTTACATTTCTTTTTTTTTATTATTATTATACTTTAAGTTTTAGGGTACATGTGCACATTGTGCAGGTTAGTTACATATGTATACATGTGCCATGCTGGTGTGCTGCACCCACTAACTCGTCATCTAGCATTAGGTATATCTCCCAATGCTATCCCTCCCCCCTCCCCCCACCCCACAACAGTCCCCAGAGTGTGATGTTCCCCTTCCTGTGTCCATGTGTTCTCATTGTTCAGTTCCCACCTATGAGTGAGAATATGTGGTGTTTGGTTTTTTGTTCTTGCGATAATTTACTGAGAATGATGATTTCCAGTTTCATCCATGTTCCTACAAAGGACATGAACTCATCATTTTTTATGGCTCCATAGTATTCCATGGTGTATATGTGCCACATTTTCTTAATCCAGTCTATCAGTGTTGGACATTTGGGTTGGTTCCAAGTCTTTGCTATCGTGAATAATGCCACAATAAACATACATGTGCATGTGTCTTTATAGCAGCATGATTTATAGTCCTTTGGGTATATACCTAGTAATGGGATGGCTGGGTCAAATGGTATTTCTAGTTCTAGATCCCTGAGGAATCGCCACACTGACTTCCACAATGGTTGAACTAGTTTACAGTCCCACCAACAGTGTAAAAGTGTTCCTATTTCTCCACATCCTCTCCAGCACCTGTTGTTTCCTGACTTTTTAATGATCGCCATTCCAACTGGTGTGAGATGGTATCTCATTGTGGTTTTGATTTGCATTTCTCTGATGGCCAGTGATGGTGAGCATTTTTTCATGTGTCTTTTGGCTGCATAAATGTCTTCTTTTGAGAAGTGTCTGTTCATGTCCTTTGCCCACTTTTTGATGGGGTTGTTTGCTTTTTTCTTGTAAATTTGCTTGAGTTCATTGTAGATTCTGGATATTAGCCCTTTGTCAGATGAGTAGGTGGCAAAAATTTTCTCCCATTTTGTAGGTTGCCTGTTCACTCTGATGGTAGTTTCTTTTGCTGTGCAGAAGCTCTTTAGTTTAATTAGATCCCATTTGTCAATTTTGGCTTTTGTTGCCATTGCTTTTGGTGTTTTAGACATGAGGTCCTTGCCCATGCCTATGTCCTGAATGGTAATGCCTAGGATTTCTTCTAGGGTTTTTATGGTTTTAGATCTAACGTTTAAGTCTTTAATCCATCTTGAATTGATTTTTGTATAAGGTGTAAGGTAGGGATCCAGTTTCAGCTTTCTACATATGGCTAGCCAGTTTTCCCAGCACCATTTATTAAATAGGGAATCCTTTCCCCATTGCTTGTTTTTGTCAGGTTTGTCAAAGATCAGATAGTTGTAGATATGCGGCGTTATTTCTGAGGGCTCTGTTCTGTTCCATTGATCTATATCTCTGTTTTGGTACCAGTACCATGCTGTTTTGGTTACTGTAGTCTTGTAGTATAGTTTGAAGTCAGGTAGCATGATGCCTCTGGCTTTGTTCTTTTGGCTTAGGATTTATTTGGCAATGCGGGCTCTTTTTTGGTTCCATATGAAGTTTAAAGTAGTTTTTTCCAATTGTGTGAAGAAAGTCATTGGTAGCTTGATGGGGATGGCATTGAATCTATAAATTATCTTGGGCAGTATGGCCATTTTCACGATATTGATTCTTCCTTCCCATGAGCATGGAATGTTCTTCCATTTGTTTGTATCCTCTTTTATTTCATTGAGCAGTGGTTTGTAGTTCTCCTTGAAGAGGTCCTTCACATCCCTTGTAAGTTGGATTCCTAGGTATTTTATTCTCTTTGAAGCAGTTGTGAATGGGAGTTCACTCACGATTTGGCTCTCTGTTTGTCTGTTGTTGGTGTATAAGAATGCTTGTGATTTTTGTACATTGATTTTGTATCCTGAGACTTTGCTGAAGTTGCTTATCAGCTTAAGGAGATTTTGGGCTGAGACGATGGGGTTTTCTAGATATACAATCATGTCGTCTGCAAACATGGACAATTTGACTTCCTCTTTTCCTAATTGAATACCCTTTATTTCCTTCTCCTGCCTAATTGCCCTGGCCAGAACTTCCAACACTATGTTGAATAGGAGTGGTGAGAGAGGGCATCCCTGTCTTGTGCCAGTTTTCAAAGGGAATGCTTCCAGTTTTTGCCCACTCAGTATGATATTGGCTGTGGGTTTGCCATAGATAGCTCTTATTATTTTGAAATACATCCCATCAATACCTAATTTATTGAGAGTTTTTAGCATGAAGGGTTGTTGAATTTTGTCAAAGGCCTTTTCTGCATCTATTGAGATAATCATGTGGTTTTTGTCTTTGGTTCTTTTTATATGCTGGATTACATTTATTGATTTGTGTATGTTGAACCAGCCTTGCATCCCAGGGATGAAGCCCACTTGATCATGGTGGATAAGCTTTTTGATGTGCTGCTGGATTCGGTTTGCCAGTATTTTATTGAGGATATTTGCATCAATGTTCATCAAGGGTATTGGTCTAAAATTCTCTTTTTTTGTTGTGTCTCTGCCCGGCTTTGGTATCAGGATGATGCTGGCTTCATAAAATGAGTTAGGGAGGATTCCTTCTTTTTCTATTGATTGGAATAGTTTCAGAAGGAAAGGTACCAGTTCCTCCTTGTACCTCTGGTAGAATTCGGCTGTGAATCCATCTGGTCCTGGACTCTTTTTGGTTGGTAAGCTATTGATTATTGCCACAATTTCATAGCCTGTTATTGGTCTATTCAGAGATTCAACTTCTTCCTGGTTTAGTCTTGGGAGAGTGTATGTGTCGAGGAATTTATCCATTTCTTCTAGATTTTCTAGTTTATTTGTGTAGAGGTGTTTGTAGTATTCTCTGATGGTAGTTTGTATTTCTGTGGGATCGGTGGTGATATCCCCTTTATCATTTTTTATTGTGTCTATTTGATTCTTCTCTCTTTTTTTCTGTATTAGACTTGCTAGTGGTCTATCAATTTTGTTGATCCTTTCAAAAAACCAGCTCCTGGATTCATTAATTTTTTGAAGGGTTTTTTGTGTCTCTATTTCCTTCATTTCTGCTCTGATTTTAGTTATTTCTTGCCTTCTGCTAGCTTTTGAATGTGTTTGCTCTTGCTTTTCTAGTTCTTTTAATTGTGATGTTAGGGTGTCAATTTTGGATCTTTCTTGCTTTCTCTTGTGGGCATCTAGTGCTATAAATTTCCCTCTACACACTGCTTTGAATGTGTCCCAGAGATTCTGGTATGTTGTGTCTTTGGTCTCGTTGGTTTCAAAGAACATCTTTATTTCTGCCTTCATTTCGTTATGTACCCAGTAGTCATTCAGGAGCAGGTTGTTCATTTTCCATGTAGTTGAGTGGTTTTGAGTGAGATTCTTAATCCTGAGTTCTAGTTTGATTGCACTGTGGTCTGAGAGATAGTTTGTTATAATTTCTGTTCTTTTACATTTGCTGAGGAGAGCTTTACTTCCAACTATGTGGTCAATTTTGGAATAAGTGTGGTGTAGTGCTGAAGAAAATGTATATCCTGTTGATTTGGGGTAGAGAGTTCTGTAGATGTCTATTAGGTCCGGTTGGTGCAGAGCTGAGTTCAATTCCTGGGTATCCTTGTTAACTTTCTGTCTCGTTGATCTGTCTAATGTTGATAGTGGGGTGTTAAAGTCTCCCATTATTATCGTGTGGGAGTCTAAGTCTCTTTGTAGGTCTTCTTTCTTCTTTATTAGTCTTGCTAGCAGTCTATGAATTTTGTTGATTGTTTCAAAACACCAGCTTCTGGATTCTTTGATTTTTTGAAGGATTTTTGTGTCTCTATCTCCTTCAGTTGTGCTCAGATCTTAGTTATTTCTTGCCTTCTGCTAGATTTTGAATTTGTTTGCTCTTGCTTCTCTAGTTCTTTCAGTCTGCATCTTTTAACTGGGGCATTTAGCCCATTTACATTTAAGGTTAATATTGTTACGTGTGACTCCCAGCACTTTGGGAGGCTGAGGCAGGTGGATCACGAGGTCAGGAGATTGAGACCATCGTGGCTAATATGGTGAAACCCCGTCTCTACTAAAAAATACAAAAAAAATAGCAAGGCATGGTGATGAGTGCCTGTAGTCCCAGCTACTCAGGAGGCTGAGGCAGGAGAATGGCGTGAACCCGGGAGCCGGAGCTTGTAGTGAGCCAAGTTTGTGCCACTGGACTCCAGCCTGTGTGACAGCAGACTCTGTCTCAAAAAAAAAAAAAAAAAAAAAAAAATATATATATATATATATACATATATATATATACATATATATACACATATATATACATATATATATACATATATATACACATATATATATACATATATATATACACATATATATATACATATATATATACACATATATATACATATATATATACACATATATATATACATATATATACACATATATATATATACATATATATATATATACACACATACACACACACACGTATAGTTACATGTGACTTTGATCCTGTCGTTATTATGTTAGCTAGTTATTTTGCCTGTTAATTGATGCAGTTTCTTCATAGCATCGATGGTCTTTACAAGTTAGCATGTTTTTGCAGTGGCTGGTACCGTTTGTTTCTTTCCATGTTTAGTGCTTCCTTCAGGAGTTCCTGTAAGGCAGGCCCATTGGTGGCAAAATCTCTCAGAATTTGCTTGTCTGTAAAGGATTTTATTTCTTCTTCACTTATGAAGCTTAGTTTGGCTGTATATGAAATTCTGGGGTTGAAAATTCTTTTCTTTAAGAATGTTGAGGCCGGGCACAGTGGCTCACACCTGTAATCCCAGCACTTTGGGAGGCCGAGGTGGGCAGATCACGAGGTCAGGGGATCGAGAACATCCTGGCTAATGCAGTGAAACCCCATCTCTACTAAAAATACAAAAATTAGCTCGGCATAGTGGCACATGCCTGTAGTCCCAGCTACTTGAGAGGCTGAGGCAGGAAAATCACTTGAACCCAGGAGGCAGAGATTGCAGTGAGCCAAAATTGTGCCACTACACTCCAGCCTGGGCAACAGCGTGAGACTCCATCTCAAAAAAAAAAAAAAAAAAGGAATGTTGAATATGGGCCCCCTCTCTCTTCTGGCTTTTTGGGTTTCTGCCGAGAGATCTGCTGTTAGTCTGATGGGCTTCCTTTTGTGGGTAACCCGACCTTTCTCTCTGGCTGCCCTTAACATTTTTTCCTTCACTTCAACCTTGGTGAATCTGACAATTGTGTGTCTTGGGGTTGCTCTTCTTGAGGAGTATCTTTGTCATGTTCTCTGTATTTCCTGAATTTGAATGTTGGCCCTCCTTTCTGGGTTGGGGAAATTCTCCTGGATAATATCCTGAAGAGTGTTTTTCCAACTTGGTTCCATTCTTTCCGTCACTTTCAGGTACACCAATTAAACATAGATTTTGTCTTTTCACATAGTCCCATATTTCTTAGAAGCTTTGTTCACTTCTTTTTACTCTTTTTTCTCTAAACTTGCCCTCTCACTTTATTTCATTAATTTGATCTTCAATCACTGATACCCTTTCTTCCACTTGATTGACTCGGCTATTGAAACTTGTACATGGGTCATGAAGATCTCATGCCATGGTTTTCAGCTCCATCAGGTCACTTAAGGTCTTCTCTACACTGTTTAGCCATCATCTAATCGTTTTTCAAGGTTTTTAGCTTCCTTGTGATGTGTTAGAATATGCTCCTTTAGCTCGGAGAAGTTTGTTATTATTGACCTTCTGAAGCCTACTTCTGTTAACTCATCAAAGTAGCTCTCCATCCAGCTTTGTTCTGTTGCTTGTGAGGAGCTGCAATCCTTTGGAGGAGAAGAGGCACTCTGGTTTTTAGAATTTTCAGCTTTTCTGCTCTGTTTTCTCCCCATCTTTGTGGTTTTATCTACCTTTGGTCTTTGATTTTGGTGACCTACAGATGGGGTTTTGGTGTGGATATCCTTTTTGTTGATGGTGATGCTATTCCTTTCTGTTTGTTAGTTTTCCTTCTAACAGCCAGGTCCCTCAGCTGCAGGTCTGTTGGAGTTTGCTGGAGGTCCACTCCAGACCCTGTTTGCCTGGGTATCACCAGTGGAGGTTTTGCAGAACAGCAAATATTGCTGCCTAATCCTTCCTCTGGAAGCTTCGTCTCAGAAGGGCACCTGCCTGTATGAGGTGTCTGTCAGCCCCTACTGGGAGGTGTCTCCCAGTTAGGCTACATAGGGTTCAGGGACCCACTTGAGGAGGCAGCCTGTCCATTCTCAGAGCTCATACACTGTGCTGGGAGAACCACTGGTCTCTTCAAAGCTGTCAGACAGAGACGTTTAAGTCTGCTGAAGTTTCTGCTGCCTTTTGTTCATCTATGCCCTGCCCACAGAGGTGGAATCTAGAAAGGCAGTAGGCCTGGCTGAGCTGTGGTGGGCTCCACCCAGTTCGAGCTTCCTGGCCACTTTATTTACCTACTCAAGCCTCAGCAATGGCAGACACCCCTCCCCCCATGAGGCTACTGCCTTGCAGGTCGATCTCAGACTGCTGTGCTAGCAGTGAGCAAGGCTCCGTGGGCATGGGACCCAGTGAGCCAGGCATGGGAGAGTATCTCCTGGTCTGCTGGTTGCTAAGACCTTGGGAAAAGCACAGTATTTAGGCAGGAGTGTCCCATTTTTCCAGGTACAGTCTGTCATGGCTTCCTTTGGCTAGGAAAGGGAAATCCCCCAACCCCTTGCACTTCCCAGGTGAGGCAACACTGCGCCCTGCTTCAGCTCACCCTCCATGAGCTGCACCCACTGTCCAAGCAGTCCCAGTGATATGAACAAGGTACCTCAGTTGGAAATGCAGAAATCACCCATCTTCTGCATCGATCACACTGGGATCTGCAGACCAGAGCTGTTCCTATTCGACCATCTTGGAATGGAAGACCCGGTTTTGTTTTTTTTATATGGGCAGATGTAGAATTCTCTGCTGACAGATTTTTTTTTTCAGGTTTACTTGTACAAATAGCACCAGAGGACCCCAGCCCCATGCAGATGGCAGCCTATTGGGGAGGTTGCACCATTCCTTCTGTCCTCACCTTGGTAGACAGAGATATCCACTCTGAAGTCTTTGTAGGGGCTTGGGCACCTTTGGGAGCCTGAGCTGGAACTGAAGCTGGAGCTGCAGCCTGGGCCTTGGTTTGACCCTTGGCCTTTGGCTGGCACTGCCCGAGCCCCTTGACAACATGGGCAAGAGCCTACTTCCCAAGCTTGAGGTGGGCAATGTAGGCAAGTCAATCGAGCTTGTTGCTGACACTCTTTGGGATCTTGAGCTTAACTTCCTTGGGCTTTATGAGGGCCTTGATAGCCTTGGCATGTGCACTCATGGCCTTGGCATTGTTGACCTGCATCTTCTTTAGGCCCTTCTTGATGTGCTTCTTGGCAAAGCGCATATTCTTCAGGAACTTGGGGTCCACACCCTTAAGAGATTCATATCTTTGTGATCAGGGTTTCTTGATACCATTTCTGTGCCATTTTTCGGACTGGTTGTGTTTGGTATGGTTCTTGGACTTGGTTATGTCTGCACCTTAAGCCGCAGCTCCCAAAGCACCTAGAACCAGAAGGCTCTGGCAGATTTTTTTTTCAACACTTTGAATAATTAATCCCACTGCCTTGCAGACTCTGTTTTCTGTTGATAAATCAACTATTAATCTTATTGAGGATCTCTTTTCCATGATGAGTTAGCTTTTCTTTTGATGGTTTTAAAAATCTTTCTTTGGATTTTGGTAGCTTGATTATACTGTGTCTAGGTATGGATCTTTTCAGTTTATCTGAATTACAGTTTTTGAATTTCTTGGGTGTGTAGATTAATGTTTCCAACATATTTGTTTTATTAGCCATTATTTTTAAAAATATACTTTGTTCCTTTTTCTCAGCCCTCGCCTTCTGGGACTACAAAATGCATATGTTGATACCCTTGATAGAGTCTCACATGTCCTCAAAACTCTGCTCCTCCTTACTTATTTTATTCACTAAACTGGATAATCTCAACACTGTCTTCAAATTTACTGCTTTTTTTCTGCCTGCCCAACTCTTCTGTTTTGACCATCCAATAAATTTTCACTTCTGAACATTTCAACTCTAGAATTTCTATTTGGCTCCTTTTAAACATTTCCATCTTCAATGATGTTTTCTATTTGGAGACATCTTTTTTTTGTATTTTTTTGTTACTTATTTAGACATGGTTTTCTTTAATTCTTGAGCATATTTAACTTAGTTGATTCAAATCCTATGTCTCATAAGCCAACATCTGGCTTGTCAGGTATAGTTTGTACTGATTGCCTTTTCTTCCTGTGTAGAAGTCATGCTTTCATGTTTTCTTCCATGGCTCCTTTGTTGAAAACTAGGCCTTTTAAACATATAATGTAACAATTCTGGAAATCATATTCTTCCCTCTTTCTCAATGTTTGTTGTTGTTGCTCCCTGTTGTAGTGATTGTTTGTTTGGTTAGTGGCTTTTTGTTAACGAATTCTGTAAAATCAGTATTCGTCATGTGTGGCCACTGAATCTCTACTTGGTTAGCTTAGTGCTCAGCTATTAAGTTAGTTGTCTGCAACCAATACTTCTCCCAGTCTTTATTGAGAGGCTCTGAGTATGTGACACTCAGTCAGGCAGTTTACATCTCTGCCTTAGCCTCCACCAACTGCATATGCAGAGCCCCAAGATCATCCAGAGGTGAGAGCTTAGGGACTTCCCCTTTCACCTCATCTACCTCTTCTATCTTTGCCACCCCTGAGATGGCAAGACCAACTCCTCCTCTTCTTTCCTCTCCTCAGCCTACTTAACATGAAGATGTTAAGGATTAAGACCTGTATGATAATCCATTTCCACTTAATGAATAGTAAATACATTTTCTCTTCCTTACGCTTTTCTTAATAACATTTTCTTTTCTCTAGCTTACTTTACCATAAGAATATAGTATATAATGCATATAACACACAGAATATGTGTTAATAACTGTTTATGTTATTGTTAAGGCTGCCAGCCAAGAGTAGGCTATAAGTAGTTCAGTTTTTAGAGTCAAAATTTATATGCAGATTTTTGAGTGCATGGGGTGTTGGCGCCCCCAACACTCTGCACTGTTCAAGGGTCAACTGTATTTTGTTCCTCAGCTTCTAATTTTCAACTCTTTGTTAATTATATTATTTTCCCAAATTGTTATCCATCACTTCAGACAGCTGTGACCTCAAAACATTTGTCAGTAAATATGTTTGACAAATGCCTTATGAGGGGAGCCTTCTCACACTAGGCAACTTTGAGTCAGGTCAAATAGAGACAGCCTTCCAAATAGGGTCTTAGGGGAGCCAGCAGAAAGGTATAATAATGACAGCTTTTTGTGAATGAGGTTTTGAAATAACTCAAGCTCTGTCCTCCTCCCTCTAGTACCAAGAATGTTAGCTGTTATTTTTTTTTCAAGGCTGCAGCATAGCTGGAGAGTAGGAACTGAAACTAAGATATGTTAAAAACATCCCAACATTCACTTTCTTACTGGGACTCAGTTTTTCTTCAACAAAAGATTCCCTAAATTGCTGCAAGTCTTTGGTTAATTTTCAGAGTTCTGAAAGAGATGATTTTGACAACTTTTTGCTAGTTTTGTGTTGCTTTTATGGAGGAACCAATTTTTGGAGATCCTACTCTGTCAAGTTCCCTGAAGTCGCCCCCATCCTAACTCTTGGTGCTAGAGACAGCATGCTCTTCTAATTTTAAATAGTTATGTAGATAAATTTATTGTGTTTTCCTTATATTCAATCTCAGTTACAATGACAAAAGCCCCCAAATTATCTCCATCACATAATATTCCAAAAGTTAGATAAATAATACATTTGCTTCAAAAATAAGTGGGTATTTTTTCTATTAAGAAAAATAATTTCATGATAATTCCATGTCTAAAATAATGAATGCAAAGTGCCAGCCTCCCCACATATAGTGTCATCCTATTCCATTGTTTGCTTCTCAGGTGACACAATAGGTACTATGGACATCATGGCTCAGGACTAGGCCAGAGACCGAACAGATCCCAGGTGTCAGAATTTTCCTTTCTATGTCTACCATAGCCTCGCTTACAGGCAAAGAATGTGGAGATTGTTCATACCAAGAGGACAAGAAGAGGACAATTATGGGTGTAGACACAGTCAGTTGCAATATGTGCCAGTCCTGAATGGCAAAAGCCAGCCCTCCTAGGAGCATCTGCCCAACACTGTAGGAACATAATAGCACCATTATTGTCATAGATCGTGACCGGGGCAATGTCCACTCTAAGCCTGGAAGAAAACATATACATAGTAATAATTTTAGACAAATGGTAATTTCAAGGTCAATTCAAGACATGGAGATGATAAAATGCTCAAATTATTGACTTACTGAGAATAAAAGTGTTTCCCAAAATAGTCATGGTGGAGAACCCTGCCAAGAAGCGCAGTATGCAGTAAACAAGGAAGGTGGGAGCGAAGGCCGCACAGGTGTTAGAGATGGCCAGCTGGAGGAAACACAATTTGCATATGATCTTCCGTCCAACCCTAAGAAATATTAAACCAGATAACGTTACTTAGGAACAAAAATAACACGTGGAAAACTTGACAAACAATGGCGCATCTTGAAATTAGGATAAATGTTTAACAAGTGGAACATGGTGCTTGACACCGGGTGGCATAATTATATTAGTGAGCAGCAAAAATCACAGATGTAACCCTCCCTATTTGTCAGTATGAGAGTGTTGTCAAAGCTCTCACCAAACCATCACTGGAAGGACTCTTTCGCCATATGAAGCCATATAAAAGAAGATGAAATATGGGAAGTTGTCCCATATTTCCCAAATGTTTATTCTACAAAACATATGCATTTAGGATAGTGGATATGTGTGTTGTGTTTAGAGCACTGAGGAGGGAAATCCAGAGATCTGTTCTTGGGTCTCTGCACTGTCCAGGTAAAAGCTAAACTTATTTGAAAGGAAGAGTGGAAAGACAATAAATCAAAGTTGCAGATAGGCTGCATAACAATCACTCAGCTATGTCTAGATTTACAGGCTTGGGAAATGTGTTTCAGCTCTATAGAAAACAGTTCAGCATTTTTTCATGTGTTTTTTGGCTGCATAAATGTCTTCTTTTGAGAAGTGTCTGTTCATGTCCTTCGCCCACTTTTTGATGGGGTTGTTTGTTTTTTTCTTGTAAATGTGTTTGAGTTCATTGTAGATTCTGGATATTAGCCCTTTGTCAGATGAGTAGGTTGTGAAAATTTTCTCCGATTTTGTAGGTTGCCTGTTCACTCTGACGGTAGTTTCTTTTGCTGTGCAGAAGCTCTTTAGTTTAATTAGATCCCATTTGTCAATTTTGGCTTTTGTTGCCATTGCTTTTGGTGTTTTAGACATGAAGTCCTTGCCCATGCCTATGTCCTGAATGGTAATGCCTATTCCCACTCATAGGTGGGAATTGAACAATGAGATCACATGGACACAGGAAGGGGAATATCACACTCTGGGGACTGTTGTGGGGTGGGGGGAGGGGGGAGGGATAGCATTGGGAGATATACCTAATGCTAGATGACGAGTTAGTGGGTGCAGCGCACCAGCATGGCACATGTATACGTATGTAACTAACCTGCACAATGTGCACATGTACCCTAAAACTTAAAATATAATAAAAAATAAATAAAAAAAAAGAAAAAGAAAACAGTTCAGCAACTGTTCCCCTCAGTGCAGAAACTGGTAGAAAGTTTACAGAGGAGAGGATGAGGTAAGGCAGAGAATGAGAAACAAAGAAGGGGAAGATAAACAAATAGAAAAGAGCAGTATGTGTGTCACAGACTGGCAGGAAGGGCAGGCACCCTTTCTAGAGTTAACTTTGACCAAATTACATGAGTTGATACTAAATTCTCAGTAGTATTAGCATACAAACAAACTTTAGTTTTGGACACCTGTTCTGTAATTTTTGTTACCCTAGTAGTATATTTATGTCATGATTACTCTTATAAAATGTCTTACTTTCTGAATGTTTATATAGAATATATTTTATTACTAAATTTGTATGAGGCAACTTAGAATAGAATTATCTTTAAAAAAAGATCTATGATACAGGACATGATGGAGAAGGAATCATTGGAAAACTGAGAAATAGAAACACAATAAGTACAATGAGAATGTATATATCCTCAATAAAAATCTCATGGTAGTGGTTGCCCCCAGATAAGAGGGAGGGATAAATAGGTATATGTAGCACAGGACATTTTTAAGGAGATACTCTGATGGTAGATACATGATATTATACTTTTGCCAAAACCCATAACACTGTACAACACAAACACTGAGCCCTAAGATAAACTATGAACTTTAGTAAATAATGTATGAATATTGGTCTATCAATTGTAATAAATGTATCACACTAGTGCAAAATGTTGGTAATATGGGAAACTTTGTGGAAGGGATTATATGGGAACACTCTACTTTCTACTCATTATTTCTGTAAACCTAAAATTGCTATAAAAATTAAAGCCTATTAGTAAAAAAAATTCTCATAGTAAAGAAACACATATCGAGATGTTAATATTAGAAATAGATGTGTTGTTAGGAATACTGTTGTTAGGAATTCATCACTGGAAATGAGAATAGGAAAAAATTGTTGGGGGATCACTATGAAGAACTATGAAATAGTTTGAAGCAGCAGACTAGATATGCACATGAAACTAGAGGTAGATCTCAAAAACTTGGTGAATGACAAAGGTTAGAAAGAGATTGGATACTTTTTATGTAAATTAAAATACCTGCATACCCAATGATATCACACATTTTTTTTTGCTTTAAAAAATTTTTTATTTTACTTTTTTTAAGTTTAATTTTATTATTATACTTTAAGTTTTAGGGTACATGTGCACAATGTGCAGGTTAGTTACATATGTATACACGTGCCATGCTGGTGTGCTGCACCCATTAACTCATCATTTAGCATTAGGTATATCTCCTAATGCTATCCCTCCCGACTCCCCGCCACCCCACAACAGTCCCCGGAGTGTGATGTTCCCCTTCCTGTGTCCATGTGTTCTCATTGTTCAATTCCCACCTATGAGTGAGAACATGCAGGATATCACACACTTTTTTTAGCTTGAAGAAATAAAAACATTAATAATAAACACATGAGAAAGCCCTTTATGGTGAAAGATGGGAATAGAAACAAATGGGGTAGACATGAAGAGTTATACAAGTATGAAAGAGGCCTTGCCCAAATTAACGAAGATATTACCTCATCAATAAGGAAAATGATTAACTGAATCATTTTCATTCATTAAAAGTACAGATGGTACAGAGTCTGGCTAGATATTTACCATCATTTTTCTTTTTAAAGGCCTATTGGAAGAAAGCATTTCTTGTAATTCAATGTAGTTACCATGGGGATTTACTTGGATGTGGCAAGTAATATACGCTAACTCCAGACCTGACCATAAAAGGTCCACTGTAGTCTCACACGCTCTTTCATAGAAATTAAAGACCTGCAATAAATGGCCCTGGTTCTCCGAGCTACTGTCTGAAAGATGGGTGCCCTGTAGACTCATTCCACCATATCTGACTAAAACATCAATGAGGATTATCCTTTCATTATGGTAACTGTTTAAGATTTTGGGCAGCTAACTCTCATGACTAATGTGTTAGGGCTAAGATGAAGCTGGTGTTTGATGAAGATAAACAGAGAAGGTTTATGTGCATTTAAACATTTATTTATTTATTTATTGAGATGGAGTCTTGCTCTGCCACCAGGCTGGAGTGCGGTGGTGCCATCTCGGCTCACTGCAACCTCCGCCTCCTGGGTTCAAGCCATTCTCCTGCCTCAGCCTCCCGAGTAGCTGGGACTACAGGCACCCATCACCATGCCCAGCTAGTTTTTTTATTTTGTATTTTTAGTAGAGACGGGGTTTCAGCATGTTGGCCAGGATGGTCTTGATCTCCTGACTTCGTGATCCGCTAGCCTCGGCCTCCCAAAGTGCTGGGATTACAGGCCTGAGCCACTGTGCCTGGCCTATTTTATTTCTTAAATTAACAAATAATAGTTGTACATATTCGTGGGATATATAGTGATGTTTCAATACTTATAATGTACAGTAATCAGAATGGGGTGATTAGCATACCTATCTTCTCAAAACACCTATCATTTCTTTGTGTTGGAAATATTAGATATCCTCCTTTGAGCTATTTGAAACTATATATATTATTGTTAACTAAAGTAATCCTACAGTGGTATAGAATACTATGTGCATATTTTGATTGGAGGAGGAAGGAGAAGAGGCAAAGAGAACATCTAGAATGAAAAAGTTGTGTCAGTCTTGATTTGGTTTAATGAACTTACATTAAGGTGAAAATGAATGCTAGTGAAAAAAGAATGAGGGCACAGTTGTATACTACAGTGCATAATGAATATTATGCACATAATGAATACAGGGTAACTTTGAAACCTGAAAAAGAAAGAAGTCAAGGCTGGAAAACTTAATTAATAAGGTAAGAGAATGCCAATGCCAGTCACAGTGATGTAAAATGGTGATCATATGGTGAGTTCCTGCTTTAGACAGAGTTTAATCTACTTGATATCACTGGTCTCTATCTACATTTCTTTTCTGAGTTACCCCTTCCACTTTCATAACTATGAAAATAATTATATGCTAATAAATTCTAAATTATTGTCTCTAGCTTTGACCTCTTCTGTGACCTGAATATCCATTATATACAACTGTCTACCTGAAACTCCATATGCATGTCTAATAGGCAACTCCGACCCAGAAAGTCCAAAGCAGACATCTTGACTTTCTTCCCCAGATTTACTTTCTTTCTAGTCTTCTCTCATCTTGTATAGTGGCATCAGAATTTACTTGTTTGCTTGGGCGAAAAGCCTATATCCCCTTGGATTCTTCTGTTTCTCTTCCTAGCAGTCCCCCAATAGTGGAAAATATTCTAAGCTTATCAGCAACTCTTATTGTCTCTACCTCTAAAACATTTTACAAATCCAACTCTATCTTACCATCTCCCTTGATATCCCTTTAATTTACATTCTTATGATCTTTCCTCTGGACTATTTCAACAGCCTTTTAAATGGTCCTTGCTACTACTCAGTGGAGGAGTAAGTCTTTAAAAAGGTTTTATTGTAAAATTCCCCTTAAAAATAAAGATCGAGAAATTTACTGAGAGTAACTTGGGTGAAGGCACCACCAGATAGGAGTCAAGGAAGAGATCTTTGAGGGGGTGAAATTTAAATTTGAGTAAACAGAAGGTGTGGGCTGAGCTATGTGCAGAAAAAAGAATATTATGGCCAGAGGGAACAGCAAGTATAAATGCTACATGATGGGAACCAGCTTGATGTCTTGAAGACTAGCAGAAAATGGAAGAAGGTAATAGATGAGGTGAGAAAGGGATACAGCAGCCAGATCTCAGAGCTGGCAAGATTTATGATAAGAAAACTTAGATTTTATTCTAAGTGCAGTGGAATACTGTTGAGTGTCATCTAGCTCCTGGGGGGAAGAAAGACAGAAAAAACTTTCAAGCTTGAGAAGGCACAGATAATGAGATAAATTCGATGTATGGATTAACTGTGTGATATTAACAGGAGTCAAACACTAGCAGACGGTTCTTTTTAAAGAAGTGAGCAACATATTCTTAAAGGTTTTGTAACAGAACAAGGTAGTTATTTGTTAGAAATGCAGAAGTTCCTTCATTTGATAGGAGGTTGAACTTGATAACTTCTAGAGTTCCTTTACTATCTTCCAAAATATCCCTTCACTATTTTAGATGTTAGGGTCATCTTACAAATCTGAGCCATGGTTATTGAAATAAATTATTTTACAACTGGTCTCCTGGCTGCCACTGTTAGCTCTTACTAACAGTCTTTTCAACTCAACTGTCACAAACCCTATCATTGTCATATCCCTTATTAAACATTTCAAATTAAAATGTGGCACATATACACCATGGAATACTATGCAGCCATAAAAAATGATGAGTTCATGTCCTTTGTAGGGACATGAATGAAAATGGAAATCATCATTCTCAGTAAACTATTGCAAGGACAAAAAACCAAACAACGCATGTTCTCACTCATAGGTGGGAATTGAACAATGAGAACACATGGACACAGGAAGGGGAACATCACACTCTGGGGACTGTTGCGGGGTGGGGGGAGTGGGGAGGGATAGCATTAGGAGATATACCTAATGCTAAATGACGAGTTAATGGGTGCAGCACACCAGCATGGCACATGTATACATATGTAACTAACCTGCACATTGTGCACATGTACCCTAAAACTTAAAGTATAATAATACAAAAATAAAAAAAAACAAAAAAACATTTCATTGAAGTTTATTTTTCATTAAAAAATTTTTTTATTATACTTTAAGTTCTGAGGTACCTGTGCAGAATGTGCAGTTTTGTTACATAGGTGTACAAGTGCCATGGTGGTTTGCTGCACCCATTAACTTGTCATCTACATTAGGTATTTCTCCTAATGCTACTCCTCCCCTAGCCCTGCACTCCACGACAGGCCCTGGTATGTGATGTTCCCCTCCCTGTGTCCATGTGTTCTCATTGTTCAACTCCCACTTCTGAGTGAGAACATGCAGTGTTTAGTTTTCTGTTCCTGTGTTAGTTTGCTGAGAATGATGGTTTCTAGCTTCATCCATGTCTCTGCAAAGGACATGAACTCATCCTTTTTTATGGCTGCATAGTATTCCATGGTGTATATGTGCTACATTTTCTTAATCCAGTCTGTCATTGGTGGACATTTGGGTTGGTTCCAAGTATTTGCTATTGTGAATAGTGCCGCGGTAAACATACGTGTGGATGTGTCTTTATAGTAGCATGATTTATAATCCTTTGGGTATATACCCAGTAGTAGGATTCTGGGTGAAATAATATTTCTGGTTCTAGATCCTTGAGGAATTGCCACACTGTCTTCCACAATGGCTGAACTAATTTACACTCCCACCAACAGTGTAAAAGTGTTCTTATTTCTCCACATCCTCTCCAGCATCTGTTGTTTCCTGACTTTTTAAATGATTGCCATTCTAACTGGTGTGAGATGGTATCTCATTGTGGTTTTGATTTGCATTTCTCTGATGACTGGTGATGATGAGCATTTTTTCCTATGTTGGTTGGCTGCATAAATGTCTTCTTTTGAGAAGTGTCTGTTCATATCCTTCGCCCACTTTTTGATGGGGTCGTTTGTTTTTTTTCTTGTAAATTTGTTTAAGTTCTTTTTAGATTCTGGATATTAGCCCTTTGTCAGATGGGTAGATTGCAAAAATTTTCTCCCATTCTGTATGTTTCCTGTTCACTCTAATGGTAGTTTCTTTTGCTGTGCAGAAGCTCTTTAGTTTAATTAGATCCCATTTGTCTATTTTGGCTTTTGTTGCCATTGCTTTGGTGTTGTAGATGTGAAGTCTTTGCCCATGCCTATGACCTGAATGGTATTGACTAGGTTTTCTTCTAGGATTTTTATGGTTTTAGGTCTTACTTTTAAGTCTTTAATCCATCTTGAATTAATTTTTGTATAAGGTGTAAGGAAGAGGTCCAGTTTCAATTTTCTGCATATGGCTAGCCTATTTTCCCAATACCATTCATTAAATAGGGAATCCTTTCCCCATTGCTTGTTTTTGTCAGGTTTGTCAAAGATCAGATAGTTGTAGATGTGTGGTGTTATTTCTGAGGCCCCTGTTCTGTTCCATTGGTCTATATATCTGTTTTGGAACCAGTACCATGCTGTTTTGATTACTGTAGCCTTGTAGCATAATTTGAAGTCAGGTAGCGTGTTGCCTCCAGCTTTATTCTTTTTGCTAAGGATTTTCTTAGCTATGTGGGGTCTTTTTTGGTTCCATATGAAGTTTAAAGCAGTTTTTTCCAATTCTGTGAAGAAAGTCAGTGGTAGCTTGATGGGGATAGCATTGAATGTATAAATTACTTTGGGAAGTATGGCAATTTTCACAGTATTGATTCTTTTTATCCATGAGCATGGAATGTTTTTCCATTTGTTGGTGTCCTCCCATTTCTTTGAGCAGTGGTTTTCCTTGAAGAGGTCCATCAGATCCCTTGTAAGTTGTATTCCTAGGTATTTTATTCTCTTAGTAGCAATTGTGAATGGGAGTTCACTCAGGATTTGGCTCTCAGTTTGTCTGTTATTGGTGTATAGGAATACTTGTGATTTTTAAAAATTATACTTTAAGTTCTAGGGTACATGTGCACAATGTGCAGGTTTGTTACATATGTATACACGTGCCATATTGGTTTGCTGCACCCATCAAGTCGTCATTTACATTAGGTATTTCTCCTAATGCTGTCACTGCCCCAGCCCCCCACTCCCTGACAGGCCCTGGTATGTGATGTTCCCCACCCTGTTT
This sequence comes from Homo sapiens, assembly GCF_000001405.40. Classification (NCBI taxonomy): domain Eukaryota; kingdom Metazoa; phylum Chordata; class Mammalia; order Primates; family Hominidae; genus Homo; species Homo sapiens. The sequence goes on from NC_000011.10 coordinate 63,127,179, forward strand.
CCATGTGTTCTCATTGTTCAACTCCCACCTATAAGTGAGAACATGTGGTGTTTGGCTTTCGGTCCTTGTGATAGTTTGTTTAGAATGATGGTTTCCAGCTACATTCAAGTCCCTGCAAAGGACATGAACTCATCCTTTTTTATGGCTGCATAGTATTCCATGGTGTATATGTGCCACATTTTCTTAATCCAATCTGTCATTGGTGGACATTTGGGTTGGTTCCAAGTCTTTGCTATTGTGAATAGTGCCACAATAAACATACGTGTGCATGTGTCTTTAGAGTAGCATGATTTATAATCCTTTGGGTATATACCCAGGAATGTGATTGCTGGGTCAAATGGTACTTCTAGTTCTAGAACCTTGAGGAATCGCCACACTATCTTCCACAATGGTTGAATTAACTTACACTCCCACCAACAGTGTAAAAGTGTTCCTATTTCTCCACATCCTCTCCAGCACCTGTTGTTTCCTGACTTTTTAATCACTGCCATTCTAGCTGGTGTGAGATGGTATCTCATTGTGGTTTTGATTTGCATTTCTCTGATGACTAGTGATGATGAACATTTTTTCATATGTCTGTTTTCTGCATAAATGTCTTCTTTTGAGAAATGTTGTTCATATCCTTTGCCCACTTTTTGATTTTTTTTTGTAAATTTGTTTAAGTTCTTTTTAGATTCTGGATATTAGCTGTTTGTCAGATGGATAGACTACAAAAATTTTCTCCCATTCTGTAGGTTGCCTGTTCACTCTGATGATAGTTACTTTTGCTGTGCAGAAGCTCTTTAGTTTAATTAGTGTGGGCGGCAAGCCACCCAGGCACCGACGCAAGAGACTGAGAGCAGGAGCTGTTCCAGTATAATAAAGAAAATATATAAAATAAGAAGAGTTATACTAGATATAGATGATAGATATGATTATATATGAATATTATTAATCATTAGTTTGTAGCAATTACTCTTTATTCCAATATTATAATAATCATCACTCTACAATTATAACTTAGGAGAAACCAGGCCATAGAGAGATAGGAGCTGAAGGGTCACGGTGAGAAGTGACCAGAAGACAAGAGTGTGAGCCTTCTGTCATGCCTGGACAGGGCCACCAGAGGGCTCCTTGGTCTAGCAGTAACACCAGCGCCTGGGAAGACACCTGTTACCTAGCGGACCTTGGTCTAGTCGTAGCGTCAGTGCCTAGGAAAAGCACCCGCTACTTAGCAGACTGGGAAAGGGATTCTCCCTTTCCCTGGGGGAGTTAGAGAAGACTCTGCTCCACCACCTCTTGTGGAGGGCCTGACATCAGTCAGGCCCACCTGCAGTTATCCGGAGGCCTAACCATCTCCCTGTGATGCTGTGTTTCAGCGGTCATGCTCCTGGTCCGCTTTCATGTTCCATCCTGTACACCTGGCTCTGCCTTCTAGATAGCAGTAGCAGAATTAGTGAAAGTACTAAAAGTCTCTGAAATGCAGAAATAATGGCGTAAACTGTCTCCTCTCTCTCTCTCTGTCTGCCTCAGCTGCCAAATTGGGAAGGGCCCCCGTCCAGTGGACACATGACCCATGTGACCTTACCTATCATTGGAGATGGCTCACATTCCTTACCCTGCCCCCTTGTCTTGTATCTAATAAATAACAGCGCAGCCTGGCATTCAGGGCCACTACCAGTCTCCGCGTCTTGGTGGTAGTGGTCCCCCAGGCACAGCTGTCTTTTCTTTTACCTCTTTGTCTTGTGTCTTTATATCTACAATCTCTCATCTCTGTACATGGGGAGAAAAACCCATAGACCCTGTAGGGCTGGTCCCTACAAATTAGATCCCATTTGTCTATTTTGGCTTTTGTTGCCATTGTTTTGGTGTTTTAGTCATGAAGTCTTTGCTCATGCCTAAGTCCTGAATGGTACTGCCTAGGTTTTCTCTAGGGCTTTTATGGTGTTAGGTCTTACATTTAAGTCTTTAATCCATCTTGAGTTAATTTTTGTATAAGGTGTAAGGAAGGGATCCAGTTTTAGCTTTCTACGTATGGCTAGCCAGTTTTCCCAGCACCACTTATTAAAAAGGAAATCCTTTCCCCATTGCTTGTTTTTGTCAGATTTGTGAAAGATCAGATGGTCATAGACGTGTGGTGTTATTTCTGAAGCTTCTATTCTGTTCCATCGGTCTATATATCTGTTTTGGTACCCGTACCATGCTGTTTTGATTATTGTAGCCTTGTAGTATAGTTTGAAGTCAGGTAGCGTGTTGCCTCCAGCTTTGATCTTTTTGCTTAGGGTTGTCTTGGCTATGCGGTCTCTTTTTGGTTCCATGTGAATTTTAAAGTAGTTTTTTTTCCAATTCTGTGAAGAAAGACATTGGTAGCTAGATGGGGATGGCATTGAATCTATAAATTACCTTGGACAGTAGGACCATTTTCATGATATTGATTCTTCCTATCCATGACCATGGAATGTTCTTCCACTTGCTTGTGTCCTCTTTTATTTTGTTGAGCAGTGGTTTGTAGTTTTCCTTGAGGAGGTTCTTCACATCCCTTGTAAGTTGGATTCCTAGGTATTTTATTCTCTTTGTAGTAACTGTGGATGGGAGTTCACTCATGATTTGGCTCTCTGTTTGTCTGTTATTGGTGTGTAGCAATGCTTGTGATTTTTCCACATTAATTTTTTATCCTGAGACTTTGCTAAAGTTGCTTATCAGCTTAAGGAGATTTTGGCTGAGATGATGGGTTTTCTAAGTATACAATAATTTCATCTGCAAACAGAGACAATTTGATTTCCCCTTTTTCTAACTGAACACCCTTTATTTCTTTCTCTTGCCTGATTGCCGTGGCCAGAACTTCCAACACTATGTTGAATAGGAGTGGTGAGAGAGGGCATCCTTGTCTTGTGCTGGTTTTCAAAGAGAATGCTTCCAGTTTTTGCCCATTCAGTATGATATTGGCTTTGGGTTTGTCATAACTAACTCTTATTATTTTGAGATACGTTCCATCTATACCTAGTTTATTGAGAGTTTTTAGCATGAAGTGCTGTTGAATTTTGTTGAAGGTCTTTTCTGCATCTATTGAGATAATCATGTGGTTTTTGTCATTGGTTCTGTTTATGTGATGGATTACGTTTATTGATTTGCATATGTTGAACCAGCCTTGCATCCCAGGGATGAAGCCCACTTGATTATGGTGGATAAGCTTTTTGATGTGCTGCTGGATTCGGTTTGCTAATATTTTATTGAGGATTTTCACATCAATGTTCATCAGGGATGTTGGTCAAAAATTCTCTTTTTCTTGTGTCTCTGTCAGGCTTTGCTATCATGATGATGCTGGTCTCATAAAATGAATTAGGGAGGATTCTCTCTTTTTCTATTAATTGGAATAGTTTCAGAAGGAATGGTACCTACTCCTGTTTGTACCTATGGCAGAATTCGGCTGTGAATCTGTCTGGTCCTGGACTTTTTTTGATTGGTGGGCTGTTAATTATTGCCTCAATTTCAGAGCCCATTATTGTTCTATTCAGAGATTCAACTTCTTCCTGGTTTAGTCTTGGGAGGGTGTATTTGTCCAGGAATTTATCAATTTCTTCTAGATTTTCTAGTTTATTTGTATAGAGGTGTTTATAGTGTTCTCTGATGGTAGTTTGTATTTCTGTGGGATCAGTGGTGCTGGATATCCTTGTTAACCTTCTGTCTCATTGATCTGTCTAATATTGACAGTGGGGTGTTAAAGTCTCTCATTATTATTGTGTGGTAGTCTAAGTCTTTTTGTAGGTCTTTAAGAACTTGCTTTATGAATCTGGGTGGTCCTGTATTGGGTGTATATATATTTAGGATAGTTAGCTTTTCTTGTTGAATTGATCCCTTTACCATTATATAGTGGCCTTCTTTGTCTCTTTTGATCTTTGTTGGTTTAAAGTCTGTTTTATCAGATACTAGGATTGCAACCCCTGCTTTTTTTTGCTTTCCATTTGCTTGGTAGATCTTCCTCCCTCCCTGTATTTTGAGCCTATACACGTCTTTGTATGTGAGCTGGGTTTCCTGAGTATAGCACACCGATAAAGAGTCTTGACTCTTTATCCAATTTGCCAGTCTGTGTCTTTTGATTGGGGCATTTAGCCCAGTTACATTTAAGGTTAATATTATTATGTTTGAATTCGAGCCTGTCATTATGATGTTAGCTGGTTATTTTGCCTGTTAATTGAGGCAGTGTCTTCATAGTGTCAATGGTCTTTACAATTTGGTATGTTTTTGCAGTGGCTGGTACTGGTTGTTCCTTTCCATGTTTAGTGCTTCCTTCAGGAACTCTTGTAAGGCAGGCCTGGTGGTGACAAAATCTCTCAGCATTTGCTTGTCTTTAAAGGATTTTTATTTCTCCTTCACTTATGAAGCTTAGTTTGGCGGGACGTGAAATTCTGGGTTGAAAATTCTTTTTTTAAGAATGTTGAATATTGGCCCCCAATCTTTTCTGGCTTGTAGGGTTTCTGCTGAGAGAAGTGCTATTAGTCTGATGGGCTTCCCTTAGTGGGTAACCCCACCTTCATCTCTGGCTGCCCTTAATATTTTTTGTCTTCGTTTCTACCTTGGTGAATCTGACAATTACATGTCTTGGGCTTGCTCTTCTCAAGGAGTATCTTTGTAGTGTTCTCTGTATTTCCTGGATTTGAATGTTGGCCTGCCTATCTAGGTTAGGGAAGCTCTCCTGGATAACATCCTGAAGAGTATCTTCTAACTTGGTTCCATTTTCCCTGTCACTTTCAGGTACACCAATCAATCATATATTTGGTCTTTTCACTTAGTCCCATATTTCTTGACAGCTTTGTTCATTTCTTTTCACTCTTTTTTCTCTAATCTTGTCTTCTCACTTTATTTCATTCATTTCATCTTCAATCATTGATATCCATTCTTCCACTTGATCCAATAGGCTATTTTAGCTTGTGCATGCATCACAAAGTTCTCATGCTGTGGTTTTCAGCTCCATCCAGTCCTTTAAGGTCTTTTCTACACTGTTTATTTTATTTAGCCATTCGTCTAACCTTTTTTCAAGGTTTTTAGCTTCCTTGAAATGGGTTAGAACATGCTTCTTTAGCTTGGAGAAGTTTGTTATTACCAACCTTCTGAAGCCTACTTCTGTCAACTTGTCAAACTCATTCTTCATCCAGTTTTTTTCCCTTGCTGGCAAGCAGCTGTGAACCTTTGGAGGAGAAGAGGCACTCTGGTTTTTAGAATTTTCCACTTTTCTGCTCTGGTTTCTCCTCATCTTTGTGGTTTTATCTACCTTTGGTCTTTGATGTTGGTGACCTACAGATGGGGTTTTGGTGTAGAAGTCCTTTTTGTTGATGGTGATGCTATTCCTTTCTGTTTGTTAGTTTTCATTCTAACAGTCAGGTCCTTCAGCTGCAGGTCTGTTGGAGTTTGCTGGAGGTCCACTCCCGACACTCTTTGCTTGGGTATCACTAGCAGAAGCTGCAGAACAGCAAATATTGCAGAACAGCAAATATTGCTGCCTGATCCCTCCTCTGGAAGCTTCTTCCCAGAGGAGCACCCACCTGTATGAGGTGTCTGTCGGCCCCTACTGGGAAGTGTCTTCCAGTCAGGCTACATGGGGGCCAGGGACCCACTTGAGGAGGCAGCCTGTCTTTTCTCAGAGCTCGAATGCCATGCTGAGAGAACCACTGGTCTCTTCAGAGCTGTCAGACAGGGATGTTTAAGTCTGCAGAAGCTGTCTGCTGCCTTTTGTTCAGCTATGCCCTGCCCCCAGAGGTGGAATCTAGAGAGGCAGTAGTCCTTACGGAGCTACGGTGGGCTCTGCCCAGTTCGAACTTCCCAGCCACTTTGTTTACACTGTGAGCTACTCAAGCCTCAGCAATGGTGGATGCCCCTCCCCCTGTCAAGCTGCAGTATCGCAGGTCGATCTCAGACTGGTGCACTAGCAGTGAGCAAGGCTCAGTGGGCATGGGACCCACCGAGCCAGGCATGCGAGGGAATCTCCTGATCTGCAGGTTGCCAAGACTGTGGGAAAAGTGCAGTATTTGGTCAGGAGTGTACTGTTTCTCCAGGTGCAGTCTGTCACACCTTCCCTTGGCTAGGAAAGGGAAATCCCCAATCCCTTGCACTTCCTGGGTGAGGCGGCACCCCACCCTGCTTCAGCTTACCCTCAATGGGTTGCACCCACTGTCCAACCAGTCCCAATGAGATGAACCAGGTACCTCAGCTGGAAATGTAGAAATCACCCATCTTCTGTGTTGATCTCACTGGGAGCTGCAGACCGGAGCTATTCCTATTCAGCCATCTTGGAAGTGATCCCAGGTCACAATTTTTAAATAAAGACTGTCAGATGACATTGAGCATCTAAACTCTCCTCAGTGTCCTTGTGGGTGACATGCTTCAGTGACAGCCATGGTTGAGTGCCTCCTTCAGAAGGAGCTCTGCCAGGACAAAGGAATCCCCAAACATCTCATCCTCAAGCAAAGTCATCCTAGGTTCTTTTTTTTTCTTTTTTCTTTTTTTTCAGACAGTGTCTCGCTTTGTTGCCCAGGCCAGAGTACAGTGGCATGATCTCAGCTCACTGCAACCTCTGCCTTCTGGGTTCAGGTGATTCTCACACCTCAGCCTCCTGAATAGCTGGGAGCTATATAGGTGCCAGCCACCATGCCAGGCTAATTTTTGTATTTTTAGTAGAGATGGGGTTTCACAGTATTGGCCAGGCTGGTCTCAAACTCCTTACCCCAAGTGATTCACCCACCTTGGCCTCCCAAAGTGTTGGTATTATGGGCGTGAGCCACCGTGCCCACTCCATTCTAGGTTCTTAATTTATTTATATGAATATACCACAATCTATTAGAGTAGATTAGTAGATAAATACAATCTATTTTGTATAACCCTTATGTGGTTATACAAATGACATTTTAAAATTATTTCACAAGGATCAGCATCCAGGTTAGAGGTGCAATGTCTTCCTATCCTGTGAGTGCCACAGTGCTGCACAACCATCAGATTTTATAATGATGACTACCCACTGCACATGAGCACTTATGCTGCAGGTATGAAATGATGGCCAGTCTAAAAGTGCCTCAATAATTTCTCTCACAGGGTCTAGGTGGTTTAGAACATTGTCAAGGCCAATAACGCTGTTTCACAAATTTGCACTTTCAGACCCGAAGCACCTCCTGCCTCAAACACCCTTCCTCTCCCTGTATTGAACTAACTCCTACAAGTAAACCTCAAATCCTGTAATCTACTCTAAAAATCCCTTCCTGAAACTTCTTTGAATCTGATTTGGATGTCTTTTTCTGTCCTCTTTTATTCAGTACAATGAACAGACTTTTAATACCCAACTATCATTTCTAATTCAAATAAGCATTCTTAATCAGCTGTAGCTTCCTGGAGTCAGAAAGAGAGATCAGCACATAGCACAATGCAAAGTATACAGTAAGAGCTCAGTAAATATTTCTAAAATAAAGGAATGAATATATCATCTGATAAACAGCCCCAAAGAAAGTGAGATGACACTCACCTGTCTGAAAGATGGCCATATATTAGACCTCCCAGAAGTGACCCAGCCATAAATAGGGATTGAACCATTGATTTTAGTGACTGAGATTCACATACCAGGTCCCACTGGAAGAGAAAGAAAGCAGTACAGCAGAGCTTGAGAAGAGTTTCAACTCTTTAGTAGAAACTGACTCCAAACTCCTACATATGGTGTACACAATCCTCTGCTAGGCAGGTCCTGCCTCCCTCTCCAGCTTCATCTGCAGGTACTCTTTTCTGGTAGCTCATATTCTAAAAATACTAAACTTATTTCAACTTTTCAAATGCATCTGTCTCTCTCTCACCTCCTAACCTTCCAAAATATATATCCACATGTCTACAAGTCTTTATTCCTTTTCCTCTCGGACCACTAAGTTCCTTTAATGCATTACCTTATACACATTTTTTGGGTATTATAATTAAAAGCACATAAAAACAATTAAAGACTTCAGGTACAAAAATTTTAAAAATATATAAAACCCCCACAATCTTTCTAAGAAGGCTTCCCTCATCATGTAGGTAACATATGAGCTCTACCTTTGACTTCACTTAGCAGTCTATAATTCAACTACTACAGTAAGTCTCATCTTTGTCCACAGATTGAATCACCTGAACAGCTTTAAAAATACCGATGCCTAGATCCTGTGCCCAGAGGTTCTGATTTACTTACTCTGGGTATCAGTTTTTTAAGTATTGAGAATCACTCAAAACTGGGGCGACCTAGCATAACATTTGCCTAACAGCATTCCAAATACTTTACAAATTATAGGTCTTTCTCCCTAGATTAAATGACATAGTAACAGGTTTATGTTTAGTTTGTTTAATTAATTCGCTTAATATTAGGTTGGTGCAAATGTAATTGTGGTTTTTGCATTGTTGGAATTTGCCATTTGATATTGGAATACATTCTTAAATAATGTGGTTATGTTATCAGTCATTGCAATGGACATTTCTCGCTTTATTTTTTTGCTAATGACTTATTACTTGCTGTTTATTTTATGTTTATTTTTGACTATGGAAATGATGTTAGACAAAAAGCAAAACCGAGTGATTTTCTTATTTGAGTTCAAAATGGGCTGTAAAGCAGTGGAGACAACTTGCAACATCAACAATGCATTTGACCCAGAAACTGCTAATGAACATACAGTGCAGTGGTGGTTCAAGAAGTTTTGCAAAGGAGACGAGAGCCTTGAAGATGAGGAGTGTAGTGGCTGGCCATCGGAAGTCAACAATGACCAGTTGAGAGCAATCATCGAAGCTGATCCTCTTACAACTACGCAAGAAGTTGCCAAAGAACTCAGCGTTGACCATTCTACAGTCATTTGGCATTTGGGACAAATTGGAAAGGTGAAAAAGCTCGATAAGTGGGTGCCTCATGAGCTGACTGCAAATAGAAAACATCATTGTTTTGAAGTGTCATCTTATTCTACACAACAACAAACCATTCCTCAATCAGATTGTAATGTGTGATGAAAAGTAGATTTTATATGACAACTGGCAATGAACAGCTCAGTGACTGGATTGAGAAGCAGCTCCAAAGCACTTTCCAAGGTGAAACTTGCACGAAAAAAAGGTCATGGTCACTGTTTGGTTGTCTGTCGCTGGTCTGATCCACTACAGCTTTCTGAATCCCAGTGAAACCATTACATCTGAGAAGTATGCTCAGCACTTCGATGAGATGCACTGAAAACTGCAACACCTGCAACTGGCACTGGTCAATAAAAAGGGCCCAATTCTTCTCCATGACAACATCCAACAGCACATCATACAACCAATGCTTCAAAAGTTGAACAAATTCGGCTACGAAGTTGTGCCTTATCCACCATATTCACCTGACCTCTTGCCAACTGACTCCCACTTCTTCAAACATCTCAACAACTGTTTTGAGGCTGATTTGAGTAATAATAAAACTCCGGTCTCCTGCACAGCTGGCTCTGCATGAATTATTCTTTCTTGATTGCAATTCCCCTGTCTTGATGAATATGCTCTGTCTAGGCAGTGGACAAGGTGTCTCACCCTTGGGTGGTTGCAAATTTGGGAGCTCATCTGGGATTGCCCTTGTGGCTACCTGCCCATGGTTCAGTGGCCCCCTCTTCAGCAATGGATCCAGAAGCCAGCCCAAGTGGTCGCCTAGTTCTCTTGGACTGGTGGCTGACTCTGGTACTCTCTCTACTGGTGGGGAGCTGCCAATCCAATGTACATGGGTTTAATTGCAATGGAGACATAGTCATGGGGAGATGTCCCTTAACTGTAGCTCTATCAGAGGGTGTCTGTCTGTAGCCTCAATGTGGTGTGTCTGCATTGGTGAGTATCCTAGACACTGCCAACACCTCCTTCCTTCTCTCGATGGATTCTGTAGCCCTGTGGTGGGATGTCTGTAGCCCCATTGCAGGGTGTCTGTTTGTAGCTCCACCACAGGGTGTCTGTGTCTGTAGCTCCATTGCAGGGTGTCTGTTTGGCTCCTGAGGAGGTCTCGGTTGGTTCTTTCTAACTAGTAGGAAGAGTCCTGGTTTGGGAGGCTTCTCCTTAATCAGGAAGATTTCAAGGAGGTTTCTCAGATGGAGAATAGAAGGATAGTTTGGAAGGGATAATCTTGAAGTTCTTGGCTAGGGATCTGATTTGGAAGGCCTGCTGTCCATCTCATCTTTGTGTGTGTTTGTATATGTGAAAGGGATCTCACAAGGGGTTGTTGGTGGAAGTCCAGTAGCCCTACCTCAGAGAACCTTCCTTATTTGTCTGGTTATATTTGATGACCCTAAAAAAGGCTCAACAGGCCTGTCTCTCATGGTAACTATCTGCTCTTTGCCTTGCCCAGAGATCCCATTGTGAATTACATTTGCAGGTTATCTCTCCCCACCTGGAGTGGATCAAAGGCAACAGGGACCAACAGGAAAAATGTTTGAGCTTTGCCAGGCTGATATTGGGTACTGAATGAGGTGACTAATGTCTGTTTTGTATGTGTATTTTGCTGGAATGGAAAATGTTAATTCAGTTACCCATGCAGCCCATTGGGCAGCATCTTGCAAATTAAGAATCTTGTCTATGTTTCCATAAAACAGGAAAGTGTGATTTCCTCTTTTAAAGTGGCATGAACCCCACAGCTATAGCACAAGTGAGCAGGATCATCAGAAGCCACTCCATTCTTCTGGAAGCTGCAGAGAAAGGGAAACTGGAAACCTGATATACCAGCAAAAAGGGTAAGAAATTCTTACTGGCCAAGTTTCTGGTCTCTCTCTGTCTTTCTCTGTCTTGGTAAATAGTAAACTATCTGTCTCATCTGCAAGGGTTTGATTAATAAAAAAAGGATTTATGAGACTAATCTTAGGCTGTAGCATATCTGGTATAGTTTGTGCTAAGAATTTGTCTTTCTGTGTTCTGTAATGGAGAGAGGGGTATCAACAGGATAGAACGTGGGTTTAGGACCTCTATAAGCCTGCCTTTCAAGCCAGCTCAGCAGGCTGGTCAGTTACAAACTTTGCTATGGATCCCTGAAGCCAATACTGTATGAGATTTCTATGTCTTGTTTTGTGTCCTTAAGAGCTCAACCTTGTGACCATGCAGGGATTCTTTCTTTTTGTTTCCACCATCCAGAGGACAGAAATTTTGGGGTTCATGTCATAGTCCTACAATTTTTTCCTGACCAGTTAAAGCTTCGCAAGCTTGAAATTGGCTTCTGAGGCCGGGTACGTGGTGGCTTACACCTGTAATCCCAGCACTTTTGGAGGCCGAGGCAGGCAGATCATAAGGTCAGGAGATCAAGACCATCCTGGCTAACACGGTGAAACCCTGTCTCTACTAAAAATAGAAAAAATTAGCCGGGTGTGGTGGCGGGCACCTGTAGTCCCAGCTACTCGGGAGGCTGAGGCAGGAGAATGGCATGAACCTGGGAGGTGGAGCTTGCAGTGAGCCAAGATCATGCCACTGCACTCCAGTCTGGGCAACAGAGCAAGACTCTGTCTCAAAAAAAAAAAAAAAAAAAAAAAAAAAAGAAATTGGCTTCTGTACTCTCCTTCTGGGAAAAGCAATAGAAACTGCTCAATGCTGTATAGTTCAATAGCTAAGGCTTTATCTTTTGATAATGGTGGCCTGGGTTCAATTGTTGGCTTCTGGAATGATTCCTTCCTGGTTTATTTGTGTAACTTTGCCATTTAATAAGGTTTTTTCCCCCCCATGGATAGCTTTTGATTTCCTCTGTTGAATTTTCCTTTCTCTGAACTACCTTGTAGAGATTCTAAATCTTGTAAAAACAAACTGCCTACCATGTCTTTAAAGCACCTAGGAGGTTACCTTTGGTAAAGTTTAGAAATATTGGCTGCTTGGGTAATAAGAGATCTGAAAGGATTTTTTAAAAGAGCACTGTGGTTAAAAGTCAGCTTAATTAAAAGTGGATAAGCAAGTTATAGGCATATTTAAAAGGCCTTTATGTTTTTCTCTTCTTGGAACTTGTTTTTCTGGAAAAAGCTTTTTTCTTCTCAGTCAACTGAAATATTTTTCTCCATTTTTTTTTGTCTTGCCACTCTTAATGCACACACGAGGGGCCCTAAGATAATTTCTGGTAGCCTGGAACTCCTTGGGAAAAACAGAAGGTGCCACAGACACCGTTTCGGAAGAAAGCTCTGTTTTCCTCATGAAACCCCAGGAATTAAAAGCGGATAGATCCCTCTCAAAATGCTGTGTTCTGTTTCGCATTGTGTCATCTGACAGTTTTGAGTTTTAGGGGTATCAGAAATTACTTTTCATTATGAAAGAGCTTGGTGTGTAATAACTAGGTAGGAAATATACCTTAGGGGATGGCTAATAGTAGTTATGGAGGAACACTTGACTCTTTGCACACCTGGATCAGAAAAGCATGCTCTTGGCTACCTGGAAGATATGGAAACATCCCCAACCCCCAATGAGAAATGAGACTCTCATGGGGGATGGTCTAATTATAAGATGGGCTGATTGTCTGGGTTGCCTTGCAAGGAAATGCACAGTTGGTAAAAGCACCACACTGACTTCTCCCAAAGTATTTCCCTCCTTTTAGGGATCCGATCCAGGATCCAGTATAAAATGGCACCCCTAATTTTGGGGATCTGTCTTTGCCTTCAGCTGTGATTAGGCCCTAGAAATGCATGCTCTCCTGGCCCTTTTCCTCCAAGGGCTCTACCTGGAAGCCAGTAATCCAATTAAGAAACTGGCAAATGAAAAATCTTACAAGTACTGAATATTCTCTTTATCTGTATTTATATGTTTTTTTTTGTGTGTGATATTTATATGTAAAAGAGCTCTGATTAATTAGCTTAGAAAAATAAGAGCTTAATATTTTGTCAGAAAAATAGAAACTTTAATGACTTTTTGTTCACATGTCTTTAGTAATCTTTTGGAAATAGAGACAGTTTTTTTGTTTTTTTGTTTTTTTTTTTTGTTTTTTTTTTTTGAGACGGGGTCTTGCTCTGTCACCAGGCTGGAGTGCAGTGGCACAATCTCAGCTCATTGCAACTGCTGCCTCCTGGATTCAAGCAATTCTCCTGCCTCACCCTCCTGAGTAGCTGGGACTACAGGCACACACCACCATGCCCAGCTAATTTTTGTATTTTTAGTAGAGATGAGGTTTCACCATGTTGGCCAGGATGGTCTCAATCTCTTGACCTCATGATCTGCCCACCTCGGCCTCCCAAAGTGCTGGGACTACAGGCGTGAGCCACCACATCTGGGCATAAAGACAGTTTTAAAGATTATCGGTAAAACAAAGTGTCTTGAAAATATAGACATTTGGTCTAAATTAAGGCCAGATATCAGATCTGCTAAATGCCTTAAGGTCAAACTGTTTCCTTGACCTTTGAAAATCATTCAGTTTACCTACTTTGGAGCATTAGATTATAGATGAGGCTTGGGGACACATGAAGAGCCTCGCCCTTAGCTATGCTGAAAAGAATTAGATCTTATCTTCACTTCTATCTGATGTCCTAGGCTTCACCCCAGTACATAATTAAAATTGCTTACTTATCAGGTTTTTCACTAAAAAACAAAAGTAGCAAAGAGTTAACATTGGAATATGAAATTGAGATTACTGGAGAAACAGTTTGACATACAAGGTGCGTAGGGAATGTGTTTTTGGTAAAAGTTTATAAGAAGGCATAAGAATATGGCTTTTGTTAAAGGGAATGTAATTTTTTCTGGTTTAGAGGGGGTTTTAAAGACTGTCTTAAACTAAGAGAGAATAAGACAAAACTGAAAGTTTAAGCAAAGTGAAAAGGTTTTGTAAAGCGTTAATCTTATAAAAAATTCTGTGGGTATACACAAGTTGGCTAAGATGTAAAAGAAATTATTTAGCTTTTTACAATAGGTTAGAACACTAATCATACTGATGTGGGGCCAGAATCTGGGCCCATGTGTCCAAATAACAGGGTTTTCTTAGAAAATTGATGTGCTGTTTGATTGAAAATTGTAAAGCGTTCTAAAAAGTTTATAAAAATCTTATCTTATGGTCAAACTAATTAAAACTGGATAGAGATATAAAATTTTATTTTAAAAAACAAACTTTAACATTAAAGATGCACTAATGCAAACATGAAATTTGGTTTTCTCTTTTGAAGACAATTTTTATGTAATGTTAAAAGATAATGAAAGGGTTTTGTTTTCTCCTTTGGGTAAACGGCAGGAAATAAAAGGAGGAGAGGGAGGAGACAGATTTAGTTGGCCTCATGCTATCTTCGTTGGGTTTTGTTTGGAAAGCTAACCCCCCTCCATCGGAGTAAAGGATACAATTGGAGAAACTGGTCATTTTTCCAAGGCTTTGACTGGAATGGCATGCTTCTTGTAAAGAATCAAAGTTGACTTATGGAACCAATTAAAACCCACTGGGGAATCTGGCCTCATACCTTGTCCAGACAGAGTCCCTGTACAAGGTTCCTGACCTGTGTTAAGTAAAGAATGTCACTTTCTAACAGGCCCAGGAACCCCAAGTTATCTTGAGGAGAGGACTTTGTTCAACTCATAGGTATCTGAGGGTTCAAACCCATGGCTGGGCTCGGCTTTTAAAAAGCCTTATCTGAGATTCTTCATGGAACAGAGTTTCATCAAAGCCAATTAAAAAAGCCTAAGTGAAAAATAATTATTCTTGCTGCACTTTATGCAAATAATCAGGCCAAGTACAGTGAAACTAAAGTTTGTTTTGTAAACTGTAAGTCAGTTCTATCATAATTTGTTTTTAATAAAAATAGGGACTGGAGAGAGAAAAATTATGCTTCAAAAGAAAAACTATATTACACTTTTGTTAGCTGTTCTTGATGTTTTTTTTTCTGCAGGTTAGACTAAATTCTAAATTATTTGTGAGTTAGAAGGCCCCAGACAAATGCTTTCCAATCTTTGCTTTTAAAATTGGGAATTGTACTCCTCATCCTAGGACTCATTATTTACCTTATAGCATGCTCTTCATTTAAATACTGTACTAAAACTATAGATGAGAGTACTAATATTTTTGCCACACAAGCCTTGGAAGCCCATCCAGGCCTGCATGAATACACTCAGTAGCAAAGCAGTTCCACTCTTCTCACCTTGGGGTTCACTCCCATTCCCATTATGTCCCCTGTCAGCAGGAAGAAGCTGGAGTGATAGATGGCCTTTTCCCGTCTTCATAGCCTACATCTTAAGATTAAGGTGTTATAAAACCCAAAGGGAGGGATTGAAACTGCCTTTGCAAAATTATGACTGAGACCGTGAAAGAGATCTAACTTAACCGACTCCATCTTGCTTCTGACCTCCAAGCTGTCCTTGTGCATTCCTGGGCATAGGCTGAACTAACTTTGGGAGAAACTTAGTTTGTAGTTTATAGTTTGAACAAAGACAGCCTTTCCCAAAGCAGACCTCCTTCTTGCCTGGGGACTAGATTAACGTTAGCCACAGGATTAGAAATTATCATTTAGTAGTCACACAGCTGGAGGCTACAAGATTCTGACCCTCCCTAAACTGCTCCTAAGATCAGTGCTTGAGATATTTTGCAGATCCCGCACTTGATGGATCAGCTGTCACCACCCAGATCGATAAACTGGCTCATCTGATCTTGTGACCCCCACTTAGGAAGTGACTCAGCACAAGAAGGCAGCTTTGACTCCCTATGATTTCAGCCCTGATCAGTCAGCACTCTTGGCTCACTGGCTGCCCCCCAACCACCAAGTTATCCTTAAAAACTCTGCTCCCCGAATGCTCAGGGAGACTAATTTGAGTAGTAATAAAACTCTGGCCTCCCTCAAAAAACAAAAAGCAAAAAACAAAAACAACCAAAACTAAGTATCTCAACAACATTTTGTAGGAGAAACACTTTCACAACCAGCAGAATGCAGAAAAATTTGTCAAATCCCAAAGCGTGGATATTTATGTTACAGAATTAACAAACTTATTTCTCATTGCCAAAAATGTGTTGATTGTAATGGTTCCTATTTTGATTAATAAAGATGTGTTTGAGCCTAGTTATAATGATTTAAAATTCATGGTCTAATACCACAATTTACTTTTACACCAATATAATACTAATACACTTGGCTGTATCGTAGAGTATTAATAGATAATCAGGTGCTGCCACCTGCTAAAGGAATGAAGAATGAGCTGACTGCAGGTCCCATCTAAGGACTAAAGGTATAAAGCAAGTCAATTTTTTTGTGTTAACTCCAAACACTTTAATCATATAAACAGAAGATTTACATGGGGCCTCTTACCTCAGTCACGATGGTGGAGAGGAAAGAGCTTCTGTCGTACACCCAGCCATCCACACAGGGCTCCGTGTCTGGCTCATTTGTGTTGGGGAAGGTCCCGTTCAGGTGAAGGAGCTGCCACTGGGGATGGATAAAGCGCTGACACTTCTGTGGCCTCAGGTTTGAGTCCAGTGGGATGGAGATTCTCAGGAGGTCATCCTTGCTGAGGGTCCCGGTATCATTGTCAGACACAGTGTCATTGTCCAGGAGGGGGACCCAGCAGCGATGACTAGGGGTGAATGCAGTGAAGTTCTCCAACACAATATTAGGGAACAGTAGGATGTTGGTGATGCAAAAGAAAGCTATCAGACAAATCTGGAATCTCCCCATGCCACCCACTTGATCCAGGAGCACATCAAAGCCCATTGAGACTGAACAGGTGATCCCCAAGAGGAAGCACAATGACTTTATGAAGAGAAGTTCAGAGGGAGAAAATGTCCCCTTTCACAAAGTTACCATAGTGCCATGTGGATCCTGACACTGCTTTCTTCTTGGTGGGCCCTGCACTGAGTGGTGTGACACTACTGCAGAAGAGCAGTGGAAGGACTTTCCCCAAGTCCTTTAACTTTAGGCAGCCAAATAGTTTCAGAAGTCACAGATATAATTATTTGGCAAAGAGACTGCTAGCTGTTGACAACTGAATCTTCTTAAAAGACTACTCTGTGAAAGATCCTGATCTCTGAGTTTCCTGATAAGTCAACGGTGGATTTTCAGGTGGATGCAGTCCCCACGTGACCTAAAATACACCTGTTCAATAGTCTGCCATTCTTCTTAGAAATGGGATATTAGAAAATCCAAAGTGAATTGCTTTATGATGTTCTTGTACAAAGATCAGAGAGCAGGGCTTTTTTTGGACTAGGACTGAGTTTTACTAAAAGTTAATAAAAACTATTCTTAGTTAAAGGAAAGTGGAATGTTGAGTTTAAACATTGACTTTTGCTAAGTGTAGTTCTGCTTCAGTTCAAGTCATACCAATGACAGGGCTTTAAAGATTTTTTAAAATAGGGAAATTAGGATAAGAAACAAAGAGAAAGGAAATAGTGCTTTTATGTATTATAGTAGTATATTTCACCAGATTTATTGATTCATTCAAATATCATTTTGGGCTTTCTGGTGCTATTGCTGTAAATAAAGCAATGTTAACTTACATATATTTATTTATAAGTTTAAAATAAAATTTGAGCTCAATGTCTCATATAAATGATAGGTTTGTAAATAATTGTACTGTAATGTCATCATATAACTATAAGGAAGATACACAGTGTGCTATGGAAGATTAAGGAGAAACTGTTTAATGATACCTGGATAGATGCCATGGAGCAGGGGAGTCATCCCTCTACAAATTAACTTTACCTACTCTTTTTTTTTTTGAGACAAAGTATCACTCTGTCACCAGGCTGGAGTGCAGCGGTGGGATCTTGGCTCTCTGCAGCCTTGACCTCCTGGGTTCAATCAATTCTCATGTCTCAGCCTCCCAAGTAGCTGGGATTACAGGCATTCACCCACATGCCCAGCTAATTTTTGTATTTTTTATGGAGAAGGGGTTTCATCATATTGGCCAGGCTGGCCTCAAACTCCTGACCTCATGTGATCTGCCCACCTCAGCCTCTGAAAGTGCTGGGATTACAGGCATGAGCCACCATGCCCAGCCAGCTTGACCTACTCTTGTGGGAAGATTCTTGAGATAATGAAGCAGTGGATGAGGGACTGCAAGAGTCAATTTTTAAATGAGGGAATAATAAGTACACAATTACAGTTAAAGGTGTGGCATAATTGTGTACCTACAAGGATATTCAAAAGCTAGCAGCTAAATAGCATGCACGGATATAATGGGAAAAGACAGGTTGATTAAAAAGAAACCCAAAGAAACAAACAGAATCTCCAGAATTTATTCTGCCTACAAGAAGTTCTTATTTTTGAATTTCAAACTGGTCACCCGTGAAACATCTTAAGATGCAGATTCCTGGATGGGTGCAGTGGCTCACACCCATAATCCCAGCTACTCAGGAGGCTGAGGCAGGAGAGCCACTTGAACCTGGGAGTGAAGGTTGCAGTGAGCTGAGATTGTGCCACTGCACTCCAGCCTGGGTGACACAGCAAGACTCTGTCTCAAAAAAAAAAAAAAAAAAAAAAAAAAAAAAAAAAAAAAGCAGATTCCTGTCCAGCCTGCAGAGATTCTCTGTTCAGGAAATGACTTTCATGGATCTATTCCAAACAGGAAATCTAATACATCACAGGGTTTTGTTGTAAATTGTTAGAAATGTTTTAGTTCACTAGGGCTGCATAACAAAATACCACAGACTTAACAGAAGGTGACTTTACAGAAGTTTATTTTCTCACAGTTCTGAAGGCTGAAAGTCTAAGATCAAGGTGTCAACAGATTTGATTTCCTCTGAGCCTCTCTCTTTGGTTTGTCAATAGCTGCCTTCTCGTCATGTCCTCACATATTCTTTCATTTATGCATGTGCACACCTGGTGTTCCTTCCTCTTCTTATAAGGACACTAGTCATATTGGATCAGGGCCCCACCCTATGGGTCTCATTTTAACCTATCCCCAAATATGGTTGTATTTTGAGGTATTAGGGGTTGGGACTTTGACATAGGAATTTTGGGAGTGGGAGACACAATTCACCCCATAATGGGGTTAGACAATCACAATTATATTTTACTAAAGTTACTGACACAGTGTAAAAATAGTAAGAAGTGAACGTTCCAGCAAGGCAAACCATTCAGAACCACAAGAATAAAATGATGTAAAGAATGATTACAGCTGTGAATTCACTGAGTATTCGCTATAAGTCGATTCTGTTGTAAGCACTTTTAATGTTTTCCTTATTTTAGTTCTCACCCTTGTTATCTACATTTTACCCCTGAGAAAACAAAGGACTAGACACATTAAATAACTTGCCAAAGGATATACAGAGTGTAAGTGGTAGAGCCAAAATATGGACCATGGTAGTCTAAAGGAAAATCTCTTACTCACTTTAATAAATGACTTATTTTCTTTTTCTTTTCTTTTATTTTATTATTATTATACTTTAAGTTTTAGGGTACATGTGCACAACGTGCAGGTTAGTTACATATGTATACATGTGCCATGCTGGTGCGCTGCACCCATTAACTCATCAGTAAATGACTTATTTTCATCTCATAAATTAAATGATTGTTTTTATGCTCAGAAACAACGATGGCCTATCTAGAGTCAAGATGGCTGGAAGAGGAGAGGCTGAAACCATTGTGCCCCATCCCCCAAATCTCCCATGAAACACAGAAAATTTAAAGGAGAGGAAATTAGTAAGTATCATGGTGACCAAGTATAGACACAAAAAGGAATAAGAAGGAATGTTCCATAGGTCAAAATAGTGATGTATCTCTAGAGTAATGAGTAAGTAAAGAAGCATGCAGAGAAAAAAGCATTAGTAAGGACAATAATGATCACTAGCAATATATTGTCATTTCCTATGTGCCAGACACTGGGCTGGGTGATTTCTGTGCATGTTATTTATTCCTCACAACAACCCCGTGAGATGGGTATTACCCTCCTTGGTTTACAGGGAAAATGTAACATGGACAAGTGTTGTAATATGCCCTATTAAGTTGACTGGGATAGTAAGATGTGAACACTGTATAAAGCTTAAAAAGTCTGGCAGGGAGTCCAGTGTTGGGTACACAGTGGAAGATTAGACTGGTGGCAATTAGGAAACTATGGGTGATGATACAAACACCCACCTGTAAAATTCTCATTCCACCCTCATGGCACCCAGGCTTCTTCTGTTTCACAGATTCTACAATCATTTGGACAAAAGAAGCCCAGGTACTGTAATGTCAGCATGAGAAGTTTATGTCTTATTCAAATGGAAGAGAGGTGAAGTCTACTCACTCTTGCTGAGGTTGAATTCCTATTGTGCACCACCACAGCTATCTCTCTGTTTTATGTGCCTATAGGCTGTTATGTTCATCTATTTATCTCTCATTTCCTTCCAGCATTATTGATTGTTTTGCTGGCTTTATATAGTTTCTTTAGGACACTTACATTGACTTGCTACTGTGCTCAGTTCTTTCCTTTGATCTCACTGACACCTTTCAGTATTACATGGCAGCAAGACTAGTTTTAACATCCATGTTTTCTTAGTGGAAACAAACTGTATACTGAAGGACATGGGAAGCTTTGGTAAGGCAATACTACTGTAAAAACTGAGGCCTCCCCTATAAGCCTGCATAGGAAGATGCACCAGGAAGGGCTGCCCTCATCTCTGAATACACCTGCCAGTGAATCAATGGAATCAGAACCTTACCTATCTTTTGGGGAAGCAAGGAAAGCCAGGACACAGACAAAATAATTCTGTAGTGTAAGATAAGCTCCATTAAGAAATCACCAACCTCCTGACATACAAACGGACAGTGATGTCTCTCAATTTGAAAAGCAGAAACCAAAATAAACTTTGATGAACCCATTTTCTCCTTAAGCTACTGCCCTATTACCTGATATTATTGACAGCAAATCTTTTCTCACTTTCTTCCCTTCCATTTACATTTTAACTCAATCCTATCAGGCGTTTATCACCAAATTTCTTCTTAGTAAGGAAGGTCTTAATGTTTTCCATATTATTAGATCCAAATGTTTATGTGTTGCAGTTGATAAATTCTTCTTCCTGGAAACATTTTTCTCATTTGGCCTCCCAGATTTCTACTCTGTTTTTATTTTACTAATTCATTCCAGGCTCTAGTTTCTCAGTCTTCTGTGCTGAGTCTTCAAACATTGGAGTTTTGGAGGGCTAAGTTCTTTAACAATTTCTCTTGTTTACATGTACTCACTTCCTTAATTTATTTTCTAATGCTTCTATCTTAGTCAGTTGCATGTTGCTATAAAGGAATACCTGATGCTATGTAATTTGTAAAGAAAAGAGGCTTATTTGGCTCATGGTTCTGCAGACGGTATAAGGATTGTGGCATCAGCATCTACATCAACTGTGGGCTTCAGGCTGTTTCCACTGCAGAAGGTGGAGGGAAGCCAGGGTATTGTGGAGGTCACATGGCAAGAGAGGTAGCAAGAGGGCAGTTGGGGAGATGCCAGACATTTTTTAATAGCCAGTTCTTAAGGGAACTAATAGATTGATAACTCACCCACCTTCAAGAGAGAGCATTAATCTATTCATGAGAGATCTGCCTCCACTACCCAAATACCTCCCAGTGGGCTCACCTCCGATAATTGGGGTCAAATTTCAACATGAGATCTGGAGGGACAAACATCCAAACTATAACAAACTCTTAGATTTTTATCTGCAGCAAACTACTCCCCTAAACTCCAAGTTTTAAAAATTGCTTTACCTTCAAATGACGCCCAGAATCTGACTTCTCCTAACTACCAGCCTACTACCTCCCAAGTCTAAGTCCCTCTCATTTCTCACCTGGACTATTCCCCTGCCCCGCTACCTTTCTTCCACACAAATTGCAGAGTATACCGTTTCCAATTTGTCATGTCATGTCAAATCTCAAATACCTCCTGTGGCTTCCATGTCCTGCAGAATAATGTCAACCACCCTACTACCTTCAAGGTCTTATTAGATTTAGTCCCTTCTGTCCCTTTACCCATATGACTTTACCTTATTTTTCTCTACCCATACTGGCCTTCTTTGTGTTTCAAATGATGCTAGGCAATTTCCACTCCAGGATTTCTGCATTGACTTTTCCACAAAATGCCTCAAAAATTCCATCAGTTCTTTCAGTTCTCCAGTCAAATGTTACCACATTTGAGAGGCCTTCCCTATGTTGTCTCCTTACATATTGATCTAGATGCCATCTCTCTCTCTACGCATATCCTTATTCTGTTTCATTTTCTTCATGCCATTGAGCACTACCAGCCATATATTTGCTTATTACCTATTTCCCCACTACTTGAATGTACTTCCAGTGAAATAAAACAGTCTGCTTTGATCTTTCTTGTATCCTCATCATCGTGAAGAGTTTTTGGAACATGTTAAGTGCCAAATAAATAATTGTGGAACACTGAACAAAGAAACATGAGACATTCCAAGATATTGGCAACCCATCGTAAAAACCACATAATATCATTTATTCAATAGAATTTGATATGGGGAACTAACATGCAAAGTTCAGACAAGGAATGGTAAAACAACTCAGACATCAGCAATGGAGGAAGGTGCTACTACACGAACTGGAGAACAAGTAGAAGAGTTAATGCCACCTGTATTCAGGTGCTAGGATCACCCAGAGGAACCTAGAGGAAATGCGCTAGATGGGTGGGAGCTGGAACAACAGAGGAGATATTGTCACTGATGTAGGTCCTGCCTAAATCAAGGGGGCTTCTGCCTTCCTTTTGCTCTCCAATATTCCACCGTCTTTTATTGCCTGGCCCTAACCACAATCAAATTGCCAACAGAATCTGGAAATGTAGTGTGATGGTTAATTTTAGGTGTCCACTTGACTCGATTAAAGAGTACCTAGAGTGAGGTTTTCCAGAAGAAATTAGCATGTGCGTCTGAGTGGACTAGGTGAGAAAGATTCTCCCTCAATGTGGGTGGGCACCGTCTAATCTGCTGGGGGCCCAAACAGAACAAAAACAGAGAAAAGGTAAATTATTCTCTCTCTCCAGAGCTGGGATACACTTTTCTTATCTTGCTTTGGATATCAGAACTCCAGCCTATCTGGCCTTTGAACCCGAAAACTTATACCAGCAGCTTCCCAGGTTCTCAGGCTTTTGGTGTTGGATGGAGAGTTACACCATTGGCTTCCCTGGTTCTGAAGTCTTCAGACTTGGACTGAGCCACATTACCAGCATACCAGGGTCTTCAGCTTGCAGACAACTTGTCACAGGATTTTTCAGCCTCCATAATCACATGTGCCAATTATCCTAAGAAACCCCTATCATTCATATATATATATATAATATATGTCATATATGTAGGAATGTCATATATGTCATATATGTATGAATACATATATCATATATATATTCTACTGGTCTGTCTCTCTGTAGAACCCTGATTCATACATGCAGTTTGCAAGGACATCTCCCTGGTTATTACCTTTACTTATATTGGGATTCCACTTTAACAAATGCTGTGGTATTCACCTATATTTGTTTTCAGAGTGTGCTATATTTCCATTATGATTTCCTAAAAATGCCTTTCTGCCTCCTCTATATGTTCTGCTTCCTGAATCATTTAACAGGTATTATACTTTGTGCACAGACACACCTATTTTGTTTATTGATCAGTCTGTTTGCTCCTGTTCTCATACCTCATTGTTTTTATTCACTCGTTTTGTATATGCTTAAAATCTGGCAGGGAAAGTCATTTAGCTTTGTTCTTCTTTTCAAAATTAGAATAGTTACCAGCAAATCTACATTAGTCTATATAAATTTTTAACCTTGTATGAGTATTGAAATTTACATATAGAAGTGTACCTAAAACACGTGTGTGTGTGTGTATATATATATATATATTTTTTGAGACAGAGTTTTGCTCTTGTCGCCCAGGTTGGAGTGCAATGGTGTGATCTTGGCTCACCGCAACCTCCGCCTCCTGGGTTCAAGCGACTCTCCTGCCTCAGCCTCCCGAGTAGCTGGGATTACAGGCATGCACCACCACGCCTGGCTAATTTTGTATTTTTAGTAGAGATGGGGTTTCTCCATGTTGGTCAGGCTGGTCTTGAACTCCTGACCTCAGGTGATCCACCCGCCTTGGCTTCCCAAAGTGCTGGGATTACAGGCGTGAGCCACCGCACCCAGCCACGTGTGTATATTTAAAAGAATTATTATAAACAGAACATGTATTTAACCACCATTCAAATGACAAAATCTAACTTAAGCGTAATTAAGAAAACACCTGTGTGCAACTTCAGAATAAATGTCTTCCTGCTTTTCTGTGAGTAACCACTTTTTAGATAATTGTAAAAATAATTTACAGGCATATCATTTTTTGTTTATGGCTCCTTTATCTTAGGTAAAATTTACACATTATGAAATATACAAATCTTAAGTGCAATTTCAAGGTATTTAAATAACTTCGCTTAGCAGTGTAAACTGCAATCCTCTCAACATGCAGAACAATTTCCTACTCCCAGAAAATTCTTTTTTTTTATTATTATACTTTAAGTTCTGGGGTACATGTGTAGAACGTGCAGGTTTGTTACATAGGTATACATGTGCCATGGTGGTTTGCTGCACCCATCAACCCATCACCTACATTAGGTATTTCTCCTAATGCTATCCCTCCCCTAGCCCACCACCCACCAACAGGCCCCAGTGTGTGATGTTCCCCTCCCTGTGTCCATGTGTTCTCATTGTTCCACTCCCACTTATGAGTGAGAACATGTGGTGTTTGGTTTTCTGTTCTTGTGTTAGTTTGCTGAGAATGATGGTTTCCAGCTTCATCCATGTCCCTGCAAAGGACATGAACTCATCCTTTTTTATTGCTGCATATTATTCCACGGTGTATATGTGCCACATTTTCGTTATCCAGTTTATCATTGATGGACAGTTGGGTTGGTTCCAAGTCTTTGCTATTGTGAACAGTGCTGCAATAAACATATGTGTACGTGTGCCTTTATAGTAGAATGGTTCGTAAACCTTTGGGTATATACCCAGAAATGGGATTGCTGGGTCAGATGGTGTTTTTAGTTTTAGATCCTTGAGGAATCGCCACACTGACTTCCACAATGGTTGAACTAATTACACTCCCACCAACAGTGTAAAAGTGTTCCTATTTGTCCACATCCTCTCCAGCATCTGTTGTGTCCTGACTTTCTAATGATTGCCATTCTAACTGGCATGAGATGGTATCTCATTGTAGTTTTGATTTGGATTTCTCTAATGACCAATGATAATGAGCTTTTTTTCATATGTTTGTTGGCTACATAAATGTCTTCTTTTGCGAGGTGTCTGTTCATATCCTTTGCCCACTTTTTGACGGGGTTGTTTGTTTTTTTTCTTGTAAATTTGTTTAAGTTACTTGTAGATTAGCCCTTTGTCAGATGGATAGATTGCAAAAATTTTCTCCCATTCTGTAGGTTGCCTGTTCATTCTGGTGATAGTTTCTTTTGCTGTGCAGAAACTTTTTAGTTTAATTAGATCCCTTTTGTCAATTGTGGCTTTTGTTGCCATTGCTTTTGGTGTTTTAGTCATGAAGTCTTTGCCCATGCCTATGTTGCCTATGTTCTGAATGGTATTGCCTAGGTTTTCTTCTAGCGTTTTTATGGTTTTATGTCTTATGTTTAAGTCTTTAATCCCTCTTGAGTTAAGTTTTGTATAAGGTGTAAAGAAGGGGTCCATTTTCAGTTTTCTGCACATGGCTAGCCTGTTTTCCCAATACCATTTATTAAACAGGGAATCCTTTCCCCATTGCTTGTTTTTGTCAGGTTTGTCAAAGATCAGATGGTTGTAGATGTGTAGTGTTATTTCTGAGGCTTCTGTTTTGTTTCATGGGTCTACATATCTGTTTTGGTACCAGTACCATGCTGTTTTGATTACTGTAGCCTTGTAGTATAGTTTGAAGTTAGGTAGCTTTGTTCTTTTTGCTTAGAATTGTCTTGGGTATATGGGCTCTTTTTTGGTTCTACTTGAAATTTAAGGTAGTTTTTTCTATTTCTGTGAAGAAAGTGAATGGTAGCTTGATGGGTGGGCTTCTTCCTAGATCAGTTTTGGCTGCTAGCCCTTATCTCTTGACTACAGATTTTTTCATTTTCCTTTAATTTTTTAATTTTAATTTTTAACTTTTTACTTGGTATATAATTTTTATACATATTATGGGATATATTTGATATTTAGTTACATACATAGAGTATATAGTAATAAATCCAGAGTATTTGGAGTGTTCATTACCTCAAGTATTTACCATTTCTAGCTATTTCAAAATATAGAATACATTGTTGTTAACTATAGTCACCCTCCTCTGCTATAGAACCTTAGAATTTATTTATTCTATTTAACTGTATATTTGTACTAATTAACTAATACCTTTTTCTCTCCCCACTCCCCACACTCCCATACCCTTCTAAGCCTCTGGTATCCATTATTCTACTCACTACCTTCATGAGATCAACATTTTAGCTCCCACATGTGAGACAGAACATCTGATATTTGTCTTTTGGTGTTTTATTCCCGTAACATAAAACTCTCCAGTTCCAGCCATGTTGCTGAAAGTGATATTATTGCTTTTAAGATACTAAATAGTATTCCATTGTATATATGTACCAAAATTTTTTATCTATTCATCTGTTGATGGACACAGGTTGAGTCTATATCTTTGGCACTGAACAGTGCAATGTTGCTGCAATGAACATGGGAATGTACATATCCCTTTGCTATTCTGATTTTCTTTCCTTTGGCTATATACTCAGCAGTGGGATTGCTAGATCATATGATAGTGCCATTTTTAGTTTTTTTGAGCACTCTCCATACTGTTTTCTATAGCGGCAGTACTAATTTACATTCCCATCAATGGTGTATTAGCTCCCTTTTTTTCACAATCCTTGACAGCATCTGTTATTTTTGTCTTTTTTTTTTTGAGATGGAGTCTTGTTCTGTTGCCCAGGCTGGAGTGCAGTGGTGCAATCTTGGCTCACTGCAACCTCTGTCTCCCGGGTTCAAGGGATTCTCTTGCCTCAGCCTCCCGAGTAGCTGGGATTACAGGTATGTGCCACCACACCCACCTAATTTTTGTATTTTTAGTAGAGATGGTGTTTCACCATCTTGTCCAGGCTGGTCTCAAACTCCTGACCTCAGGTTATCCACCTGCCTTGGCCTCCCAAAGTGCTGGAATTACAGGCATGAGCCACTGCACCCCGCCTATTTTTGTCTTTTTAATAATAACCATTGTAACTTGGGTAAGATGACACCTTATTGTGGGTTTGATTTGCATTTCTCTGATGATTAGTGATGTTCAGCATTTTTTCATATACCTGTTGGCCATTTGTGTATATTTTTTGAAAAATGCCTATTCATGTTTTTTTTTTGCCAATTTTTAAGTTGGATATAGATATATATTTTGCTGTTGAGTTGTTTGAACTCCTTGTATATTCTTGTAATTCCCTGTCAGATGAATAGTTTGCAAATATTTTCTTTCTTGCAACAGGTTGTCTCTTCATTCTGTTGATGTGCAGAAGATTTTTAGCTTGAGGTAATTCTATTTGTCTATTTTTACTTTGGTTGTCCATGCTGATTTCTTACACAAAATACCTTTGCTGATTCCAAAGTCCTGGGGCATTCCCCAATGTTTTATTTCAGCAGTTTCATTGTTTTAGTCTTTAGTTTTAGTTTCATAGCTTTAGTCTTCCAGTAGTTTCATAATTTTAATTCTTAACTGATTTTGATTTGATTTTCATATATGGTGAGAGATAGGGATCTAGTTTCATTTTTCTGCATTTGAATATCCGGCTTTCCCAGCATAATTTATGGAAGAGAATGTCCTTGCCTTAATTAATATTCTTCATGCCTTTGTAAAAAATGCGTTGGCTATAAATGCATTCATTTACTTCTGGGCTTTCTGTTTTGTTCCATTGATCTCTGTGTCTGTTATTTATTCATTATTTTAAAAAATTTTTGTAGGTACATTTTAGGTGTATATATTTATGGGGTACATGGATGTTTTGATACAGGCATGCAATGTGAAATAAACACATCATGGAGAATGGGGTATCCATGCCCTCAAGCATTTATCCTTTGAGTTATAAATAATCCAACTACATTCTTTAAGTTACTTTAAAATATACAATTATTATTGACCGCAGTCACCCTACTGTGCTATCAAATAGTAGGTCTTATTTATTCTTTCTATTATTTTTGTACCCATTAACCATCCCCACCTCCACTACAATGCACCACTACCCTTCCTAGCCTATGGTAACTATTCTTCTACTCTCTATCTCCATGAGTTCAATTTATTTGATTTTTAGATCCCACAAATAAGTTAGAACAGGCAATGCTTGTCTTTCTGTGCCTGGCTTATTTCATTTAGCACAATTATCTCCAGTTCTATCCATCCTGTTGCAAATGACTTATAGAATTCTGAATTCCTTCTCTGTGTCATCTTGAATTTCTTTGGGTTTCCCCAACACAGCTATTTTGAATTCTCTGGCTGAAAGGTCACATATCTCTGTTTCTCCAGTACTGGTCCCTGGTACCTTATTTAGTTCATTTGGTAAGGTCATGTTTTCCTGGATGGCGTTGATGGTAGTACATGTTCTTGGGTTTCTGGGCATTGAAGAGTTAGGTATATATTATAGTCTTCACAGGCTGGGTTATTTGTAGCTGTCCTTCTTGGGAAGGCTTTTCATATATTTGAAAGGGCTTGGGTGTTGTGACTTAAGCTGTATCTGCTTTAGAGGGTACCCCAAGCCTTGTAACACTGTGTTTCTTTCAGTGTCATAGAGGTACTGCCTTGATGGTCCTGGACAAGATCTGAAAAAATTCTCTAGATTTTAAGGCAGAGACTCTTGTTCCCTTTTCTTACTTTGTGCAAATTATACAGTCTCTCTCTCTGTTCTCAGCCACCTAAATCTTGAGGTAGAGTAACACAAGCACCCCTGTGGCCACTGCCAGTAGGACTGCACTAGATCAGACCCGAAGCCAGCATAGCACTGGCTGTCATGCAGGGCCTGCTGTAACCACTCCCTGACTACTACCTATGTTCATTTAAGGCCCTGGGGCTGTATAATCAGCAAGTGGCAAAGCCAACTAGTCCTGTATCCTTCTCCTGAGGGTGGTGAAGTCCCCCAGGCTGTGAGTGGGTCCAGAAGTGCTCTCCAGGAATCAGGCTGCAATCAAATAACTTAAAAGTCTACTTGGTATTCTATTGTATTGTGGCTGATCTGGCACTCAAACCAAAGGATGCAATTCTTCCTGTTCTGTCCTCCCCTTTTCAAAGGCAGAGAAGCCTAGCCTTGTAGCCACTGCCACCCCTGACTATGAGGCCAGCCTACTGCCAGTGTTCCCTTAAGGCCCAAGATCTCTTAAGTCAGCTTGTCATGAATGCTGCCTGGCCTGCAACTCCCCCACTGGGGCAGTGGGCTCCTCTCTGGCCCAGGACAGGTCGAGAAATAACATTTAAGAATCTAGTCCTAGAATTGGAGGACCCCAAGAGCTGGCTTAGTGCTCTGCCAACCTGTGGTGGTGCCAGTACCAAAGGTGCAAGACAAAGTTCCTTTACTTTTCCCTCTGCTTTTCTCAAATAAAAGGAATTTTTCCCCATAGCCATCACAGTTGGTAATGTGCTGGGTCTCACCAGAAGCCAGCAAGTCCCAGAGGCTCATCAAAGCCCTTGATGTAGTACCTGGGTATCACTGCTAGTTATTCAGGGCCCAAGGGCTCTTCATTTAGCAGGTGATAAATGCTGGTGGGACTGGGTCCTATCTTTCAAGGCAGTGGGTTCCCTTCTGGCCCACGGTGTATCTAGAAATGTCATCTGGGATCTAGGGCCTGGTCAGGGGCCTCTTGACTCTGACTGGTGCCCTATCCTGTTGTAGCTGAGCTGGTATCCAAGATGCAGGACAAAGTCCTCCTGCTTCTTCCTTCTCCTCAAGCAGAAGGAAGGGACCTTTTTTGAAATGGTGAGCTGTGCAGCCTTGGGTTAGGGAAGGTTGATGCCAGCATTCCCTTGGCTGCCCCAGGTCGTGCCTCAGTATGTCACCTGTCCCTCCAGTCCACTGTCTCCAGGCCTAGTTCAGCTCTGGGACCCACCTATGAGTTGCATTCCTTATGGTCTAGACTGCCTTTCAAGTTTACTTAGAGATCAAAAGCACTCTGGCCCTGGGTGGCAAGGTTTTTGGGCACCCAATTTTGGACTGCTGGTATAGGAGATTCCCCTTTAGCTAAGGCTGGTTCAAATGCTTCCTCTGTGGGCAGGCCTCAGCTGAGTTTGGTTCAATTTTTCTTTCTGCTCTAACAGGACAGCATTGAGTTCAATTCCTCACAATTACAGTGTTCTCCCTCCCCAGTGCCCAGAGATGCTCCCTGCACAAGGCTGGCATTGCCTGGGGTGGAGGATGGGTGGCATCCCTCTCTTTTATCTTTCTTCAGTGCGTCTTTCAGCTATGTAAAGTTAAAATCTGGTACTGTGAATGCTTGAAACCGCCATTACAAAATTGTAACAGACAGTGAAAGAGATTTGATCTAACCAACTCCACGTTGCTTCTAGTCTCCAAATTGTCCTTGTTAATTTCTGGATGTAGGCTGAACTAACTTTGGGAGGAACGTAATTTATAGTTTACAGTTTAAAACAAAGATGATAACAACCATTTACAGAAACAAACCTACTTCTTGCCTGGGAACTAGAAGGACTAAGAAATAAGTCCTTTGTAGGACTAAGAAATTGGCCACAAGATTAGAAATTATTGTTTAGGAGTCATGCAGCTGGAGGCTACAAGATTCTGACCCTCCCTAAACTGCTCCTAAGAACAGTGCTTGAGATATTTTGCAGACACTGCACTTGATGGATCAGCTGTCACCACCCTGATTAATAAACTGGCTCATCTGGTCTTGTGGCCCCCATTCAGGGAACTGATTCAGCAAAAGAAGATAGCCTTGATGCCCTATGATTTCATCTCCGACCCGACCCATCAGCACTCCTGGCTCACTGGCTTCTTCCCACCCACTAAGTTGTCCTTAAAAACTGTGCTCCCAGAATGCTCAGAGGGACTGATTTGAGTAATAATAAAACTCTAGTCTCCCACATAGCTGGCTGTGTATGAGTTACTCTCTCTATTTCAATTCCCCTGTCTTGATAAATTGGCTCTGTCTAGGCAACATGCAAGGTGATCCCATTGGGCGGTTACATGCTGTCCTGATTTTTGGTCTTATGAAAGTTTTTTTTTTCTATGTAGATAGCTTTTCACTTGGTGTCCCTGCAGGAGGGATAACGGGTGGAACTTTCTATGCTGCATCTTGATCTACCTGTCCCCTAGAATACTTATTTTGACATATGGAGAATATATATCTTTTAAAGCATATATGGTGCAGTTTCCTAAAGTGAACCACATTACATCAAATAGAAATTTTTAAACAAATATATATTTTAAAATGTTTTATTTTTAATTTTTGTGGCTACATAGTAGATGGATATATTTATGGGGTGTATGAGATGTTCTGATATAGGTATGCAATGTGTAATTATCTTGTCATGGAGAATGGGGTATCCATCTTCTCAGTCATTTATCCTTTGTGTTACAAACAATCCAGTTATACTCCTTTAGTTATTTTAAAATGTACAATTAAATTATTTTGACTACAGCACCCTGTTGTGTTATCAAATACTGGATATTAATAATCACATTATGCAGCATGGGGTATCTGTCCCTCAAGCGTTTATTCTTTGTGATTACAAACAATCCAATTATACTTTTTTAGTTATTTAAAAATGAATTAAGTTATTATTGACTATAGTCATCCTGTTGTGCTATCAAATAGTAGATCTTATTCATTCTTTCCAACTTCCTTTTTTCCCCCCATTAACTATTCCCACTTCCCCTGAAGCACCCAATACCCTTCTCAGCCTCTGGTAATCATCCTTCTCTCTCTATGTCTATGAGTTCAATTGTTTTTATTTTTATCTCACACAAATAAGCAAGAACATGTGATGTTTGTCTTTCTGTGCCTGGCTTATTTCACTTAACATAATGATCTCCAGTTCCATCCATGTTGCTGCAAATGACAGGATCTCATTCTTTATTTTATGGCTGAATAGTACTTCATTGTGTATATGTACCACATTTTCTTTATCAATTCATCTGCTGATGGACACTTAGGTTGCTTCCAAACCTTGGCCATTGTGAACAGTTCTGCAACAAATGTGGGAGTGCAGATACGTCTTTGATATACTTATTTCCTTTCTTTTGGGTATATGCCTTTGATATGATTTGGCTGCACCCCCACCCAAATCTCATCTTGAATTATAGCTCCCATAGTTCCCACCTGTCATGGGAGGGAGCCTGTGGGAGGTAATTGAATCATGGGGCCAGGTCTTTCCCGTGCTATTCTTGTGATACTGAATAAGTTTCATGAGATCTGAGGGTTTTATAAGGGGGAGTTTCCCTGCAGAAATTCTCTTTTCCCTGCTGCCATGTAAGTTGTGCCTTTCACCTTCTGCCGTGATTGTGAGGCTTCCCCAGCCAGGTGGAACTGTGAGTACATTAAACCTCTTTTCTTTATAACTTACCCAGTCTCAGGTATGTCTTTATCAGCAGCATGAGAAATGGACTAATATAGTAAATTGGTACTGATAGAGTGAAGTGCTTCTGTAAAGATACCCACAAATGTGGAAGCAACTTTGGAACTGGGGCAATATTTGGAGGGCTCAGAAGAAGACAGGAAAATGTTGGAAAGTTTGGAACTTCCTAGAGACTTGTTGAATGGCTTTGACTGAAATGCTGATAATGATATGGAAAATGAAATCCAGGCTGAGGTGGTCTCAGATGAAGATGAAGAACTTGTTGGTAACTGGAGTAAAGGTGACTCTTGCTATATTTTAGTAAAGAGACTGGCAGCGTTTACTCCTGTCCTAGAGATTTGTGGAACTTTGAACTTGAGTAAGATGATTTAGGGTATCTGTCAGAAGAAATTTTTAAGCAGCAAAGCATTCAAGATGTGACGGGTGCTGTTAAAAGCAGTCAGTTTTAAAAGGGAAACTCAGCAAAAAAGTTTGAAAAATTTGCAGCCTGGTGATGTGATAGAAAATAAAAACCCATTTTCTGAGGAGAAATTCAAGCCTGCTGCAGAAATTTGCATAAGTAATGAGGAACCAAAGGTTAATCCCTAAGACAATGGGGAAAATGTCTCCAGGGCATGTCAGAGACCTTTGTGACAGCCCTTCCTATCACAGGCCTGGAGGCCTAGGAGGTCCAGGTGCCCCTGCTGTGTGCAGCCTTAGTGACTTGGTGCCCTGTGTCTCAGCCACTCTAGCCATGGCTAAAAGGGGCCAAGGTACAGATCAGGCTGTGGCTTCAGAGGGTGCAAGCCCCAAGCCTTGACAGCTTCCATGTGGTGTTGAGCCTACAGGTGCAAAGAAGTCAAGAATTGAGGTTTGGGAACCTCCACCTAGATTTCAGAGGATGTATGGAAATGCCTGGATGCCCAGGTAGAAGTTTGCTGCAGGGGTGGGGTCCTCATGGAGAACCTCTGCTTGGGCGGTGTGAAAGGAAGATGTGGGGTTGAAGTCCATACACAGAGTCTCCATCGGAGACTGCTTAGTGGAGCTGTGAGAAGAGGGTCTTCGACCTCCAGACCCCAGAATTGTAAAGGCATTGACAGCTTGCACTGCACACCTGGAAAAGCTGCAGACACTCAATGCCAGGTCACAAAAGCAGCCAGGAGGGAGGCTGTACCCTGCAAAGCCACAGAAGCAGAGCTGCCCAAGAGCATGGAAACCCACCTTTTGCATCATTGTGACCCAAATGTGAGACATGCAGTCAAAGGAGATAACTTTGGAGCTTTAAGATTGGACTTCCCTGCTGGATTTTGGAATTGTATGGGGCCTTTAGTAAAACTGCTATGGAGAACAGTTTGGAGGTTCCTCAAAAAAATTAAAAGTAAAGCTAACATTTGACCCAACAGTTCCACTGCACCATTGTATTAGTCCATTTTCAAGCTGCTGATAAAGACATACCTGAGACTGGATAATTTATAAAGAAAAAAGGTTTAATGGACTCACAGCTCCATGTGGCTGGTGAGGCCTCACAATCATGGTGGAAGACGATTCCCATGTAGTCAGTGCCTTTTATCTAGGTACAGCCTCATCCTTTTGTTTTGGTCAATTTCTCCCATTTGGAATGGATGTATTTATCCAATGCCTGTACCCCCATTGTATCTAGGAAGTAACCAATTTCTTTTGATTTTGCAAGGTCATAGGTGGAAAGGACTTGCCTTGTCTCAGATGAGACTTTGGACTGTAGACTTTTGAGTTAATGCTGAAATGAGTTAAAACTTTGGGGGACTGTTGGGAAGGCATGATTAGTTTTGAAATGTGAGGACATGAGATTTGGGAGGGGCCAGGGGCAGAATGATATGGTTTGACTGTGTCCGCCTACCCAATCTCATCTTGAATTGTAGCTCCCACAATTCCCACACATCATGGGAGGGATCCAGTGGGAGGTAACTGAATCATGGGGGTGAGTGTTTCCCATGCTCTTCCTATGATAGTGAATAAATCTCACATGATCTGATGGTTTTATAAAAGGGAGTTTCCCTGCAAAAATTATCTTTTTGCCTGCTGCCATGTAAGACGTGCCTTTCGCCCTCCACCAGGATTGTGAGGCTTCACCAGCTATGTGGAACTGTGAGTCCATTAAACCTCTTTCCTTTGTAAATTATCCAGTCTCAGGTATGTTTTTAACAGCAGCTTGAAAATGGACTAATACAATGATGCAGTGGAATTGCTGGGTCAAATGTTAGCTCTATTTTTAATTTTTTTGAGGAATCTCCAAACTCTTCTCCATAGTGATTGTACTAATTTACATTCCCACCAACAGTGTATGAGGGTTCCCTTTTCTCCACATTCTCACCAGCATTTGTTCTTGCCTGTCTTTTGGATATCAGCCATTTTAACTGAGGTAAGATGAGATCTCATTGTAGTTTTGATTTGCATTTCTCTGAGGATCAATGATGTTCAGCACTTTTTCCTATGACTGTTTGACATCTGTATGTCTTCTTTTGAGAAATACCTATTCACGTTGCCCATTGTTTGATGAGATTATTTGATTTTTCCTATAGAGTTGTTTGAGCTCCTTATATATTCTGGTGATTAGTCCTTTGTCAGAGGGGTAGTTTGCAAGTATTTTCTCCCATTCTGTGGGTTGCCTCTTTACTTTGTTGAATGTATCCTTTGCTGTGCAGAAGTTTTTTAACTTGCTGTGATCCCATTTGTCCACATTTGCTTTGTTTTCCTGTACTTGTGGGGTATTACTCAAGAAATCTTTGGCCAGTCTAATGTACTGGAAAATTTCTCCAATGTTTTCTTGTAGCAGTTTCATAGTTTGAGGTCTTAGATTCAAGTTTTTAATGCATTTTGATTTGATTTTTGTATATGGTGAGAGAGTTCTAGTTTTATTCTTCTGCATATGGATATCCAGTTTTGGAACTATTTTTTATGTTCTTATAAAAGTATGCAGCTTGAAAATGAGGTTTTTCCACTTTTTTCATTTTTTACATTGTAATTATTTAAGCAATTACTCTATTAAATAATTAAGGAAGAATCATTGTTTTAAATATTATTCCATCTTCATATCCAGAAACATGTGAGATGTATATAATTATACAAATGTTCTATTATGATTCCTTTTAAAGTGTTATGATTTTCTTCAAACTTCTTATGATTATTTGTAGATATTTTATATTTAACCATTTAGAATCACAGTTGTAAATGGAATGTATTTATCCATTATATCTTGTTATTTATTTATTTTCTAAATTTTAGTAGTATCTAGAAATGGTCTCGATTTTTCCTTTATCTTGCTGTTTAATCAGCAATCAGCACCTGGAATTCCTTAAAATTGTGTCACTTTGCTGCAGGTATCTTCCTGCCCTGCTTTTCTGGAGCATCTTCTCCTGGTGCAAATATAATGAAACCAACAAACAAAAAAGCTCAAAAATGAAAGACATGGACTAAACATATAAGTCCTGCATTCTTTAGGACATACTGATTCTTTGCCCACTAGCTTTAATAAAAAACATGCCTCTGCCCGCAAGTGTTTGTGTAAACCTTGTGAAGTAAAAAACCAAGCTCCCAGCCTAGGATCTGGGAAGGCAGCTTGAATAGCTTCAACTCTCACACTTGGACACCATGGCATTGACCAAAGGGATTTTGGAAAAGGCAAGAGAAGCACAGAAAAGTTTTAGAACCTTTTCTCATTCTTCATTACTTAAAAAATTCCTTTACTTATCACTTCTTTTCCCCTTTTCCAACGCTTTTTTTCCCCCGTGAAAATTAGATAGACTGAATCTCACATGTGATACAAAAGGACTTCTCATCTGTGGGAGGGGCTCTTATTTTCTATACAGTCTCTCACAAATTCTTCAGTGTCCTGGGAGTCAGGCCTGTAAGCACTGGCAATCCCAGACAGCTAACAGGTACACTCACTGGGCTGAGGGCTCCCCAGGGATGAGAAGATGGTGTTTGGATCCCTGCATGTTTGTAGAATACCTTCAAGAGTATGCATGTCATACCAGGGCAGGAAGGGCAGAGGTCACCTAATTTTGGTCTTTTCACCACAAATTAACCTCCTGGACAGGCTGGGCAGAGATGGTCTGTGTGATCTAGTGAGGCTCAGGGGATGTATGAGGTCACTGTGGAAGGGATGAGGATACACCAAAGGCAAAGGCACTGACTACATGGGAATAGCCCAGATCTAAGCCTTTTTGGGGGATGGTAGCCCTAAATGGTGTTTTGCTTTCCTCAGCACAGACCTATAGCACAGAGCTCCTCTGAGGGGCAGCTAGGCTATTTACTCCCTCATTTTCCACATCCTGGATGCTGTCAAGAAGAGGCTGGTTCCTGGTTTCAGGAAGGAGGAGGACAACAAGGCCAGAGAGGATGGCAAAGACTCCATAGATGATCCAGGGCAGGGGTCGAGAATATATGCTTAGGATCATCATGAGGGAAGCCAGGGCTCCCCCAATATTAGCAAAGTTTCCAGTGATTCCAGTAGCTCTTCCCCTTGGAGTAAAAACAGCAACAGAGGAAAAGTTGTTAAAAATCATACATATAATTTGTGATTTATCATTTTGCTGTGATTATGGATGAGCACTTAAACACATGGAGGTGATAACATACTCTTGCTTTTGAAATTTTCTCTTATTTGCTAGCAATTTATTTTAGATTCACAAGTGAATTAGACACATTTTTATCATTTACAAAATGCTATTTTCCTTAACATCAACCTTTCAGGTGGTTCAGAAGGTACATGGGATACTGCATTAAAAGACTTAATGCAGCGTCTGGAACAAAGTCAGCTTGATATAAACTTGGGCTGTAATTTGTTGTTTTTATGACTATTACATTTGATTGTTTTTTAACTAACTTGTCTTGGATTTTTTTCCCTTGTTAAGTGTCAATTGGTTGAGACAGGTCCATTTTGAGAATGACAGAGCACACATAAACTTTTGTACCTGATTATGGAAGGAATTAGTTCATTTTCTTGGGCAGTAGAACAGGTAATGCCAAGAGAAGCAGCTCCCACACCCAGGGTTGCCAAAACCACACGCAGGGTCTGCATTTCTGGAGAAAGGAAGACCACAGGGCCTCAGGAAATCTGAGCTGAAGGAATCAGCATCTCCCAAGGTAGAAGTGAAAAGGACTGCTTTGGAGGTGTTTCCAGGGGTAAAATGTACTGTAGGAAAACTGCATAGAGGCAAAGAATGTGCAGTGGCTAATAGCTGAGAAATGTGATTGGCCTACATATTGTGACTTAAATAGTGAATAAAAGGATCTGAGTTGATGCTTCAATTCTCACTATATATCAGGGGTATGCCATAGCAGAAAAGGGAACATTAGAGCTAAAGAGTTTTTTTTTTGTCTCACTTATTCTATCTGGGAACACCTCTGCCCTCCTTGCAGAAAACAGGAGTGTCATGTGGGCAATACTAGGGAGTGTAAGACTCATCCATGTCCTCATAGATTTTAAAACCCAGATATATACACAATATTGACATGGGGCTATGTTTGCAAAAGGCAGTCATAAAAGGACAGGGTTCCTATGTTAAAGGACAGATTGGACAGTATTAATGTTTCAAGGATGAAGAATAAGGACATTTATTGGAGAAAAATATCAGACTTTGGAAACAAATGAAGTGAAGTTTCAGAGGCAGGATTCTATCCAATTAAAACAAAAAGATCATAATTGCCTCATGTCATTGGAGTGGGTTCTGTTGCATTGCACCAGACTGGTATCACTGCTGACATTCAAGAGGAGAACTGGAGCACACCAACCTGGTATTCTCTTAAGTACATTACTAGACCGGGAGTGAGGTGAAGCCTGATGACAACTTGGGTTCCCTTATTTATTGCTTGTGATCATTTAATTTATGAATTCTAAGATTCTAAGAGAAGGTCTTAATTGACAATTGTCTCCTTCCTACTGGACATTTCTGTACATAAAGATACGGGACTTTTGTTTCTTTGAAGTCAAGATGACTCCCCTAAACCAGGATTGCAGTTATGGTGACCTAATACAAGGCACACAGTGGATATGTAGTGATTAGGGAGTACTTTGTCACAGAAGCTGTAGTGGTAAGAAAGAGCCCAGACAGAGGAAATAGCAGTATTGTGTTCTCATATTGGGATACAAAGGCCCAGCACCTCAACACTTACTAAGAGTTTGATTGGCCAAAGGGCAAGTGATCAATTGCTGTCCTAGAGAAACTATCAGGAATAAATGGCACCAACTTCTTACTACTTCTCAAATGTGCTGAAGACAACCATATATCCGAGCCAATCTTACTCATCTTTGACTCATTTCCCAGCAACTTCCGTGTGGCAAAATCTGTCCTAAAGCCCCAGATTTCTATCAGGGAATCCTGAGAACTCAATTCTCCCTTTCCTTCTGGCTTCAGATAGGTGTGACCAGGGCAATCCCTGAGAAAAGAGGGAAAGACATTTTCTTTCTTCCACCTGTGAACTTTTCTCACCTTGAGGCACAAATATGATGGCCAGAAGGCAGGTTGCCAGTAGGAACATGAGAAGCATCTGGCTTAGTCGACGGCTCATGTGATTCAGTGCCCAAGGTGCAACACAATTGGCCAGGAGGGTGACTGCACCAAAGAGAGTCTGCAACAGGAAAACATTGTTTCCCAGATGCTGGAGGTGCAAAGTAAGGCCCCAAAAAGGGATGGTACTTGCAAATCTGCAGGGAACACAGAAAAAGGCACATATTATAATCTGTGGAACCTAAATCCTACAAATGAGAATAATATTGGCCCAGGTAGCCAAGGACTCTTTAAAGTAAAAAGGCAGAGTGTGTTTTGTGGAATATTTTCTTGCAAGTTGATATTTTAAAGTTATCATAAAATAATGGTTAGATGATAGTGGTAACAATTGTATCTTGAGGGACAACAGATGTTGTATGGAGGATGTGCTATGGGGTTTATTTATTTATTTTAAAAGCAATGGATTTTATTAGTATTCTAAAACCAATGTAGCCACATGGCATCAAAAATCACTGCAAAAAAATTCACAGTAATGAAAATATACAATTAAAAATAAAAATGTACTGATGTCAGTCAAACTCACAGTAAAGATCTAAGAAGCCAAAATTTCCATTTGCCACCCTTACAATCAGGAATGTTTACTAAAATGTACAACTTATTGGGTACAGATTGTATATTCATGGCATTCATTCTGTAGATGGTCTTGTGTAGCAAATCTAGATTAGAATAAGAAAACCTATTTTTATATTATGTATATTTAATGGTGTCTAACTTCATTATGGTTTTATTTTTTGGAATAAGAGGTAGTCGATAGAGACAGCTGGCAAGATGGCCGAATAGGAAGAGCTCTGGTCTGCAGCTCCCAGCGAGAGCAATGCGGAAGGTGAGTGATTTCTGCATTTCCAACTGAGGTACCCGGTTCATCTCACTGGGACTGGTTAGACAGCGGGTGGGTGCAGCCCACGGAGGGTAAGCTGAAGCAGGGTGGGGCATCACCTCACCCAGGAAGTCCAAAGGGCCAGGGAACTTCCTCACCTACCCAAGGAAGCCATAGGGACTGTGCTATCCAGCCCAGAAATTATGCTTTTCCCATAGTTTTTGCAACACGCAGACCAGGAGATTCCCTTGTGTGCCAATGCTACCAGGGCCCTGGGTTTCAAGTGCAAAACTAGGTGGCTGTTTGGGGAGACACTGAGCTAGCTGCAGGAGTTTTTTTTTTTTCCCCCAGTGGGACCTGGAACCTCAGTGAGACAGAACCATTCACTCTCCTGGAGAAGGGGCTGATGCCAGAAAGCCAAGTGGTCTCGCTCAGCAGGTCCCACTCCCATGGAGCCCAGCAAGCTAAGAACCACTGGCTTGAAATTCTCACTGCCAGCACATCAGTCTGAGGTCGAACTGGGATGATCAACCTTGGTGGGAGAGGAATGTCCACCATTACTGAGGCTTGTGTAGGCAGTTTTCCCCTCACAGTGTTAAGGAAGCCATTGGGAAGTTCAAACTGTGTGGAACTTACTGCAGTGCTGCAAAGCAACTGTGGCCAGACTGCCTCTCTAGATTCCTCCTCACTGGGCAGGGCATCTCTGAGAGAAAGGCAGCAGCCCCAGTCAAGGGCTTATAGATAAAACTCCCATCACCTGGGACAGAGCACTTTGGGGAAGGGGTGGCTGTGGGTGCAGCTTCAGTGGACTTAAACATTCTTGCTTGCCAGCTCTGAAGAGAGCAGTGGATCTCTCAGCACAGTGCTTGAGCTCTGCTAAGGGATAGACTGCCTCCTTAAGTGGGTCACTAACACCTGTGCCTCCTGACTGGGAGACACTTCCCAGCAGGGGTCAACAGACACTTCATACAGGAGAGCTCTGGCTGGCATCAGGCAGGTGCTCCTCTAAAATGAAGCTTCCAGAGGAAGGAGCAGGCAGGAATCTTTGCTGTTCTGCAACCTCCGCTGGTGATACCCAAGCAAACAGGATCTGGAGTGGACCTCCAGCAAACTCCAGCAGACCTGCAGAAGAGGGACCTGACTGTTAGAAAGAAAACTTACAAACAGAGAGAAGTAACATCAACATCAACAAAAAGGATGCCCCCACAAAAACCCCATCCAAAGGCCATCAGCATCAAAGATCAAAGGTAGATAAATCCATAAAGATGAGGAAAAACCAGTGCAAAAATGCTGAAAATTCCAAAAAACCGAATGCGTCTTCTCCTCCAAATGATGACATTTCTCTCCAGGGAGGGCATTAAACTGGATGGAGAATGAGTTTGACAAATTGACAGAAGTAGGCTTTAGAAGGTGGGTAATAACAAACTCCCCTGAGCTAAAGAAGCATGTTCTAACCCAATGCAAGGAAGTTAAGAACCTTAATAGAAGGTTGCAGGAACTGCTAACTAGTTAACCAGTTTAGAGAAGAACATAAATGACCTGATGGAGCTGAAAAACACAGCACGAGAACTTTGTGAAGCATACACAAGTATCAATAGCTGAATCAATCAAGTGGAAAAAAGGATATGAGAGATTGAAGGTCAATTAAATGAAATAAAGTGTGAAGGAAAGACTAGAGAAAAAAGAATAAAAGGAACAAACCAAGCCTCCAAGAAATATGGGACTCTGTGAAAAGACCAAATCTATGATGGATTGGTGTACCTGAAAGTGACAGGGAGAATAAAAGCAAGTTGGAAATCACATGTCAGGACATTATACAGGAGAACTTCCCCAACCTAGCAAGACAGGCCAACATACAATTTCAGGATATACAGAGAACACCACTTAGATACTCCTTGAGAAGAGCAACACCAAGACACATGATTGTCAGAGTCTTCAAGATTGAAATGAAGGAAAAAAATGTTAAGGGCAGCCACAGAGGAAGGTCAGGTTACCTACAAAGGAAAGTCCATCAGACTAACAGTGGATCTCTCTGCAAAAACCCTACAATCCAGAAGAGAGTGAATGCCAATATTCAACATTCTTAAAATAAAAGAATTTTCAACCCAGAATTTCATATACAGCCAAACTAAGCTTCATAAGCAAAGGAGAAATAAAATTCTTTCCAGACAAGTAAATGCTGAGGGATTTTGTCACCAGCAGGCCTGCCTTACAAGAGCTCCTGAAGGAAGCACTAAATATGGGAAGGAAATACTGGTACCAACCACTGCAAAAACATACCAAAATATAAAGACCAATGATGCTATGTAGAAACTGCATCAACTAATGTGCAAACTAAGCAGCTAACATCATGATGACAGGATCAAATTAAACATAACAATGTTAACCTTAAATGTAAATGGGCTAAATGCCCCAATTAAAAGACACAGACTGGCAAATTGCATAGAGTCAAGACCCACTGGTGTGCTGTATTCAGGAGACCTATCTCATGTGCAAAGACACACATAGGTTCAAAATAAAGGGATAAAGAAATATTTACCAAGCAAAGAGAAAGAAAAAAAAGCAGGGATTGCAATCCTATTCTCTGATAAAACAGAGTTTAAGCCAACAGAAATCAAAGAAGACAAAGAAGGGCATTACATAATGATAAAGGAATCAATGCAACAAGAAGAGCTAACTATCCTAAATATATACACACACAACACAGGAGCACCCAGATTCATAAAGCAAGTTATTAGAGACCTACAAAGAGGCTTAGATTCCTACGCAATAATAGTAGGAGACTTTAACATCCCACTGTCAATATTAGATCAACTAGACAGAAAATCAACAAGGATATTCAGGACTTGAACTCAACTCTGGACCAAGTGGATCTCTAATAGACATCTACAGAACTCTCTACCCCAAATCAACAGAATATACATTCTTCTCAGCACCACATCGCACTTATTCTAAAATTGATCACATAATTGGAAGTAAAACACTCCTCAGCAAGTGCAAAAGAACAGAAATCATAACAAACAAGTCTCTCAGACCACAGTGCAATCAAATTAGAACTCAGGATTAAGAAACTCATTCAAAACCACTCAACTACGTGGAAACTGAACAACCTGCTCCTGAATGACTACTGGGTAAATAATGAAGTAAAGACAGAAATAAAGAAGTTATTTGAAACGAATGAGAACAAAGACAAAATGTATGAGAATCTCTGGGACACAGCAAAAGCAGTATTAAGAGGGATTTTACAGCACTAAGTGCCCACATCAGAAAGCGAGAAAGATCTAAAATCGATACCCTAACATCACAATTAAAATAACTAGAGAAGTAAGAGTGAACAAATTGAAGAAAAGCTAGGCAAAGACAAGAAATAACTAAGATGAGAGCAGAACAGAAGGAGACAGAGACACAAAACCACTCATAAAAATCAATGAATCCAGGAACCAGTTTACTGAAAAGATCAACAAAATAAATAGACTGCTAGCAAGACTAATAAAGAAGAAAAGAGAGAAGAATAAAATAGACACAATAAAAAATGATATAGGGGATATCACCGCTAACCCCACAGAAATACAAACTACCGTCAGAGAATACTATAAACACCTCACACAAATAAACTAAAAATCCAGAAGAAATGGATAAATTCCTGGACATATACACCCTCCCAAGACTAAACCAGGAAGAAGTTGAATCCCTGAATAGACCAATAACAAGTTCTGAAATTGAGGCAGTAAATAATAGCCTACCAACTCAAAAAGCCCAGGACCAGATGGATTCACACCTGAATTCTCCCAGAGGTGCAAAGAGGAGTTGGAACAATTCCTTCTGAAAATTCTTCAAATAATAGAAAAAGAGGGACTCCTCCCTAACATATTTTATGAGGCCAGCATTATCCTGATACCAAAACCTGGCAGAGACACAACCAGAAAAGAAAATTTCAGGCCAATATCCCTGATGAACATCAATGCAAAAATCCTCAGCACAATACTGGCAAACTGAATCCAGCAGCACATCAAAAGCTTATCCACCACGATTAAGTAGGCTTTATCCCTGGGATGCAAGGCTGGTCCAACATAGAAAAATCAATAAATATAATCCATCACGTAAACAGAATCAATGACAATAGCCACACGATTATCTCAATAGATGCAGAAAAGACCTTCAATCAAATTCAACACCCTTCATGGTAAACTACTCAATAAACTAGGTATAGATGGAACATATCTCAAAATAATAAGAGCTATTTATGACAAACCCATAGCCAATATCATACAGAATGGGCAAAAGCTGGAAGCGTTCCCTTTGAAAACTGGCACAAGACAAGAATGCCCTCTCTCACCACTCCTATTCAACATAGTATTGGAAGTTCTGGCCACGGTAACCAGGCAAGAGAAGGAAATGAAGGGTATTCAAATAGGAAGAGAAGAAGTCAAATTGTCTCTGCAGATGACATGATTGTATATTTAGAAAACCCCATCATCTCAGCCCCAAAACTCCTTAAGCTGATAAGCAACTTCAGCAAAGTCTCAGAATACAAAATCAATGTGCAAAAATCACAAGCATTCCTATTCATCAACAATAGACAAACAGAGAGCCAAATCATGAATGAACTCCCATTCACAATTGCTACAAAGAAAATAAAATACCTAAGAATACAACTTACAAGGGACGTGAAGGAGCTCTTCAAGGAGAACTACAAACCACTGCACAAG
This sequence comes from Homo sapiens, assembly GCF_000001405.40. Classification (NCBI taxonomy): domain Eukaryota; kingdom Metazoa; phylum Chordata; class Mammalia; order Primates; family Hominidae; genus Homo; species Homo sapiens. Next base: position 63,171,648 of record NC_000011.10, read on the forward strand.
GAAATAAGAGAGGACACAAACAAATGGAAAAACATTCCATGCTCATGGATAGAAAGAATCAATATCATGAAAATGGCCATATTGCCCAAAGCAATTTATAGATTCAATGCTATTCCTCAAGCTAACATTGACTTTTTTTGCAGAACTAGAAAAAACTACTTTAAATTTCACATGGATTTTAAAAAAGCTTGTATAGCCAAGACAATGCTAAGCAAAAAGAACAAAGCTGGAGGCATCATACTGCCTGACTTCAAATATACTACAAGGCTAAAGTAATCAAAACTGCATGGTACTGGCACCAAATCAGATACATAGACCAATGGAGCGAACAGAAATAACACCACACATCTACTACCATCTCGTCTTTGACAAACCTGACACAAATGAGCAATGGGGAAAGGATATCCTATTTAATAAATGGTGCTGGGAAAACTGGCTAGCCATATGCAGAAAACTGAAACTGGACCCCTTCCTTACACCTTATACAAAAATTAACTCAAGATGGATAAAAGACTTAAATATAATACCTAAAACCATAAAACCCCTAGAAGACAACTTAGGCAATACCATTTGGGACATAGGCACAGGCAAAGACTTCAGGACTAAAACACCAAAAGCAATTGCAACAAAAGCCAAAATTGACAACTGGGATCTAATTAAACTAAAGAGCTTCTGCACAGCAAAAGAAACTATCATCAGAGTGAACAGGCAACCTACAGAATGGGATAAATTTTTGCCATCTATACATCTGACAAAGTTCTAATATCTGGAATCTACAAGGAACTAATCAAATTTACAAGAAAAAAATCCCATCAAAAAGTGGGCAAATGATGTGAACAGACACTTCTCAAAATAAGACATTTATGTGGCCAACAAACATATGAAAAAAAGCTCATCATCACTGGTCATCAGACAAATGCAAATCGAAACCACATCGAGATACCATCTCATGCCAGTTTGAAGAGGAGCTAGGTGTGGGTGTTTTCAGTGCCTTTCACAGGATACCTTTTTTTTTTTTTTTTTTTAACCTGGTGGATAGCCTAATGTGATCCTTAAAAAGTTAGGAAACAACAGATGCTGAAGAGGATGTGGAGAAATAGAAACAATTTTACACTGTTGGTGGGAGTGTAAATTAGTTCAACCATGTGGAAGACAGTGTGTTGATTCATCATGGATTTAGAAAAAGAAATACCATTGGACCCAGCAATCCAATTACTGGGTATATTATTCAAAGGATTAGAAATCATTCTACTATAAGGACACATGCACATGTATGTTTACTGCAGCACTATTCACAATAGCATAGACTTGGAACCAACCCAAATGCCCATCAATGATAGACTGGATAAAGAAAATGTGGCACATATACAGCATGGAATACTATGCAGCCATAAAAAAAGATGAGTTCCTGTCCCTAACAGGGACATGGATGAAGCTGGAAACCATCATTCTCAGCAAACTAACACAGGATCAGTAAAGCAAACAACACAGGTTTTCACTCATAAGTGGGAACTGAACAATGGGAACACATGGACACAGGGAGGGAGACATCACACACTGGGGCCTGTTGGGGGTGGGGGGCAAGGGGTGGGAGAGCATTGGGACAAATACCTAATGCATACATGGTTTAAAACCTAGATAATGGGTTGATGGGTGCAGAAAACCACCATGGCACATGTATACCAATGTAACAAACCTGTATGTTCTGCACATGTATCCCAGAACTTAAAGTATAATTTTAAAAAAGAGGCAGTCAATAAACTTTAATTATATATTCAACATACATTTGTATCTCATTGTAGTGAATACTTATAATTTTATGTTATGTCAGCATCCATTTTGAATTCAAGTTTAACTTTCTTATACCAGAGGCAGGGCTCAGTCACCCTTGACACAGTTTCCATTTCTATGCCACTCCCAAATGGCCAGAGAGAAAAACTTGGAGCCATCTCTCCTGCCTAGCAGATTGGGTTTGTGACTTTCCCAGTGCTTCTTGTAAGTGTACAATTCAGGCATTTGCCTGGAAGCTCTAAGTGACCCACAACCTACTTCCTTATGTATACTGCTCACTGCCATGTACATTTCTCTCTCTGTGCATGATTCTTTATTTCTGCATCATGTGATCTGGTGATCCTTACCCAGGATCTGTAAGTAGACATCCTTGAACTTGTTTCCTTTTGTTCAGTGCATTGAATTTATGCTTTCCATTGGAAGAACTAGGGGCTAGCTATTCAAGGTTGGATTTTCTTTTCTTTTTTTTTTTTTTTATTACATTTTAAGTTCTGGGATACATGTGCAGAACGTGCCTTTTTGTTACATAGGTATACAAGTGCCATGGTGGTTTGCTGCACCCATCAACTCATCACCTACATTAGGTATTTCTCCTAATGTTATCCCTCCCCTAACCCACCACCCCCTGACAGGCCCTGGTGTGTGATGTTCGCCTCCCTGTGTCCATGTGTTCTCATTGTTCAACTCCCACTTATCAGTGAGAACACACGGTGTTTGGTTTTCTGATCTTGTGAGTTTGCTGAGAATGAGATGGTTTCCAGCTTCATCCATGTCCCTGCAAAGGACATGAACTCATCCTTTTTTATGGCTGCATAGTATTCCATGGTGTATATGTGCCACATTTTCTTAATCTAGTCTATCAAGGTTGGATTTTCTCTAGGATAGCAATGAGAACACAAGATTGGGCTCCCAGTGGCAGAGCAATGGTCAGGCAGGCATAAATTGCACATAGATCAGATAAGAACCACAATGGCATATGCCAGTCTAAGCTATTTTCCTGTGTGACTACCTAGTTGTCCAAACCTTCCTAGTTATGGTTTGGACAACTAGGCACTAGCTGTCCACCAGGTAAAACACGTATCCTGTGAAAGGCACTGAAATCACCCACGTCTAGTTCCTCTTCTTTTTCCCTTAGGGCAGGCTTGCCAGTCACTCAGATACTGAAATCCCAGTTTAGCTGGGAACTCTCAAAACACCTATTTACTTTTTAAAACTGTGGTAAAAATGCATAACACGAGTTCTGCCCTGTTAACAAATTTTTAAGTGTACAGTAAAATATTCTTAACTGTATGCATAATGTTGCACAGCATCTTGCGTAACTGACACTTTATGCCCATTAAATGGGAACTTCCTATTTCCCTCTGCCCTCTGCCCCAGGAAACTATGATTCTACTTTCTGCTTCTATAAATTTGATTATTTTAGATATCTCATATAAGGGGAATTGGCGGTGTTTGTCCTTCTGTCCTGGCATATTTAACTTAGCATAATGTCCTCAAGTTTCAAACATGTTGGATATGACATTTTTCTTTCCATGGCTGACTAATATTCCATCATGAGTACGTACCACATTTTACTTATCCATATGTCAATGGACATTTAAGTTGCTTCTACATCTTGGCAATTATGAATAATGTTGCAATGAACATGGGAGTGCAAATATCTCTTCCCAATCCTGATTTCAATTGTTTCTTTGAAAAACTGAGATCCTAGAAGTAGGATTGGTGAATCATATGGTAGTCCTACTGCTTTCCATAGGGGCTATACTATTTACATTTTCACTAACAGTGTACAATGGTTCCAATTTTTCCACATTCTTGCCAACAGTTATTATCTCTTATTTATTTATTCAATTTATTTATGATAATGTCCTAACAGATTTGAAGTAATATCTGATTGTAGTTTTGACTTGCATGTTCCTGACTAGTGATTTTGAGCACATTTTCCATTGGCCATTTGTATGGCTTCTTTGGAAAAATGTCTAGTCAAGTCCTTTGCTTATTTTGTGATTGGACTACTTGCATTCATGGTAGTGAGTTGTAGGTTTTCCTAATATATTTTGGATATTAACTCATATCAGATATGTGGTTGGCAAATATTTTCCCTCATTCTGAAGGCTGCCTTTTCATTCTATTATTTCCTTTGCTGTGCAGAAGCTTTCTAGTTTGATGTCCTATTTGTATATTTTTCCTTTCATCGTTTGTGCTTTTGGCATCATATCCATGAAATAATTGCCAAAACTAATGTCATGAAGCTTTTCACCTATGTTTTCTTCTAGGATTTTGATAGTTTCAGGTCTCATGTTAAGTCTTGAATCCATTTTCAGTTGATTTTTGTGTGTGCTATAAGGAAAGGGTTCAATTTCATTTAATAAAGAAAATTGGGTGTGTATATATATATATACACATTTTAATAAAGTGAAACCCTTTCCTTATAGCACATAACCCTTTCCTGATAGCACAGTAAAATGAAATTGAATCCTTTCCTTATGGCACATATATGTGGATATGTAGTTGCTTAGCACCATTTGCTGAAGAAACTATCTTTTTCTATTGTGTATCTTTGTCACCCCCACAAAGATCAGTTGACTGTATATGCATGGATTGATTTCTGCATTCTCCATTCTGTTCCATTGGTCTAAATGTCCATCTTTATGCAAGTACCATAGTGTTTTAAACTACTGTTGCTTTGCAATATGTTTTGAAATCAGGTGGTTGTGGCCTTTAGCATTGTTCTTCTTTCTCAAGGTAGTTTTATCTATTCTAAAATTTGTATGGTTCCCATAGGATTTTAGGATTTTTTTCTATTTCTGTAAAATAATGCCGCTGAGATTTTGATAGGGATTGCACTGAATCTTCAGATTACTTTGAGTAGCATGAACATTTAATAATATAAAGCTTTGCCATTCATGCATATATCTTTTCATTCATCTTTGTTTTGTTTATTTCATCAATGTTTTGTAGTTTTCAGTGTACAAGTCTTTTGCCTCCTTGGTTAAGTTTATTCCTAAGTATTTTCTTCCTTTTTATGGTATTATAAATGAGATTGCTTCTTAATCTCATTTTTGGATAGTTTGTTGTTAGTGTATAAAAACACAACTGATTTTTAAGTGCATTTTGTATCCTTCAACTAGATTGCATTTGTTTATTAGCTCTAAAATTTTTGTGTGTGTAATCTTTAGGATTTTTACCTCTAAGATCATATAACCAGTGAGTAGAGCTTAGTTTACTTCTACCTTTCCTATTTAGATGCTTTTAATCTGTTTTTCTTCCCTAACTGCTCTGGTTAGCACTTTAAGTACTATATTAAATAGAAGTGGTGACTCATTCTTGATGTTAAAGGAAGAGCTTTCAGTTTTTCATCGAGTATGATGTTAGCTCTGGACTTCTCATAGTTTCCTTTACCAGTAAGCCTTATACTTTAATATGCTCTCGTGTTGCTCATTAGGGTTCTTTGTTTAAACATGAAGGGTTCCCTTTAACATTTCTTATAATGCAGATCTAGTGTTGACAGATTCACTCAGTTTTTGTTTGTCTGGGAAACTCTTTATTTCTCTTCATTTTTGAAGGCCAGTTTGCTGGATATAATACTTTTTGTTGGCAGTTTTCATCTCTAAATATATCATCATACTTTCTGTTGGCCTGTAAACTTTCTGTGGGAAAACAAACCAAAGTCTTATGGAGGTTCTCTTAGTACAAGACAAGTCACTTCTCTTGCTGCTTTCAAAATTCTTTTCTTTTGATAATTTTATTATAAAATGTCTAGATGTGAATTTTTTAAATTTTTAATGTTTATGGATACATGATAATTATACATATTTATGAGGCACTGTGATATTTTGATATATTCATACAGTATATAATGATAAAACCTGGGTAATTGGGATATCCATTATCTCACACATTCATCATTTGAGTGTGTGTGTGTGTGTGTGTGTGTGTGTGTGTGTCGAGAACATTTTAAATATACTCTTCTGGCTATTTTGAAATATACAATAACTTTATTGTTAACTAAAGTCACCTATAGTCAACTATAACTATTGTTTTACTGAAAACTAGATCTTATTTTTTCTATATAACTGTATTTTTGTACCCATTAGCTCATCCTTCTTAATACCCTTTCCCCAGTACCCTTCCCAGCTTCTGGTAGCCACCATTTCACTTATTACCACCAGGAGATAAATTTTTTAGCTCTCACATATGAGTGAGAACATGCAATATTTGTCTTTTGGTGCCTGGATAATTTAACTTAAAATAATGTCCTCCAATTCCATCCATGTTGTTGTAAATGACAGGAATGTATTATTTTTATGGCTGAATAATATTCCATTATATCTATTTCTCTCTACATATCCGATTATATATATATCCAAATACATATATATAATGTATATATATAATGTGTATATATATATAATGTATATATATAATATATATAATGTATATATATAATATATATATATAATGTATATCCCATTTTCTTTTTTTTTGACAGGGTCTCACTCTGTCTTAAAAGTGACACTCCACCTCCTTGGGCTCAAGCTATCCTCCCATCTCAGCCTCCAGAGTAACTGGGACTACACATATGTGCCACCATGCCTGGCTAATTTTTTGTATTTTTATTTATTTTTTTTTTTGCAGAGTCAGGGTTTTGCCATGTTACTCAGGCTGATCTGAACTTCTGGACTCAAGCAATCCATCCACCTTGGCCTCCCAAAATTCTGGGATTACAGGTGTGGGCCACCACGCCCTGCCAATATACCCCATTTTCTTTATACAGCCATTGATAAACATTTAGGTTGATACCATATCTTGGCTTTTGGGAATACTGCTGCAAAAAACATAGAAGTGCAGATATCTCTTCAATATGCTGATTTTCTACCTTTGCATATATATCCAAAAGTGAGACTGCTGGATAATATGGTATTTCCATTTTTAATCTTTTCACAAAATTTTATATTGTTTTGCATAGTGGCTGTACTGATTTATATTCCCACCAACAGTGTGCAAACATCCCCCTCTATATGCATCTTCCCCAGCATTTTTTTTTTTGTCTTTTTGATAATATTTTAACTGGGGTGAAATAATATCTTATTGTGGTTTTAATTTACATTTTTTCTGGTGATTAACTGTATTGAGCATTTTTTATACTTGTTGGTCATTTGTATATCTTATTTTAAGAAATGTCTATTCAGGTATCTTGCCCATTTAAAAATAAGCTTATTTGTTTTTTTGCTACTGAGTTGTTTATGTTCCTTATAGGTTTGATTTATTAATCCCTTGTCGGTTGAATAGTTTGCAATTTTTTTTCTATTCTGTAGGTTGTTTCTCCACTTTGTTGATTGTTTTCCTTTGTTGTGCAGAAGATTTTTAGCTTGATGTAATTCCATTTGTCATTTTTTTTGCTTTGTTTGCCTGTGCTTTTGACTTTTTACTCAAGAAAACTTTGCTAATAGCAATGTCCTAAAGGATTTCCTCAATGCTTTCTTCTAGTATTATCATAGTTTTAGGTCTTACATTTAAGTCTGTAATTTTTTTTTTTTTGAAATGGGGTTTTGCTCTGTCACCCAGGCTGGAGTGCAGTGGTGCAATCTTGGCTCACTGCAACCTCCACTTCGTGGGTTGAAGCAATTCTGGTGCTTCAGCCTCCTGAGTAGCTGGGATTACAGGGCCATGATGCCCGGCTAATTTTTGTAATTTTAGTAGAGATGGGTTTCACCATGTTTGGCCAGGCTGGTCTTGAACTCCTGACCTCAGGTGATCCGCCTGCCTCAGGCTCTCAAAATGCTGGAATTACAGGCATGAGCCACTGTGCCTGGTCTATATCTCTCCATTTCTTTATGATCAGTTTCTTAAGATTTATTTTGTTCCCTTTTGTGTCATATTTCTCTGTTTCTTCGTGTTCTTTGTAGCTTTGCATTGGTATCTATACATTTGAAGAAATAGCCACCTCTTCCTGTCTTCCCAGACTGGCTTTTACAATCAGCCCAGATAGAGATTCTGGGGACCTTCAATTCTACTCTGTGAAAGTATCTTCTCTGTATTTGTGCATGTAGATTCCTAATTAGAGGGATTTCCTGGTTTCTGTTTTTCAGGAACTGGCAATCTCTTGCTTTCTGTGGTATCTGTCTGCCATACCATGAGTCCTCTGATGTAGCAGCTTAACACCCAGCTGTCTTTGTTCTCAGTAGTTCTGAGGCATCTAGAGTGCGTGTGGGGTCCTACTGGCATAATGGTTGGGCTAGAAAAAAACTAATTTCTTGGGCAGCTCCCTGGAAAATCAGTATATCAGACACATACTGAGCTCCTTTCCCTCCTGAGGGAGAAATCTCAAGTTGTGCATATTCTTTTCATTGCACTGAGCTGTGTGAGTCACAGCTTTCTTTTGTACTCACTTTGTCCTCAGTGACCTTAGGCATCCAAATATGCCAGTTCCATCAGTGCTCTGAGTGAGGGGAGACAGAGACCAGTTCCTCACACAGTGTGTCCAAAGGCCAAGGTGTGGCTGAATGCTCTACTCTTTCCTTCCCTGTGAGGGAAAAGTCATAGGCCAGGGTGTCCTCTCTTGGCATGAGCTGTAACAACTTTGGGAAGGGGTTGTCATGTATAAACTGACATTACTCTTCTTGCCCATTTCAGTGCAACTGTTTTTGGTTTCGTGCTCATCTGGGGCATTACAATGTCTTGTCTCAGTTTTGAAATTCTCATAGAAGTATTTTTGTCCAGTCATTATTTAATCAGTGTTTCTGTGTGCGGTTGAGGGGTAGGATTTTCTGTTACGTCATCTTGCTGAACTTGTGATCATTTCCCAGTGTTTTAGAATTTTTTCTATACCTTGATCTGAGTGGTAGCTAGATATTAATAACTGGTAATATTCATTGATCTGTGTACATTCATATGATTTGCTGTTTATAAATTAGCTCAATTAAAATGGAAACAAATGAAGAAACTTTGAGTCTAAACCTATACTATAATTGAAGTTCTTAGCATAAGTCTCCACTGATGAGCCTGGTAGAATGATGTTATAAACAGAAATTGTGTAATTAATTCTGTGTCAGCCTTTTCATAACCCTTTTACCACTTTTAAAAATAGCAATTCTCTTTATGGATTTATCATCTTTTATCCCCCAAATATTTTCCTTCAACATGTTGTATCATTTGAAATAAGAAATGGATTTATGTCTCCTCTATTTTAACATTCCTCACACACTGCATGAAACTTACCTCACAAAGGACAGGAAACAGATTCTTTTACATATGTTGGGTATGCGGAGCAATTCACAAAGAGAATGCTTTTTCTGTGCTGCCTCCAGTTCTTGCTTCATGGTGGATTTCAAAACCTTCAACAACAACAGAAGCAATAAACTGTTCAGTTGTCACAAAATGGTAGGCATTGTAAGAGGACTTGTCAACCAACAGATGACAAGATAGATGACATCCCTTTCTGTCTAGCAGAAAATACATGGCTTAAAAATGCAATGGCAAATATAAAAGTGGTATGGAAGTTAGAATAGAGAGTTAAAGAAGCCTCAGAGAAATTATTTATCAAGGCTATTTTAGACAAGAGATTTAATTGGCTGCAGAGCATTGAAAAGAATATGTAGGTTAGAGATTCAGATCAGGATGGGGAAAAAAATGAAGAGTTACTTGGATTAAACTCCAAAGCTCCATTTATACCAGATGGGCCCCAAAGACCTGGTTCTCAGCTGAACTGCCTTTGGTGAAAAACAGTTTGCCTGCCTCAGGAAAGAGATAAATTTCCTGAGAGAGTTTATTTTGGTTCTTGTTTCAGAAATGCTGGAGGTTTGGGAGTGGGGTACTTTCTTCCTAACCCTTATGTTTTATTATTATACTTTAAGTTTTAGGGTACATGATATACATGTGCCATGTTGGTGTGCTGCACCCATTAACTCGTCATTTAGCATTAGGTATATCTCCTAATGCTATCCTTCCCCCCTCCCCCCACCCCACAACAGTCCTGGTGTGTGATGTTCCCCTTCCTGTGTCCATGTGTTCTCATTGTTCAATTCCCACCTATGAGTGAGAACATGCGGTGTTAGTTTTTTTGTCCTTGCGATAGTTTGATGAGAATGATGGATGAAGCTGGAAACTAACCCTTATGTTTCTGTGAAGAACAAGTTTCAACAGGGATAATCTTGGTCCCTCTCCACATACCCTAAGTTGTCTGTGGAGGACTATGGTATTGTTGGTGAGTGTGGGAGAATGAGACAGGCATGCTGTAGTGCCCAGAACACGTTTAGAAAGAGATTGCATTCAAGTCTGCTTTCTGGGCCACATCCTATATTTATCAGGTTAGGCTCTGCACCTCTGGGAAAACCTGTGACTGGTGAGTAAGCTTAATTCTGGGATGAAGTGTTAGAAATCCTGTTGAGGCAAGGTACGTGAAGTCATGTCTTCTATTCCAGTTTTCTCAGTAGTACAAATGCTAAAAATTTTGATCTCCATGTTTCTGAACCCTTTAACTATCTCTCAGTTATGTGTGGTTTGGGCATAGGAGATGAATGTTACGTACTGAACTCGCTGACCACTAAAATTAGACTGATCAACGGATTGCTATTGACATAAAGTGGATTTGCTTTAGGCTAGAAGGGCTTCCTAGAGTAGGTGTGTTAAGCAGTCTGTCAGATGGAGGTTGAAACAGGAATAAGACCACACACATATGGATAATATTTACAAAATAAAAAAATCAAGTTAACACAATATTAGGTACCCATTCATGCATAGAATCCACATCCTAAACCAATTGCTCTTTTTGAGCAACACTGGCCTTCCTCTGGGTGCTGAGGGGACAGTCAGTTGCCATTCACTTTGAGATAATGCATTGCTATTTTTTGGATTCTACTGTTTTTTGTAACACTTAATTGTTGTTGTTGTTGTCGTTGTTTTGAATCTCCCTGAACTTCTGTAAGAGTAGCTTTTATTTTCTTATTGGGCCAACCTTGTAGGTCACATGCTAGGTGTGTGTGTATGAAACCACAGATAGCATCTGAGAATTCAGTTGACCCAAAAGAATTACACTATATATATATATATATTCTCTCTATATATTCTTTATATATATTTAGATACAGTCTAGAAATGACATTCAGTTCCATCTGAATTTCAACATTTCCTTTTTAAAAAAAATGCTATGCCAATATTTTCACTATTCTATTGGGATGCCTGTGCTATTGTCTCTGCAATGGGTTCATCTCTGTGGGAAATATTTATTTCTTCCTGCCACCTTCTGTTGAACGTTAACTCACAGGAAGATTTTCAGGCTTCTTATTTCAAATCTCCTTTTGAAGGAGCTGTGCTTCCTTCTGGGACTAAGTTCCATCAGATATGTCATTGACCATGTCTTAAGAGATGTTTTATTCATTCTCTCTGATTAACTAGCTCCTAGTCCTCTCCTGTTTCAGTAAAATAAGGTAAAATGTATTTTTCTTGTCTTCATTAACATTCTTTCTATACTTTTATAATTTCCAACACTTAGATTTAAACATGTCCATTAGTTCTCCTCTCTCATATTAAAGTAAAAGCTCCATTCAGGCTGTGACCCTGACTTCCTCTGTCATTCATGACCTAGTACCATTTGTGGCATACTATAATTTTTTGATAAATACTTTACATTTACTTAATAATCCATGGGGTGGAAAAAAAGATAAAGACTTCCCCCAGGCATTTCCACTCAGCCATGCTTTAAAGCTTATAGTAAGTAGAAGAAACTCCATACAAATATAGATTTGGACTGGTGTTGGTACTGTCATATTTCCAAGAAAGAATGAAATCTTGAACAGGTAGGCACTCACTAAATATATCTTGAATGAAAGAATATATGACAGAGTGAACAAATAAGTGAACCTCCTTATGTTCTATTCTGTTTGCTCCCTAATCCTTCCTTCCTCTGTCCTTATTACCCTGAAAGAAGGCCACAGAATAATAACTGGGAAGTAATGAACTAATTTAGGTTACTTTCTATTATGGAGTTAGAGTGAGTCCAGTGCAAAATTTGCATTGTTAACACTCTGTGCCTCTGCCTCTGTTGAGTAAAATATCTGTGTCCCATCCTTTCAGCAACAGGATATTCTCTTTCAATGTTAATCCAATGTTGACACCCATTGAGAATGATCGTGAGGTGAGATGACCCATAACTCTACCTGTGTTTCTCTCCTTTATTCACCTTATGAACACCAACAAGTATAGATGACAATTTATGTCTTCCCAGCATCCCATATCCAGCTCCCGTCTTGCTTACCTCCATGGTTAGGATGTCTTCAGCATTCTTCATTCCATTCCTGTGTGCAGCTTTTCTAAGTTCCTTTAAGCCCTCTTCTGGTTTGTTGTTGATAATGAGCCACCGAGCAGACTCTGCCAGCCACCTGAGCAAAGAAGAGGACAGAGGTGCAGCCAACCACTACTTACTCATTTTTTCACATAACATTTATCCTGAGATGCCTTTCCCCTCTAAGCTAATACCCACCTCTTGTTTGGTTATACCAGGAAATAAAAGCCTACATTCTCTTGTGCCATCACCAGGAAAATGTAAGGGTGACTCTCTGTGCAGTACACATTCACTGTTGGGATAAACACTTGAGTCATATTGGCATCCCTCTTATTCAGCAAATTTGTCATGGAGCTCCTGATGCTGAAGCATGAGGAATCATCACTTGTACAGATGCCTGCCAAGGTCCTAGTAAGGGCATAACAAATGTCTATTCATAATGTGTTCTTTTTCCTAAAGTAAAGACCCTGAAATAATTGATGTATGCTTGAGGCCTCATAGAGACTAGATTCATTTCTGGCCATACCATCTATGACCAAAACTGGATATATTAGCAAGTCATTTACCTAAATCTTCCTCAGTTTGCTCATCTATGTAAATGGGACAATGTTATCATGTATGATTGTTACAGAGATAAGAGGAACTAATGGATGAGCCTGACAAGGAGTACACTTTCTCTCTATCTGAACTTTCTCTCTGTATTAAATCTGTAATTATCTCTCTGAGGTAAAGACCAAATAGGCTTCCTCCACTGAACTGATTTTGTTAAGGGAAGGGGTATAGTTAATCATACATTAGGGTTTGTAAAGTAAATAGAAGGAAGAGAGAGCACAGGACAAGATGTAAATTGTTCGTTTTGCCTTTATGTTTTTAACTGGAGCAACTATGCAGTTCTTAGAAATGTATACAGGTAAATTGATGTCCCTTCCTATCATCCAATATCACCTACGACAATTAAAAGCATCTCAAACTTTATCACAAATTTCTTTATAGGGATGTACATATAAACATAGATCACAATTAAGGATATCTACTCAAATATTTTCCTCTATTGGAGAAAACATTTTTGTAATAATTCTGTTTCTACAATACTTGTTAAGGAAAGGATGGTCAGGAACATGAATAACTCCCAGGCAATGATTTATTGCTATGTCCTGTCTTATGGGTTATTGGTTTAGCAAATGAAAACGCAGTAGTGATGGCTGACATGACAGAAGCAGAATTCAGAATATGGATAGGAATGAAGTTCACTGAGCTACAGGAGTACACTGTAACCCAATGCAAGGAAGCTAAAAATCATGTAACACATTGCAGGACCTGACAGACAAAATATCATAGAGTAGAACGTAACTGACCTGATAAAGCTGAAAAACACGCTACAAGAATTTCATAATGCAATCACAAGTATTTTATTTTATTTTATTTTTTTATTATACTTTAAGGTTTAGGGTACATGTGCACAATGTGCAGGTTAGTTGCATATGTATACATGTGCCATGTTGGTGTGCTGCACCCATTAACTCGTCATTTAACATTAGTTATATCTCCTAATGCTATCCCTTCCCCCTCCCCTCACCCCACAACAGGCCCTGGTGAGTGATGTTCCCCTTCCTGTGTCCATGTGTTCTCATTGTTCAATTCCCACCTATGAGTGAGAACATGTGGTGTTTGGTTTTCTGTCCTTGCGATAGTTTGCTGAGAATGATGGTTTCCAGCTTCATCCATGTCTCTACAAAGGACATGAACTCATCCTTTTTTATGGCTGCATAGTATTCCATGGTGTATATGTGCCACATTTTCTTTTTTTATTTTTATTTTTTATTTATTTATTTATTAATATACTTTAAGTTTTAGGGTACATGTGCACATTGTGCAGGTTAGTTACATATGTATACATGTGCCATGCTGGTGCGCTGCACCCACTAACTCGTCATCTAGCATTAGGTATATCTCCCAATGCTATCCCTCCCCCCTCCCCCCACCCCACCACAGTCCCCATAGTGTGATATTCCCCTTCCTGTGTCCCTGTGATCTCGTTGTTCAATTCCCACCTATGAGTGAGAATATGCGGTGTTTGGTTTTTTGTTCTTGCGATAGTTTACTGAGAATGATGATTTCCAATTTCATCCATGTCCCTACAAAGGACGTGAACTCATCATTTTTTATGGCTGCATAGTATTCCATGGTGTATATGTGCCACATTTTCTTAATCCAGTCTATCAGTGTTGGACATTTGGGTTGGTTCCAAGTCTTTGCTATCGTGAATAATGCCACAATAAACATACGTGTGCATGTGTCTTTATAGTAGCATGATTTATAATCCTTTGGGTATATACCCAGTAATGGGATGGCTGGGTCAAATGGTATTTCTAGTTCTAGATCCCTGAGGAATTGCCACACTGACTTCCACAATGGTTGAACTAGTTTACAGTCCCACCGACAGTGTAAAAGTGTTCCTATTTCTCCACATCCTCTCCAGCACCTGTTGTTTCCTGACTTTTTAATGATCACCATTCTAACTGGTGTGAGATGGTATCTCATTGTGGTTTTGATTTGCATTTCTCTGATGGCCAGTGATTATGAGCATTTTTTCCTGTGTCTTTTGGCTGCATAAATGTCTTCTTTTGAGAAGTGTCTGTTCATATCCTTTGCCCACTTTTTGTTGGGATTGTTTGTTTTTTTCTTGTAAATTTGTTTGAGTTCATTGTAGATTCTGGATATTAGCCCTTTGTCAGATGAGTAGATTGCAAAAATTTTCTCCCATTCTGTAGGTTGCCTGTTCACTCTGATGGTAGTTTCTTTTGCTGTGCAGAAGCTCTTTAGTTTAATTAGATTCCATTTGTCAATTTTGGCTTTTGTTGCCATTGCTTTTGGTGTTTTAGACATGAAGTCCTTGCCCATGCCTATGTCCTGAATGGTATCGCCTAGGTTTTCTTCTACAGTTTTTATGCTTTTAGGTCTAACATTTAAGTCTTTAATCCATCTTGAATTAATTTTTGTATAAGGTGTAAGGAAGGGATCCAGTTTCAGCTTTCTACATATGGCTAGCCAGTTTTCCCAGCACCATTTATTAAATAGGGAATCCTTTCCCTATTTCTTGTTTTTGTCAGGTTTGTCAAAGATCAGATAGTTGTAGATATGTGGCATTATTTCTGAGGGCTCTGTTCTGTTCCATTGGTCTATATCTCTGTTTTGGTACCAGTACCATGCTGTTTTGGTGACTGTAGCCTTGTAGTAGAGTTTGAAGTCAGGTAGCATGGTGCCTCCCGCTTTGTTCTTTTGGCTTGGGATTGACTTGGCAATGTGGGCTCTTTTTTGGTTCCATATGAACTTTAAAGTAGTTTTTTCCAATTCTATGAAGAAAGTCATTGGTAGCTTGATGGGGATGTCATTGAATCTATCAATTACCTTGGGCAGTATGGCCATTTTCATGATATTGAATCTTCCTACCCATGAGCATGGAATGTTCTTCCATTTGTTTTTATCCTGTTTTATTTCATTGAGCAGTGGTTTGTAGTTCTCCTTGAAGAGGTCCTTCAGATCTCTTGTAAGTTGGATTCCTAGGTATTTTATTCTCTTTGAAGCAGTTGCGAATGGGAGTTCACTCATGATTTGGCTCTCTGTTTGTCTGTTATTGGTGTATAAGAATGCTTGTGATTTTTGTGCACTTATTTTATATCCTGAGACTTTGCTGAAGTTGCTTATCAGCTTAAGGAGATTTTGGGCTGAGACAATGGGGTTTTCTAGATATACAATCATGTCATCTGCAAAGAGGGACAATTTGACTTCCTCTTTTCCTAATTGAATACATTTATTTCCTTCTCCTGCCTGATTGCCCTGGCCAGAACTTCCAACACTATGTTGAATAGGAGTGGTGAGAGAGGGCATCCCTGTCTTGTGCCAGTTTTCAAAGGGAATGCTTCCGGTTTTTGCCCATTCAGTATGATATTGGCTGTGGGTTTGTCATAGATAGCTCTTATTATTTTGAGATACCTCTCATCAATACCTAATTTATTGAGAATTTTTAGGATGAAGAATTGTTGAATTTTATCAAAGGCCGTTTCTGCATCTTTTGAGATAATCATGTGGTTTTTGTCATTGGTTCTCTTTATATGCTGGATTACATTTATTGATTTGCATAGGTTGAACCAGCCTTGCATCCCAGGGATGTAGCCCACTTGATCATGTTGGATAAGCTTTTTGATGTGTTGCTGGATTTGGTTTGCCAGTATTTTATTGAGGATTTTTGCATCAAGGTTCATCAGGGATATTGGTCTAAAATTCTCTTTTTTTATTGTGTCTCTGCCAGGCTTTGGTATCAGGATTATGCTGGCCTCATAAAAGGAGTTAGGGAGGATTCCCTTTTCTTCTACTGATTGGAATAGTTTCAGAAGGAATGATACCAGCTCCTCTTTGTACCTCTGGTAGAATTCGGCTGTGAATCCATCTGGTCCTGGACTTTTTTTGGTTGGTAAGCTATTGATTATTGCCTTAATTTCAGAGCCTGTTATTGGTCTATTCAGAGATTCAACTTCTTCCTGGTTTAGTCTTGGGAGGGTGGATGTGTCCAGGAATTTATCCATTTCTTCTAGTTTTTCTAGTTTATTTGCATAGAGGTTTTTATAATATTGTCTGATGGTAGTTTGTATTTCTGTGGGATCGGTGGTGATATCCCCTTTGTCATTTTTTATTGCGTCTATTTGATTCTTCTCTCTTTTCTTCTTTATTAGTCCTGCTAGCGGTCTATCTATTTTGTTGCTCTTTTCAAAAAACCAGCTCCTGGATTCATTGATTTTTTGAAGAGTTCTTTGTGTCTCTATCTCCTTCAGTTCTGCTCTGATCTTAGTTATTTCTTGCCTTCTGCTAGCTTTTGAATGTGTTTGCTCTTGTTTCTCTAGTTCTTTTAATTGCGGTGTTAGGGTGTCAATTTTGGATCTTTCCTGCTTTCTCTTGTGGGCATGTAGTGCTATAAATTTCCCTCTACACACTGCTTTGAATGCGTCCCAGAGATTCTGGTATGTTGTGTCTTTGTTCTCGTTGGCTTCAAAGAACATCTTTATTTCTGCCTTCGTTTTGTTATGTACTCAGTAGTCATTCAAAAGCAGGTTGTTCAGTTTCCATGTAGTTGAGTGGTTTTGAGTGAGTTTCTTAATCCTGAGTTCTAGTTTGATTGCACTGTGGTCTGAGAGACAGTTTGTTATAATTTCTGTTCTTTTACATTTGCTGAGGAGTGCTTTACTTCCAACTATGTGGTCAATTTTGGAATAAGTGCGGTGTGGTGCTGAGAAGAATGTATATTCTGTTGATTTGGGGTGGAGAGTTCTGTAGATGTCTATTAGGTCCACTTGGTGAGAGCTGAGTTTAGTTCCTGTATATCCTTGTTAACTTTCTGTCTCATTGATCTGTCTAATGTTGACAGTGGGGTGTTAAAGTCTCCCATTATTATTGTGTGGGAGCCTAAGTCTCTTCCTAGGTCTCTAAGGACTAGTTTTATGAATCTGGGTACTCCTGTATTGGGCACATATATATTTAGGATAGTTAGCTCTTCTTGTTGAATTGACCCCTTTACCATTATGTAATGGCCTTCTTTGTCTCTTTTGATCATTGTTGGTTTAAAGTCTGTTTTATCAGAGACTAGGATTGCTACCCCTGCTTTTTTTTGTTTCCATTTGCTTGGTAGATCTTCCTCCATCCCTTTATTTTGAGCCTATCTTTGTCTCTGCACATGACATGGGTCTCCTGAATACAGCACATTGATGGGTCTTGACTCTTTAAACAATTTGCCAGTCTGTGTCTTTTAATTGGAGCATTTAGCCTATTTACATTTGAGGGTAATATTGTTATGTGTGAATTTGATCTTGTTATTATGATGTTAGCTGGTTATTTTGCTCATTAGTTGATGCAGTTTCTTCCTAGCATCGATGGTCTTTACAATTTGGCATGTTTCTGCAGTGGCTGGTACCGGTTGTTCCTTTCCATGTTTAGTGCTTCCTTCAGGAGCTCTTTTAAGGCAGGCCTAATGGTGACAAAATCTCTCAGCATTTGCTTGTGTGTAAAGGATTTTATTTCTCCTTCACTTATGAAGCTTAGTTTGGCTGGATATGAAATTCTGGGTTGAAAATTCTTTTCTTTAAGAACGTTGAATATTGGCCCCCACTCTCTTCTGGCTTGTAGAGTTTCTGCCGACAGATCAGCTGTTAGTCTGATGGGCTTCCCTTTGTGGGTAACCCAAGCTTTCTGTCTGGCTGCCCTTAACATTTTTTCCTTCATTTCAACTTTGGTGAATCTGACAATTATGTGTCTTGGAGTTGCTCTTCTTGAGGAGTATCTTTGTGGTGTTCTCTGTATTTCCTGAATTTGAATGTTGGCCTGCCTTGCTAGATTGGGGAAGTTCTCCTGGATAATATCCTGCAGAGTGTTTTCCAACTTCATTCCATTCTGCCCATCACTTTCAGGTACACCAATCAGATGTAGATTTGGTCTTTTCAGATAGTCCCATATTTCCTGGAGGCTTTTCTTGTTTCTTTTTACTCTTTTTTCTCTACACTTCTTTTCTGATTTCATTTCATTCATTTGATCTTTCATCACTGATACCCTTTCTTCCAGTTGATTGAATCGGCTACTGAGGCTTGTGCATTCATCATGTAGTTCTCGTGTCGTGGTTTTCAGCTCCATCAAGTCCTTTAAGGACTTCTCTGCATTGGTTATTCTAGTTAGCCATTCGTCTAATTTTTTTTTCAAGGTTTTTAACTTCTTTGCCATGAGTTCGAACTTCCTTCTTTGGCTCGGAGTAGTTTGATCATCTGAAGCCTTCTTCTCTCAGCTCGTCAAAGTCATTGTCTGTCCAGCTTTGTTCCATTGCTGGTGAGGAGCTGCATTCCTTTGGAGGAGGAGAGGCACTCTGATTTTTAGAGTTTCCAGTTTTTTTTACTCTGTTTTTTCCCCATCTCTGTGGTTTTATCTACCTTTGCTCTTTGATGATGGTGACTTACAGATGGGATTTTGGTGTGGATGTCCTTTCTGTTTGTTAGTTTTCCTTCTAACAGTCAGGACCTTCAGCTGCAGGTCTGTTGGAGTTTGCTGGAGGTCTACTCCAGACCCTGTTTGTCTGGGTATCAGCAGCAGAGGCTGCAGAACAGCGGATATTGGTGAACCGCAAATGTTGCTGCCTGACTGTTCCTCTGGAAGTTTTGTCTCAGAGGAGTACCCAGCCGTGTGAGGTGTCAGTCTGCCCCTACTGGGGGCTGCCTCCCAGTTAGGCTACTCAGGGTTCAGGGACCCACTTGAGGAGGCAGTCTGCCCATTCTCAGATCTCCAGCTATGTGCTGGGAGAACCACTACTCTCTTCAAAGCTGTTAGACAGGGACATTTAAGTCTGCGGAGTTTTCTGCTGCCTTTTGTTTGGCTATACCCTGCCCTGAGATGTGGAGTCTACAAAGGCAGGCAGGCCTCCTCAAGCTGCGGTGGGCTCCACCCAGTTGGAGCTTCCCAGCTGCTTTGTTTACCTACTCAAACCTTGGCAATGGTGGGTGCCCCTCCCCCAGCCTCGCTGCCACCTTGCAGTTTGATCTCAGACTGCTGTGCTAGCAATGAGTGAGGCTCTGTGGGCATAGGACCTTCTGAGTCAGGCATGGGATATAATCTCCTGGTATGCCGTTTGCTAAGACCATTGAAAAGCACAGTATTAGGGTGGGAGTGACCCGATTTTCTGGGTGCCCTCTGTCACCCCTTTCTTTGATTAGGAAAGGGAATTCCCTGATGCCTTGTGCTTCCTGGGTGAGGCAATGCCTCACCCTGCTTCAGCTCATGCTCAGTGCACTGCACCCACTGTCCTGCACCCACTGTCTGACACTCCCCATTGAGATGAACCTGGTACCTCAGTTGGAAATGCAGAAATCTCCTGTCTTCTGTGTTGCTCACACTGGGAACTGTAGACTGGAGCTGTTCCTATTTGGCCATCTTGGCTCCACCCCCCCAATCACAAATATTAAAAGCAGAATAAACTAAGAAGAAGAAATAATCTCAGAGCTTGCAGACTGCCTTTGTGAAATAAGACAGTCAGACAAGAATAGAGAAAAAAGAATGAAAAGGAATAAAAGCAACAGAAGAGACTGAATCTACAACTGACTGATGTACCTGAAAGGGATTGGAAGAATGGAACCAACTTGGAGATCACATTTCAGGATATCTTCCATAAGAAGTTTCCCAACTTAGCTAGAGAGGCAAACATTCAAATTCAGGAAATGCAGGAAATGCACAGAATTCCAGTAAGATACTTCACAAGAAGATCATCTTCAAAACACATAATATTCAGGTTCTCCAAGGTTGAAATGATGATAGAAAAAATGTTAAATGCAGCTAGAAAGAAAGGCCAAGTCACCTACAAAAGGAAGCCCATTGGACTAATAGTGGGCCTCTCAGATGAAACCCCCTACAAGCCAGAAGAGATTGGGGATGAATATTCAACATTCTTAAGAGAAGAAATTCTAATCCAGAATTTCATATTTGGCCAAACTAAGCTTCAGAAATGAAGGAGAAATAAGATCCCTTTTCAGACAAGCAAGTGTTGAGGGAGTTCATTACCACCAGACCTGTCTTACAAGAGCTCCTGAAAGAAGCACTAAATATGGAAAAGAAAGTCCATTACCAGCCATTACAAAAACACACTGAAGTACACAGGACAGAGACACTATAAAGCAGACTCATGAACAAGTCTGAAAAATGATCAGTTAGCATCATGATGACAGGATCAAATCCACACGTATCAATACTAACCTTAAATGTAAATAAGCTAAATGCCCCAGTTAAAAGACACAGAGTGGAAATCTGGATAAAAAAACAAGACCCATTGGTGTGCTGTCTTTAAGAGATCCATCTCACATGCAATAGCACACACAGGCTCAAAGTTAAGGGATGTAGAAAAATCAACCAATAAAATAAAAAGGCAGAAAAACCAGGGGTTGCAATCCTACTTTCTGACAGAACAGAGTTTAAACCAACAAACATGAAATAGAGAAAGAAGGCATTACATAATGGCAAAGGGTTCAATTCAACAAGAAGATCTAACTATCTTAAATATGTATGCATCCAATGCAGGAGTACCCAAATTCATAAAGCAAGTTCTTAGAGACCTTCAACAAGAAAGATTCCCACACAATAAGAGTGGGAGATTTTAACACTCCACTGACAATATTAGACAGATCATCAAGACAGAAAATTAACAAAGATATTCAGGAGCTGACATCAGCACTGGATCAAATGGTCCTGACATGTATCTGAAGAACTCTCCACCCAAACCAATAGAATATACATTCTTCTCATTGCCACATGTCACATATTCTAAAATCAATCACTTAATCAGAAGCAAAACACCCCTCAGCAAATGCAAAATAACTGAAATCATAAAAACAGTCTCTCAGACCACAGCACAATCTAATTAGAAATCAAGACAAGAGATTGTTCCAAGATAACTGAATAGGAACAGCTCCAGTCTACACCTCCCAGCATGAGTGATGAAGAAGATGGGTGATTTCTGTATATCCAACTGAGCTTTTAAGAGAGCAGTGGTCCTCCTACCATGGAGTTTGAGATCTGAGAACAGACAGTCTGCCTCCTAAAGTGGGTCCCTGAACCCCGAGTAGCCTAACTGGGAGACACCTCCCAATAGGGGCTGACTGACACCTCATACAACTGGGTGCCCCCCTGAGACGAAGTTCCAGAGGAAGGATCAGGAAGCAACATTTGCTGTTCTGCAATGTTTGCTGTTCTGCAGCCTCTGCTGGTGACACCCAGGCAAACAGGGTCTGGAGTGGACCTCCAGCAAACTCCAACAGACCTGCAGCTGAGGGTCCTGATTGTTGGAAGGAAAACTAACAAACAGAAAGGAATAGCACCAACATCAACAAAAAGGACATCCACACCAAAACCCCATCTGTATGTCACCATCATCAAAGATCAAAGGTAGATAAAACCACAAAGATGGGGAGAAACAAGAGCAGAAAAGCTGAAAATTCTAATAACCAGAGTGCCTCTTCTCCTCCAAAGGACTGCAGCTCCCTGCCAGCAATGGAACAAAGCTGGACGGAGGTGACTTTGATGAGTTGACAGAAGTAGGCTTCAGAAGATCGGTAATAACAAACTTCTCTGAGCTAAAGGGGGATGTTCAAACCCATTGCAAGGAAGCTAAAAACCTTGAAAAAAGATTCGACAAATGGCTAACTAGAATAAACAGTGTAGAGAAAACCTTAAATGACCTGATGGAGCTGAAAACCATGGCATGAGAACTACGAGATGCATGCACATGCTTCAGTAGCCAATTCGATCAAGTGGAAGAAAGGGTATCAGTGATTGAAGAACAAATGAATGAAATGAAGTGAGAAGAGAAGTTTAGAGAAAAGAGAGTAAAAAGAAATGAACAACGCCTCCAAGAAATATGTGACTGTGTGAAAAGACCAAATCTATGTTTGATTGATGTACCTGAAAGTGATGGGGAGAACGGAACCAAGTTGGAAAACACTCTTCAGGATATTATCCAGGAGAACTTCCCCAACCTAGCAAAGCAGGCCAACATTCAAATTCAGGAAATACAGAGAACGCCACAAAGATACTCCTCAAGAAGAGCAACCCCAAGACACATATTGTTATATTCACCAAAGTTGAAGGAAAAAATGTTAAGGGCAGCCACAGAGAAAGGTCGGGTAAAGAAAAGAATTTTCAACCCAGAATTTCATATGCAGCCAAACTAAGCTTCATAAGTGAAGGAGACATAAAATCCTTTACACACAAGCAAATGCTGAGAGATTTTGTCACCATCAGGCCTGCCCTAAAAGAGCTCCTCAAGGAAGCACTAAACATGGAAAGGAACAACGGGTATCAGCCACTGCAGAAACATGCCAAATGTAAAGACCATCGATGCTAGGAAGAAACTGCATCAACTAACGAGCAAAATAATCAGCTAACATCATAATGACAGGATCAAATTCACACATAACAATATTAGCTTTAAATGTAAATGCACTAAATGCCCCAGTTAAAAGACACAGACTGGCAAATTGTATAAAGAGTCAAGACTCATCAGTGTGTTGTATTCAGGAGACCCATCTCATGTGCAGAGACACACATAGGCTCAAAATAAAGGGATGGAGGAAAATCTACCAAGCAAATGGAAAGCAAAAAAAAAAAAAAAAAAAAAAAAAAAAAAAAAAAAAAAAAAAAAAGCAGGGGTTGCAATCCTAGTCTGTGATAAAACAGACTTTAAACCAACAGTGATCAAAAGAGACAAAGAAGGCCATTACATAATGGTAAAGGGATCAATGCAACAAGAAGAGCTAACTATCCTAAATATATATATGCACCCAATACAAGAGCACCCAGATTCATAAAGCTAGTCCTTAGAGACCTACAAAGACACTTAGACTCCCACACAATAATAATGGGAGACTTTAACACCCCACTGTCAACATTAGACAGCTCAGTGAGACAGAATGTTAACAAGGATATACAGGAACTAAACTCAGCTCTGCACCAAGTGGACCTAATAGACATCTACAGAACTCTCCACCCCAAATCAACAGAATATACATTCTTCTCAGCACCACACCGCACTTATTCCAAAATTGACCACAAAGTTGGAAGTAAAGCTCTCCTCAGCAAATGTAAAAGAACAGAAATCACAACAAACTGTCTCTCAGACCACAGTGCAATCAAATTAGAACTCAGGATTAAGAAACTCACTCAAAACCACTCAACTACATGGAAACTGAACGACCTGCTCCTGAATGACTACCGAGTACATAACAAAATGAAGGCAGAAATAAAGATGTTCTTTGAAGCCAACGAGAACAAAGACACAACATACCAGAATCTCTGGGACACATTCAAAGCAGTGTGTAGAGGGAAATTTATAGCACTAAATGCCCACAAGAGAAAGCAGGAAAGATCCAAAATTGACACCCTAACATCGCAATTAAAAGAACTAGAGAAACAAGAGCAAACACATTCAAAAGCTAGCAGAAGGCAAGAAATAACTAAGATCAGAGCAGAACTGAAGGAGATAGAGACACAAAGAGCTCTAAAAAATTAATGAATCCAGGAGCTGGTTTTTTGAAAAGATCAACAAAATAGATAGACCACTAGCAGGACTAATAAAGAAGAAAAGAGAGAAGAATCAAATAGACGCAATAAAAAATGACAAAGGGGATATCACCACGGATCCCACAGAAATACAAACTACCATCAGATAATACTATAAACACCTCTATGCAAATAAACTAGAAAATCTAGAAGAAATGGATAAATTCCTGGACATATCCACCCTCCCAAGACTAAACCACGAAGAAGCTGAATCCCAGAATAGACCAATAAGAGGCTCTGAAATTGAGGTAATAATTAATAGCCCTCCAACCAAAAAAAGTCCAGGACCAGACTGATTCACAGCCGAATTCTACCAGAGGTACAAAGAGGAGCTGGTACCATTTCTTCTGAAACTATTCCAATCAATAGACAAAGAGGGAGTCCTCCATAACTCATTTTATGAGGCCAGCATAATCCTGATACCAAAGCCTGGCAGAGACACAACAACAAAAAAAAGAATTTTAGACCAATATCCCTGATGAACATCGATGCAAAAATCCTCAGTAAAATACTGGCAAACCGAATCCAGCAGCACATCAAAAACCTTATCTGCCACGATCAAGTTGACTTCATCCCTGGGATGCAAGGCTGGTTCAACCTATGCAAATCAATAAACATAATCCAGCATATAAACAGAACTAACGACAAAAACCACATGATTATCTCAATAGATGCAGAAAAGGCCTTTGACAAAATTCAACAGCCCTTCATGCTGAAAACTCTCAATAAATTAGGTATTGATGGGCTGTATCTCAAAATAATAAGAGCTATTTATGACAAACCCACATCCAATATCATACTGAATGGGCAAAAACTGGAAGCATTCCCTTTGAAAACTGGCACAAAACAGGGATGCCTTCTCTCACCAGTCCTATTCAACACAGTGTTGGAAGTTCTGGCCAGGGCAATCAGGTAGGAGAAAGAAATAAAGGGTATTCAATTAGGAAAAGAGGAAGTCAAATTGTCCCTGTTTGCAGATGACATGATTGTATATTTAGAAAACCCCATCATCTCAGCCCAAAATCTCCTTAAGCTGATAAGCAACTCAGCAAAGTCTCAGGATACAAAATCAATGTGCAAAAATCACAAGCATTCCTATACAGCAATAACAGACACACAGAGAGCCAAACCATGAGTGAACTCCCATTCACAATTACTTCAAAGAGAATAAAATACCTAGGAATCCAACTTACAAGATATGTGAAGGACCTTTTCAAGGAGAACTACAAACCACTACTCAACGAAATAAAAGAGGACACAAACAAATGGAACACCATTCCATGCTTCTGGATAGGAAGAATCAGTATCGTGAAGATGGCCATACTGCCCAAGGTAATTTATAGATTCAATACCATCCCCATCAAGCTACCAATGACTTTCTTCAAACAATCAGAAGAAATGACTTTAAAGCTCATATGGAACCAAAAAAGAGCCCACATTGCCAAGACAATCCTAAGCCAAAAGAACAAAGCTGGAGGCATCACGCTACCTGACTTCAAACTCTACTACAAGGCTACAGTCACCAAAACAGCATGGTACTGGTACCAAAACAGAGATATAGACCAGTGGAACAGAACGGAGTCCCCAGATATAATACCACACATCTACAACCATCTGATCTTTGACAAACCTGGCAAAAAGAAGAAATGGAGGAAACTGGCTAGCCATATGTAGAAAGCTAAAACTGGATCCCTTCCTTACACCTTATACAAAAATTAATTCAAGATGGATTAAAGACTTAAATGTTAGACCTAAAACCATAAAAACCCTAGAAGAAGACCTAGGCAGTACCATTCAGGACCTAGGCATGGGCAAGGACTTCATGACTAAAACACCAAAAGCAATGGCAACAAAAGCCATAATTGACAAATGGCATCTAAGTAAACTAAAGAGCTTCTGCACAGCAAAAGATGCTACCATCAGAGTGATCAGGCAACCTACAGAATGGGAGAAAATTTTGGCAATCTACTCATCTCACAAAGGGCTAATATCCAGAATCTACAAAGAACTTAAATAAATTTACAAGGAAAAATGAAACAACCCCGTCAAAAAGTGGGCGAAGGATATGAGCAAACACTTCTCAAAAGAAGACATTTATGCAGCCAAAAAACACATGAAAAAATGCTCATCATCACTGGCCATCAGAGAAATGCAAATCAAAACCACAATGAGATACCATCTCACAGCGTTAGAAAGGCGATCATTAAAAAGTCAGGAAACCACAGGTGCTGGAGAGAATGTGGAGAAATAGGAACACTTTTACACTGTTGGTGAGACTGTAAACTAGTTCAACCATTGTGGAAGACAGTGTGGTGATTCCTGAAGGATCTAGAACTAGAAATACCATTTGACCCAGCGATCCCATTACTGGGTATATATCCAAAGGATTATAAATCATGCTGCTATAAAGACACATGCACACATATGTTTATTGTGGCACTATTCACAATAGCAAAGACTTGGAACCAACTCAAATGTCGATCAATGATAGACTGGATTAAGAAAATATGACACATATAAACCATGGAATACTATGCAGCCATAAGGATGACTTCATATCCTTTGTAGGAACATAGATGAAGGTGGAAACCAGCACTCTGAGCAAACTGTTACAAGGACAGAAAACCAAACACCACATGGTCTCACTCATAGGTGGTAATCGAACAATGAGAACACTTGGACACAGAGTGGGGAACATCACACCAGGGCCTGTCATGAGGTTGGGGGATGGGGGAGGGATAGCATTAGGAGAAATACCTAATGTAAATGATGAGTTAATGGGTCCAGCACACCAAAATGGCACATGTATACATATGAAACAAATCTGCACATTGTGCACATGTACCCTAGTACTTTAAGTATAATAAAAAAAAGAAAAAAGAAATCAAGACAAGAAATTTATTCAAAATCATACAATTACATGAAAATTCAATAACCTGCTCCTGAATGACTTTTGGATAAGTAAGGAAATTATGGCAGAAATCAAGAAATTCTTTGAAACTTAATGAGAACAAAGATACAACATACCAGCATCTCTGGGACACAGCTAAGGCAGTGTTAAGGTGGAAATTTATAGTACTAAATGCTCACATCAAAAAGTTGGAAAGATCTAAAGTTAACAACCTGACATCACAACTGAAAGAACTAGAGAGCAAAGAGCAAATAAATCCCAAAACTAGAAGACAAGAAATAATCAAAATTAAAGCTGCACTGAAGGAGATTGAGACACAGAAGCCGTTCAAAAGATGAACTAATAAAGATTCATTTTTTGAAAAAATTAATAATATATATATAGATCCCTAGCTAGACTAATAAAGAAGAAAAGAGAGAAGACTCAAATAAACAAAATCAGAAACATCAAGGGTGATATTACCATTGACCTCATAGAAATACAAACAACAATCAGAGAATATTATGAACACCTCTATGCACATAAACTAGAAAATCTAGAAGAAATGGATAAATTCCTGGACACATAAACCCTCCCAAGACTGAACCAGGAAGAATTTGAATCCCCGAACAGACCAATAACAAGCTCTGAAATTGAGGCAGTAATAAATAACCTACTGAAGGAAATAATGTATACAGTGGTCCATTTCCAAGACAAAGTGCCTTGAATTGGCTTAGAACTACAGAAGAGACAGGATATACTAAGACCCTGCTTGAATAGCTGATGCCTACTTCTCAGCCTCCCCCTCCCGCCTCCCTCCTCACTTAGCTGCCCTCACTTGAACCAAAGACATTTAGTCTAAGATAAAATTTACTAGTCTCCAAAGTAGCTCACTTTGTGTGTTCTTATCAGCCTGCCCAGCTACTTAGGTCATAAGTCAAATATGTAAAAAGCCCCTGAGCTCATTAGGATTGCAAGGCATTGTGGGTTGCAAAAAAAATGCAGCAAGACAACCCTAAAAAAACACCTGAAGCCACTACCCAAAAATCAATAGGCGACGTCCGAGAAGATTGTAACCTCATATATTCAGCCTATGAGGAACCAGGGGAGGGACTTGCACACTATGGGATAAATTGCTTGTTGATACTGTGCTGGATGTGCCTGCGTGCCAGACACCCAATCTTGCAAGATCACCATTGAAAGTCTCACTTCCGCTGTTCTCTGTGTCTCTGAGTCCATTCTTTGGGTTTGGACAAGTGAGTTTGTTTCTCACACATAACAACCAAAAAAAGCCCAGGACCTGATGGTTTCACAGCTGAATTCCACCAAATGTACAGAGAAGAGCTGGTACTATTCCTACCAAAACTATTCCAAAAAATTGAGGAGTAGAAACTCCTCCCTAACTCATTCTATGAGGGCAGCATCATCCTGACGCCAAAACCTGGCAGAGATACAACAAAAATAGAAAACTTGAGGCCAACATCCTTGATGAACATCAGTGCAAAAATCCTTAAAAAATTACTGGTAAACAGAATCCAGCAGCACATTGAAAAGCTTATCCAGCATGATCTAGTAGACTTTATCCTTGGGAAGTAAGGATGGCTCAACATAAACAAATCAATAAATTTGATTCATCACATAAACAGAACTAAAGACAAAAACACATGGTTGTCTCAAGAGATACAGAAAAGGCTTTCAATAAAATTCAACATCCATTAATATTAAAAAAAACTGTCAATAAACTAGGTATTGACAAAACATACCTCAAAATAGTAAGTGCCATCTATGACAAACCCACAAACAACATAATACTGAATGGGCAAAAGCTGGAAGCTTTCCACTTGAAAACTGGCACAAGATGAGGTTGCCCTCTCTCACCACTCCTATTCAACATAGTATTGGAATTCCTGGCCAGGGCAATCAGGCAACAGAAAGAAATAAAGGGCATCCAAATAGGAAGAGAGGAAGTCAAACTATCCCTGTTCATAGATGACAGGTCTTATATCAAGAAAACCCCATAGTCTCAGACCAAAAGCTTCTTAAGCTGATAGACAACTTCAGCAAAGTCTCAGGGTACAAAATCAATGTGCAAAAATCACTAGCATTCCTGTACACCAACAACAGCCAAGCCAAGAGCCAAATAATGAATGAACACCCATTCACAATTGCCACAAAAAGAATAAAATGCCTAGGAATACAGCTAACTAAGGAGGTGAAAGATCTCTACAAGGAGAACTACAAACCACTGCTCAAAGAAATCAGAGATGATACAAACAGAAAAAATTGCATGCTCATGGATAGGAAGAACCAATATTGTTAAAGTGGCCATACTGCCCAAAGCAATTTATAGATTCAATGCTATTCCTATTCAGCTACCACTGAGATTCTTCACAGAGCTAGGAAAAACTATTTTAAAATACATATGAAACCAAAAAGGAGCCTGAACAGCCAAGACAATCCTAAGCAAAAGAAATGAAGCTGGAGGCATCCATCATGCTACCCAACTTCAAACTTTACTACAGGGCTTCAGTGACCAAAACAGCATGGTACTGGAACAAAAACAAACACATAGACCAATGGAACAGAACAGAGAACACAGAAATAAGACCAAACACCTACAACTCTCTGATCTTCAACAAAACTGACAAAAACAAGCAATGGGGGAAATAATTCCCTATTCAATAAATGGTGCTATGATAACTGGCTAGACATATTCAGAAGACTAAAACTGAACTCCTTACTTACACCATGTACAAAAATTAACTCAATATAAATTGAAAACTTAAACGTAAAATCCCAAACTATAAAAACCCTGGAAGACAACCTAGGCAATACCATTCAGGACATAGGCACAGGAAAAGATTTCATGATAAAAACACCCAAAGCAATTGCAACCAAAGCAAAAATTGACAAATGGCATCTAACTAAACTAAAGAGCTTTTGCACAGTAAAAGAAACTATCAACAGAGTAAACAGACAACCTACAGAATGGGAGAAAATTTTTGCAAACTATGCATCCAATAAAGGTCTGATATTCAGAATCTATAAGGAAGTTAGACAAAATTTCAATAAAAAAACCCCATTAAAAGTGGGCAAAGAGGGGTGGCTGGCAAGATGGCTGAAGAGGAACAGCTCTGGTCTGCAGCCCCCAGCGAGATCAATGCAGAAGGTGGGTGATTTCTGCATTTCCAACTGAGGTACCTGGCTCATCTTATTGGGACTGGTTAGACAGTGGGTGCAGCTCACAGAGGGTGAGCAGAAGCAGGTTGGGACATCACCTTGCCTGGGAAGTGCAAGGGGTTGGGTAACTCACTCCCCTAGCCAAGGGAAGCCATGAGGGACTGTGCTGTGAGGGACGGTGCATCTGGGCCCAGATACTATGCTTTTCACATGGTCTTCACAGCCCGCAGACCAGGAGATTCCCTTGGGTGCTTATACCACCAGGGACCTGGGTTTCAAGCACAAAACTGGGTAGTCATTTGGGCAGACACTGAGCTAGCTGCAGGAGTTTTTTTTTTTTTAATACCCCAGTGGTGCCTGGAATGCCAGTGAGACAGAACCATTCACTCCCCTGTAAAGGGGGCACTGAAGCCAGGGAGTTAAGTGGTCTAGCTCAGTAGATCCCACCCCCATGGAGCCAAGCAAGCTAAGATCCACTGGCTTGAAATTCTCACTGCCAGCACAGCAGGCTGAAGTCGACTTGGGACACTAGAGCTTGGTGAGGGGAAGGGTGTCCAACATTACTGAGGCTTGAGTAGGCGGTTTTCCCCTCACAGTGTAAACAAAGACACAAGGAAATTTGAATTGGGCGGAGCCCACCACGGCTCAGTGCCTAAGCTGCTGTAGCCAGACTGCTTCTCTAGATTCCTTCTCTCTGGGCAGGGCATCTCTAAAAGAAAGGAAGCAGCCCCAGTCACGGGCTTATAGATAAAATTCACATATCCCTGGGACAGGGCACGTGGGGGAAGGGGCGGCTGTGGGCGCAGCTTCAGCAGACTTAAACGTTCCTGCTTGCTGGCTCTGAAGAGAGCAGTGGATCTCCGAGCACAGTGCTTGAGCTCTGCTAAGGGACAGACTGACTCCTCAAGTGGGTCCCTGACCCCGGTGCCTTCTGACAGGGAGACACTTCCCAGCAGGGGTTGACAGACACCTCATACAGGAGAGCTCCAGCTGGCATCTGGCAGGTGCCCCTCTGGGATGAAACTTCCAGAGGAAGGAGCAGGCAGCAATCTTTGCTGTTCTGCAGCCTCTGCTGGTGATACCCAGGGAAACAGGGTCTGGAGTGGACCTCCAGCAAATGCCATCAGACCTGCGGCAGAGGGGCCTGATTATTAGAAGTCAAACTAACAAACAGAAAGGAATAGCATCAACATCAACAAAAAGTACAATCACACAAAAACCCCATCTGAAGGTCACCGACATCAAAGACCAGAAGTAGATAAATCCACAAAGATGAAGAAAAACCAGTGCAAAAAGGCTGAAAATTCCAAAACCAAGAATGCCTCTTCTCCAAAGGATCACAACTCCTTGGCAGCAAGGGAACAAAACTGGACACAGAATGAGCTTGACAAATGGACAGAAGTAGGCTTCAGAAGGTGGGTAATAACAATCTCCTCTGAGCTAAAGGAGCATGTTCTAACCCAATGCAAGGAAGCCAAGAACCTTGAAAAAAGGATAGATGAATGGCTAACTAGAATAACCAGTTTAGAGAAGAACATAAATGACCTGATGGAGCTGCAAAACACAGCATGAGAACTTCATGAAGCATACACAAGTATCAATAGCAAAATTGATCAAGCAGAAGAAAGTATATCAGAGATTGAAGATCAACTTAATGAAATAAGGTGTGAAGACAAGATTAGAGAAAAAAGAATGAAAAGGAATGAACAAAGTCCCCAAGAAATATAGGACTATGTGAAAAGACCAAACCTATGATTGACTGGTGTACATGAAAGTGACGAGGAGAATGAAACCAAATTGGAAAATACTCTTCAGGCTATTATCCAGGAGAACTTCCCCAACCTAGCAAGACAGGCCAACATTCAAATTCAGGAAATACAGAGAACACCACAAAGATACTCCTCGAGAAGAGCAACCCCAAGACAGATAAGCATCAGATTCAGCAAGGTTGAAATGACAGAAAAAATGTTAGGGGTAGCCAGAGAGAAAGGTCAGGTTACCTACAAAGGGAAGCCCATCAGACTAACAGTGGATCACTCTGCAGAAACCCTACAAGCCAGAAGAGAGTGGGAGCCAATAATCAACACTCTTAAAGAAAAGAATTTTTAACCCAGAATTTCATATCCAGCCAAACTAAGCTTCATAATTGAAGGAGAAATAAAATCCTTTGCAGACAAGCAAATGCTAAGAGATTTTGCCACCACCAGGCCTGCCTTACAAGAGCTCCTGAAGGAAGCACTAAATATAAAAAGGAAAAACTGGTAGCAGCCACTGCAGAAACATACCAAATTGTAAAGACCATTGACAATATGAAGAAACGGCATCAACTAATGGGCAAAATAACCAGCTAGCATCATAACGACACTATGAAATTCACATATAACCATATTAACCTTAAATGTAAATGGGCTAAATGCCCCAAATAAAATACACAGATGGGCAAATTGGATAAAGAGTCAAGACCCATCTGTGTGCTGTATTCAGGAGATCCATCTCACATGCAAGAACACACATAGGCTCATAATAAAGGGATGGAAGAATATTTACCAAGCAAATAGAAAGAAAAGCAGGGGTTGTAATCCCAGTCTCTGATAAAACAGACTTCAGACTTTAAACCAAAAAAGATCAAAAAAGTCAAAGAAAGGCATTACATAATGGTAAAGGGATAAATGCAACAAGAAGAGCTAAGTATCCTAAATATAAATGCACCCAATACAGGAGCACCCACATTCATAAAGCAAGTTCTTAGAGACCTACAAAGAGACTTAGACTCCCACACTATAATATTGGGAGACTTTAACACCCCACTGTCAATATTAGATAGATCAATGAGACAGAAAATTAACAAGGATATTCAGGACTTGAACTCAGCTCTGCACCAAGCCAACCTAATAGACATCTACAGAACTCTTCAGCCAAAATAAACAGAATATACATTCTTCTCAGCACCACATCACCCTTACTCTAAAATAGACCACATAATTGGAAGTAAAACATTCCTCTGCAAATGCAAAAGTATGGAAATCATAACAAACAGTCTCTCAGACCACAGTGCAATCAAATTAGAACTCAGGATTAAGAAACTCACTCAAACCCACACAACTACATGGACACTGAACAACCTGCTCCTGAATGACTATTGGGTAAATAACAAAATTAAGGCAGAAAAAAATACATTTTCTGAACCCGATGGGAACAAAGATACAATGTACCAGAGTCTCTGGGACACATTTAAAACAGTGTTTAGAGGGAAATTTATAGCACTAAATGCCCACAGAGGAAAGTGGGAAACATCTGTAATTACCATCCTAACATCACAATGAAAAGAACTAGAGAAGTAAGAGTAAACAAATTCAAAAGCTAGCAGAAGACAAGAAATAACTAAGATCAGAGCAGAAATGAGAGATAGAACCATGAAAACCCTTCAAAAAATCAATGAATCCAGCAGCTGTTTTTTGAAAAAAATAACAAAATAGACCGCTAGCAGGACTAATACAGAAGAAAAGAGAGAAGAATCAAATTGGCACAATAAAAAATGATAAAGGGGATATCACTGCTGATCCCATAGAAATACAAACTGCCATCACAGAATATTATAAACAACCCTATGCAAATGAAGTAGAAAATCTAGATGAAATGGATAAATTCCTGGACATATACATTCTCCCAAGACTAAACCAGGAAGAAGTTGAATCCTTGAATAGACCAATAACAAGTTCTGAAATTGAGGCAGTAATTAATAGCCTACCAACCAACCAAAGGCCAGGACCAGAAAGATTTACAGCCGAATTCTACCAGAGGTACAAAGAGAAGTTGGTACCCTTCCTTCTGAAACTATTCCAAACAACAGAATAAAAGGGACTCTTCCCAAACTCATTTTATGAGGCCAGCATCATCCTGATACCAAAACCCGTTGGAAACACAACAAAAAAATTCAGGCCAATATTCCTGATGAACATTAGTGCAAAAATCCTCAATAAAATATGGGCAAACTGAATCCAGCAGCACATCAAAAAGCTTATCCACCACCATCAAGTCAGCTTCATCCCTGGGATGCAAGGCTGGTTCCACGTAAGCAAATCCATCACATAAACAGAACAAATGACAAAAACCACATGATTATCTCAATAGATGCAGAAAAGGCCTTCAATAAAATTGAACACCACTTCATGCTAAAAACTCTCAATAAACTAGTTATTGATGGAACGTATCTCAAAATAATAGCAGCTATTTATTATGAACCTATAGCCAATATCATACTAAATGGGCAAAAGCTGGAAGCATTCCCTTTGAAAACCAGCACAAGATGAGGGTGGTGTCTCTCACTACTCCTATTCAACATAGTATTGGAAGTTCTGGCCAGGCCAATCAGGCAAGAGAAAGAAATAAAGGGTATTCAAACAGGAAGAGAGGAAGTCAAAATCTCTCTGTTTCCAGACAGTATGATTGTTTATTTAGAAAACCCCATTGTCTCAGTCCAAAATCTTCTTAAGCTGATAAGCAACTTCAGCAAAGTCTCAGGATACAAAATCAATGTGCAAAAATCACAAGCATTCCTATACACAAATAATAGAAAAACAGAGAGCCAAATCATGAGTGAACTCTCATTCACAGTTGCTACAAAGAGAATAAAATACCTAGGAATAGAACTCACAAGGGATGTGAAGGATGTCTTCAAGGAGAATTGCAAACCACTGCTCAAGGAAATAAGAGAAAATACAAACAATGGAAAAATATTCTGTGCTCATGGATAGAATCAATATCATAAAAATGGCCATACTGCCCAAAGTAATTTAAAGATTCAATGCTATCCCCAACAAGCTACAAATGACTTTTTCACAGAATTAGAAAAAAGTACTTGAAATTTCATATGGAACTACAAAAGAGCCTACGTAGCCAAGGCAATGTTAAGCAAAAAGAACAAAGCTGGAGGCATCATGTTACCTGACTTCAAACTACATTACAAGGCTACAGTAACCAAAACAGCATGGCAGTGGTACCAAAACAGATACATAGACCACTTGAACAGAACAGAGCCCTCAGAAATAATTTCACACATCCACAACCATCTGATCTTTGATAAACCTGACAAAAACAAGCAATGGGGAAGGGATTCCCTATTTAATAAATGGTGCTGGGAAAACTGGCTAGCCATATACAGAAAACTGAGGGGTCCACCTTATACAAAAATTAACTCAGGATGAATTAAAGACTTAAATGTAAGACCTAAAGGCATAAAAACCCTAGAAGAAAACCTAGGCATTACCATTCAGGACATAGGCATGGACAAAGATTTTATGACTAAAACACAAAAAGCAATGGCAACAAAAGCCAAAATTGATAAATGGGATCTAATTAAGCTAAAGAGCTTCTGCACAGCATTGGTAACTATCATCAGAGTGAACAGGCAACCTTCAGAAGGGGAGAAAATTTTTGCAATCTATTCATCTGGCAAAGGGCTAATATCCAGAATCTACAAGGAACTTAAATAAATTTACAAGAAAAAAATACTCCATCAAAAAGTGGGTAAAGGATATGACCAGACACTTCTCAAAATAAGACATTTATGCAGCCAACAAACATATGAAAAAAAGCTCATCATCACTGGTCATTAGAGAAATGCAAATCAAAACCACAATGTGATACCATCTTGGAACAGGAATTAAGAGAAATGAAAGAATGTGTAAGCAGAAACTCAGCTGTATGTAAGAAAACCCAATTCCCCCTGAGAAAAAGAAAGAGCTGGAGTCCTTTAAAAATTAACTGCCTATTTTTCTGTGGCTAGTGAGCCTTATCTCTCCTTCTTTCCTAGGCATTGTGAAGACCCTGTTTCTCTAGATGTGTAGCTGCAAGGTCACTAGACAGATAAACTCAAGTCGTAAAACATGTTTGTTTTTGAAATGTAAGAAATGATGTAATGCATGTCTTAATTAATTGAATAACTGTCTTTGTTTCTCACTTCTGTAATATGCTTCCCCCTGCACAGATCTCCCCCTACCCCACGAAATGCTTAAAAGGTAACTTAAGTCTTTGTTCAGGGCTCAGTCCTTTGGATGCTAATCTGACTGGGCCAGCACACCTAAATAATAACTATCCTCCTGAACCCCATTGGTCTCTCTGATTCCTTAACAATCCTGCAACATTTCTGGGGACTCATCCAGGATTGGAGATGACAGATTTACTGTCTCCTTTGCCTGTGGGACTACAGCCCTGTGGCCATGGGAGACCTGGCATCCAAGGCATACCATGAGGGAGCTTCACCTGGATGGAGACTGGCTCTTCCCCCATCCTGGCAGCCTGCCTGGCAGTGCAATGGAGCCAGGGGTGGGGCTGCAGTATGATACCAGCACTTCAGGAACCATGGTAAGGAGCAAGGGCCCAAGGCAGGGAAGCCCATCCCATAAGGACAAAGGGGAGCTTCATCACCTCCCAGGGAACAACCACTAATCCAACCCAGAATGGCTGGGGGTGGCAGGAGTCGCTTGCCAATTTGGATGAACCTCATGTCCCCACTAACAAAGTGAAAGTGGTTCATTGGATCTGGAGACAGGAACTGGGAGTGTGTGCGTGCATGTAAACCTACCCGGGACACGAGAGAGGCTCATTTCATCTGATAGGAAGTCCTGGGGTAGGAGTGGTGTGTGTATGTGTGAGAATGTGGGAGCCTAACTAGGCTCACCTGGGACATGAGAGAGGCTTGTTTCATCTGATGAGGAGTCCTGGGGCAGGGGAGATGTGTGAAAGTGTGTGAAAGAGACAGTGTTGGGAGAGGCCAATGTGGGGAGTGACAGGAGGCATAGATCCCTTAGCAGGGGCTGTGTGCTTGGAGGTGAGTGTGGGGGAAATTAGAACTAGGATGCTGCATATGGCTGATAGGACCAGCTTCATGGCCAGCTTCATGGCTGTAGCAGGCTGTGACAGGGGAAGGCACGTTCCTGGCTAAGCAGCATCCAAAACTCCCATAACAGGACCCGGTCTGGTGGACCCAAGAGTGAAAGTGTGCCACAAGGGAGGAAATGGGAGGGAAAGTGTCAAAACCAACTCCTTTGGAGTGCATGATAAAGTATTTAAAAAAAGGATTTAGAGGTGATTATGGCATGAAACTGGATGCTCAAAAATTAAGGACGTATTGTGAGATAGATTGGCCTGCTTTCAATGTGGGGTGGCCCTCTGAAGGTACAAAAGACAGGAAATTAATTGGCCGTGTGTTTAAGGTGGTCACTGGAGTTGGAGGACAACCAGGATACCCAGACCAGTTTCCCTATATAGACTCTTGGCTCAGTGTGGCACAAACTAGCCCCAATTGTTTACAGCCCTGCCTAGAGGGATACTGCAAGGCATTAGTGGCTCGGGCACCCAACCAAAGAAAGCAGAGGAACCTAAAGCCCCTAGCATCTCCCAGGAAAAGGAATCCCTGAAGCCTCAGCCAAAACCAGTTCTTCAGGCCCCACCAGAGGAAAGAGAATGTCGGCCCCCATATGTGCCAGTCTACCCGTCTTTGGCCAGAATAAGGCAGGAGGCAGAGTCAGGAGCATCTGGAGAGTCAGGCTTGGAGGAAAGTGAGGCTCAGTCTCCCCTGAAAGAGTAACAGAAGCCCCCGTTAGAAAAAAACAGGGAAGATGGACAGGGCGAGGCAGCTGGGCACCTCTGCTCAGGCGAACCACAGGCTTTGCAGATGCCACTTTGAGAGACCAGGATACAAGTTTATGATGACCAGGGGCAGACACAAGGTGGCTCTAGGGTTTACGTTTATCAGCCTTTCTCCACTACTGATCTCTTAAATTGGAAACAGCACACCCCTTCCTATACAGAAAAGCCTCAGGCCCTCATTGATTTGGTGAATTCTATTATTATGACACACAACCCAACCTGACCAGATTGTCAACAACTTTTGCTAACTTTATTTAATACAGAGGAGCATAGGAGAGTTAATCAGGCAGCTCTCAGCTGGTTAGAAGGGGAAGCCCCAGAGGCCACCCCTAACCCATGCCAGTTCACTGTGGAGCAATACCCAAATGAGGCAAGGGACATGGAATGGCTGCAGCTATATAGAAAGGCACTCCCAAATGGGAAAAAAGCAGGAGGAAGGAAGGCAATGAATATGAGTAAAATATCAGAAGTGTGCCAAAAGCCTGACAAAAGCCAAAGTGCATTCTATGAAAGGCTTTGCGAGGCATATAGGCTGTACTCTCCAATTATTCCAGAGGCTCCTGAAAACCAAAATATGATAAAAATGACCTTTGTCAGGCAAGCTCAGGGAGACATAAGATGAAACCTTCAGAAGCCGGAAGGCTTTGCAGGGAAACACATTAGTGAACTCCTGGAAATAACAAACAAAGTATACATAAACCGGGAAGAAAGGAAGAAAGAAAAACCAGAAATAGAAACAAAGAGACAGCTTGATTTATAGCTGCTGCACTAGCAGAAATTAACCCTGGATTTGCTAGAGGGCATGGCTGAGGCAGAGGCTGAG
The DNA here is from genome assembly GCF_000001405.40 of Homo sapiens. Lineage (NCBI taxonomy): Eukaryota > Metazoa > Chordata > Mammalia > Primates > Hominidae > Homo > Homo sapiens. The sequence goes on from NC_000011.10 coordinate 63,210,396, forward strand.
GAAGGGGGAAGACAAGACCAGGAGAGGAAGGCCAGTCTTGGTTGGACAGGAACCAATGTGCAAGATGCAGGCAAATGGGCCACTGGAAAGATGAGTGCCCCGAAAAGGAAAAGGATGGAGATGATGGTCAATTGTCTAACACCCGAGTGTGGCATTCTGTTGCTATTCATGTCTGAAAGGCAGATCCTGACCTGATTGGCTTAGGGGGCTGAGAATTTTGAGGACTGAGACAGACTGGGCTCCATATTTTTAGGCCATGGGGAGCCTATGGTGTCTATGGAAGTAGGGGGCCGATTAATGGATTTTTTGGTTGATACTGGTGCTGATTACTCTGTGGTAACTCACCCAATTAGCCCCTCCACGAAGAACTGTGCTACTATCGTAGGGGCTACTGGGGCCAAAGAAAAGAAACCTTTATGCAAATCCAGGGGATGTGTTATTGGGGCACAAAAAGTACAGCATGAGTTTCTATATATGCCAAATTGTCCAGTGCTCTTGTTAGGGAGAGACTTACTCCAGAAACTGCAGGCACAAATTTCCTTTATACCTAAAGGGAATATGACCCTGGAGATAGAGGTGCTAAAGGCAATGGGTATTGACCCTGACTGTCCCAAGGGCTGAGGAGTGGCAGCTCTATGAACTGTGTGCCAGAAGGCCACTGGAGCCAGACCTACACAATATGTGGGGGATGCTTTTCAAGGTACCACGTGTATAGGCTGAGGAAAACCCCCCTGGACTTGCTGCAAACAGACCCCTGGGTGGTAGTAGAGCTTAACCCTCATGCTGCCTCGGTATGAGTCCGTCAATACCCACTACCTAGAGAGGAAATTGAAGGAATAACAAAACATCTAAATCAGCTCTATGAACATGGGATTATAGTGAAATGCAAGTCCTCCTGGAATACTCCTCTGCTGCCCATGAGCAAGCCAAAAGGTGAATACAGGCCAGTGCAGGATCTCCAGGCGGTAAACAAGGCCACTGTGACTATCCATGCCATAGTACCCAACCCTTACACAATGTTGGGACAGATTCCTGCTGAGGCCACGTGGTTCACATGTCTGGACTTAAAGGATGCCTTCTTTTGTTTGAAGCTTGCTCCCCAAAGTCAGCCTATATTTGCCTGCCAGTGGGGGCAATTGCAATATGCCTGGACAAGGCTGCCGCAAGGGTTTAAGAATTCTCCTACCATTTTTGGTGCTGGGAAAATTGGCTAGCCATATGTAGAAAGCTGAAACTGGATCCCTTCCTTACACCTTATACAAAAATTAATTCAAGATGGATTAAAGACTTAAATCTTAGACCTAAAACCTTAAAAACCCTAGAAGAAAACCTAGGCAATACCATTCAGGACATAGGCATGGGCAAGGACTTCATGTCTAAAACACCAAAAGCAATGGCAACAAAAGCCAAAATTGACAAATGGGATCTAATTAAACTAAAGAGCTTCTGCACAGCAAAAGAAACTACCATCAGAGTGAACAGGCAACCTACAGAATGGGAGAAAACTTTTGCAATCTACTCATCTGACAAAGGGCTAATATCCAGAATCTACAATGAACTCAAACAAATTTACAAGAAAAAAACAAACAACCCCATCAAAAAGTGGGCGAAGGATATGAATAGACACTTCTCAAAAGAAGACATTTATGCAGCCAAAAGACACACGAAAAAATGCTCATCATCACTGGCCATCAGAGAAATGCAAATCAAAACCACAATGAGATACCGTCTCACACCAGTTAGAATGGCGATCATTAAAAAGTCAGGAAACAACAGGTGCTGGAGAGGATGTGGAGAAATAGGAACACTTTTACACTGTTGGTGGGACTGTAAACTAGTTCAACCATGTGGAAGACAGTGTGGCGATTCCTCAGGGATCTAGAACTAGAAATACCATTTGACCCAGCCATCCCATTACTGGATATATACTCAAAGGATTATAAAACATGCTGCTATAAAGACACACGCACACGTATGTTTATTGTGGCACTATTCACAATAGCAAAGACTTGGAACCAACCCAAATGTCCACCAATGATAGACTGGATTAAGAAAATGTGGCACATACACACCATGGAATACTATGCAGCCATAAAAAATTATGAGTTCATGTCCTTTGTAGGGACATGGATGAAACTGGAAACCATCATTCTCAGCAAACTATCACAAGGACAAAAAACCAAACACCACATGTTCTCACTTATAGGTGGGAATTGAGCAATGAGAACACATGGACGCAGGAAGGGGAACATCACACACTGTGGTCTGTTGTGGGGTGGGGGAGGGGGGAGGGATAGCCTAATGTTAAATGATGAGTTAATGAGTGCAGCGTACCAACATGGCTTATGTATACATATGTAACAAACCTTCACGTTGTGTACATGTACCCTAAAACTTAAAGTATAATTTAAAAAAAAAAAAATTCTACCATTTTTGAGGCGGCCTTGGCCACAGATCTTGAGGCTTTTGCACCACCTAGTGACAATTGTGTGCTATTACAATACATTGATGATTTGTTATTCACTGTCCCCATGAGGGAGGAATGCCTCCAAGGAATAGAGAGGCTTCTTCACCTGCTGTGTGAAGCTGGTTATAAAGTGTCCAAGGACAAGGCAAAAGTCTGTTTTTGAGAGGTTGGATATCTATGATTCATGGTATCCCAAGGCCAGCCCAGGCTTGGAAGTGCACACAAGGAGGCTGTATGTGCATTGCCCACCCCAGTTACAAGTGGCAGGTCAGGGAATTTCTAGGTGTGGCAGGATTCTGCCGAATCTGGATTCCAAACTTCTCCCTTATAGCAAGGCTCCTCCCTTATATGAGGCTATCAAAGGAAAGGAAAGAGAGCCCCTCCTATGGGAAAAGGAACAGGAAAAGGCCTTCAAGGATATAAAGGAAGCTCTCATCCAGGCCCCAGCACTTGGGTTGCCAGATGTAAAAAAAGCCCTTCTTTTTGTATGTGGATGAATGAAAGGGAATGGCAGTGGGAGTCTTAACTCAGTTGTTGGGCTGTTGGCATCAGCTGGTAGCTTACTGGACCTTCATGGCCTTAGGTTGGCCCAATGCCTCAGGGCATTGGTGGCTACCACAATCCTTATAGAAGATGCCAACAAGCTAGCCCTAGGTCAGAAGTTAATAGTTCGGGTGCCACACGCTGTAGTCACCTTAATGGAGCCAAGAGGACATCGTTGGCTGTCCAATTCTAGAATGCTAAAGTATCAAGGACTTCTGTGTGAAAATCCCCAGATAACACTAGAGACTATAAATACCTTGAACCCAGCTACCCTGCTGTCTGTGGAGAAACCCGATTGGAAGGGCAGTGGGTTGCCTCACTGCTGGCAGGACCTTCCCCACTGTTGCATAAATATGGTGGACGAAGTGTTCTCGAGCCGGGAAGATCTCAGAGATACCCCCTTGGAGAGGCCAGATGTTGAATACTTCACTGATGGTAGCAGTTTCATAACAGATGGGGTGCGATATGCAAGGTATGTAGTAGTGATCCAACACTCGGTAGTCGAGGCTCAAGCCTTACCTTCTGGGACTTCCACTCAGAAGGCTGAATTAAAAGCCTCAGAAGGAGGAGTACATGGAAAATTTAATTTAACCAACTGTTGCCAAGAAATTGATGATAATGGCTTAGCTGTCATGGAAATCACAGCTAGAATGAACAAGTTGGTCCATGTTCCAGTTCAGATTTGGTCCAGGTGGTCCCCAGATTCCTTGTTTGGAGGATGGTTCTTAGCTTTTGGAGGATTCAAAACCCTCTGGTGGGTTCTTGCTTATTCTTGGTATCTGCCTCATCCTCCTTTGCCCTTTAACCCAGTTTGTTAGGAGTATACAGTCAACTATAGAGGCAATAGTAACCTGACACACTACTGCGCAGTTGATAGCATTAACAAAATATCAGCCGCTGCCAGTAGAAGAAGCGCAGCTCCGTGAAGAGGTGGCAAACAGTGGTGCTTTCTATTAACACTTTTGTTATAAAAAGCACCAAAGGAAGGAATGGAACAGGAATTAAAAGAAATTAAAGAATGTGTAAGCAGAAACTCAGTTGCATGTAAGAAAACCCAATTCCCCCTGAGAAACAGAAAGAGCTGGAGTCTTTTAAAAATTAACTGCCTGTTTTTCTGTTGCTAGTGAGCCTTATCTCTCCTCCTTTCCCAAGCATTGTGAAGACCCTGTTTCTCTAGCTGTGCAGCTGCAAGGTCACTAGACAGATAAACTCAAGTTGTAAAACATGTTTTTCCTTGAAAAGTAAGAAATGATGTAATGCATGTCTCAATTAATTGAATAACTGTCTTTGTTTCTCACTTCTGTAATATGCTTCCCCCTGCACAGATCTCCCCCCACCCCACGAAATGTTTAAAAGGTAACTTAACTCTTTGTTCAGGGCTCAGTCCTTTGGATGTTAATTTGACTGGGCCAGTGCACCTAAATAATAAATATCCTCCTGAACCCCATCAGTCTCTCTGATTCCTTAACAATCCCACAACAATCTCACATCAGTTAGAATGGCAATCATTAAAAAGTCAGGAAACAACAGATGCTGGAGAGGATGTGGACAAATAGGAACACTTTTACACTGTTGGTAAAAGTGTAAATTAGTTCAACCATTGTGGAAGACAGTGTGGTGATTCTTCAAAGATCTAGAACCAGAAATAACATTTGACCCAGCAATCCCATTATTGGGTATATACCCAAAGGATTATAAATCATTCTACTATAAAGACACATGCACACATATGTTTATTGCAGAACTATTCACAATAGCAAAGACTTAGAACCAACCCAAATGCCCATCAGTGATAGACTGGATAAAGAAAATGTGGCACATATACACCATAGAATATTATGCAGCCATAAAAAAGGATGAGTTCATGTCCTTTGCAGGGACATGGATTAAGCTGGAAACCATCATTCTCAGCAAACTAATACAGGAACAGAAAACCAAACACCACATATTCTCACTCATAAGTGGGAGTTGAACAATGAGGACACATGGACACAGGGAGGGGAATATCACATCCTGGGGCCTGTTGTGGGATGGGAGACTAGGGGAGGGATAGCATTAGGAGAAATACCTAATGTCAATGGTGGGTTGATGGGTGTAGCAAACCACAATGGCACATGTATATCTGTGTAACAAACCTGCACGTTTTGCACATGTATTCCAGAACTTAGAGTATAATAAAATAAAAGTGGGCATAGGACATGGACAGACACTTTTCTTTTTTTAATTTATTTTAGATTTGGGGCACATGTGAACGTTTGTTACACAGGTAAACATGTATTATGGAAGTTTGTTGTACATATTTTTTCATCACCCAGGTATTAATCCCAGTACCCATAGTTATCTTTTCTGCTTCTCTCTCTCTTTCCAAACTCCCCTCTCAAGTGGACCCCAGTGTTTATTGTTTTCTTCTTTGTGTTCATAAGTTCTAATCATTTAGCTCCCATTTATAAGTGAAACCATGTATTTGGTTTTGTGTTCTTGTATTAGTTTGCTAAGGATGATACCCTCCAGCTCCATCCATGTTCCTGCAAAAGACATACTCTCATTCTTTTTTATGGTTGCATAATCATGGTGTGTAAGTACCACATTTTCATTAATCTGTCATTGATGGGCATTCAGGTTGATTCCATGTTTTTGTTATTGTTGATAGAGCTGTAATGAACATTTGCAACAGTTTTCAAAAGAAGACACACATATGACCGACTATTATGAAAAAATGCTCAATATCACTGGTCATTAGAGAAATGCAAATCAAACCACAATGAGATGCCATCTCACACTAATCAGAATGGCTATTAATAACAAGTCAAAAAGTAACAGATGCTGGCTAGGTTGCGGAGAAAAAGGAATGCTTTTACACTGTTGGTGGGAGTGTAAATTCATTCGACCATTGTGGAATACAGTGTGGTGATTCCTCAAAGACCTAAAGAAAGAAATACCTTTCAACCCAGTAGTCCCATTACTGGGTATATACCCAAAGGACTAGAAACTCTTCTACTATAAAGACATATGCACACGTATGTTCATGGCAGCACTATTCACAATAACAAATACATGGAATCAACCTAAATGCCCATCAGTGATAGACTGGACCAAGAAAATTGGTACATATATACACCATGGAATACTATGCAGCCATAAAAAAGAACAAGATTGTGTCCTTTGCAGGGACATGGATGGAGCTGAAGGCCATTATACTTAGCAAACTAAATGCTGGAACAGAAAACCAAATACCACATGTTCCCATTTATAAGTGGGAGCTAAAGGTGGGAGGAGGGAGAGGATCAGGAAAAATTACAAACGGGTATTAGGCTTAATACCTAGGTGATAAAATAATCTGTACAACGAATCCTCATTATGCAAGTTTGCCTATGTAACAAGCCTGCACATGTACCCCTGAACTTAAAATAAAAGTTAAAAAAGATTTTCTTATAAAAAAAGTGGTATGGATAAATTTAAATTTCTAATGAGCAGCAATGATTTTTTTAGTATAAGCATGTCCCATGAGATATTTTGGATATCATTACACTAAAAATTATTTGTTCTTTATCTGAAATTTGAATTAAATGGAACCTCCTATGTTTTATTCAGTTAAATAAAATACTGAATATTTGGGTGAAATAAAATTTCCTATGAACAGTGAATAATTTTGAGTTTTATTGCATCCCTTGCAATATTTGGATATTTTTCAGAAGTATTTGTTGATTATCTTATATTCAAATTTAATTAACTGTCCTTAATTTCATCAGGAAACCCTTTGTGTTTTGCTTCTTGAATTGCATATTTAGCACAGATTAGGAGAATGTACTCAAGGCTAGATAGAGGATCAAATGGAATTCATGTCCTCATTCCATGTACATCTGCATTCAAGGATGTCATATGGCAAAAGAAGAATGCAAGCTCAATACCTTGAGAACAGAAAGAAGACAAAGCATGGTGCAGACATCACCAACTGGAGGATGCACTGGTCTCGAATGACAAAAGCCAGGCTTCCCAGGGTTATATGTCCAATACTAGCAGCACAAAGTGTCAATGTCAATGCCATGGCACAGAATTGGTGAGTTATCCACTCTACAACTGAAAGAAAACACAAACAAGATTTAGCTTTAAATACAGGTGGAGCTTCAATGTCAAAGCCAAGGCTTGGAAAATGTGGATCGAAAATATTGACTTACTTAACAAAACAGTATTTACAATGATGCTAAATGTAGCAGCCCCAGCCAAGAAGCGCAGGGAGCAGTATACGAGGATGGTGGGAGCAAAGGCCGCACAGGTGCCTACAATGGCGAGCTGGAGGTAAGACCATCTGAGCACGAACTTTCTCCCAAACCTGAGAAACAGGGGCACATTAGATAATGGGAACAATAACAACCTTTGGGAAATGTTAGCAAAGGGAAAGCACACTTTGAAACTTAAAGGATGTTTAACAAGTGAAACTTTACACTTAAAACGTTAAAGAATCAACAGTTAATCAATGGCAGGTCTTCTCAGAAGGAATGTTCTCTGTTTGTAAATAGATACTGAGTGTATAAAAGTTTCTTCTCCAATCTGTTGCCAGTAGATCATTGATACAAATTCAAAACATGTAAGACAGGCTGGGATGTTGAAATGTTAACACACCAGAAATGTCCCTTGTGAAGACAAATTGTTCTACCAAAAAGATACACGCACTCACATGTTCATTGAAGCACTATTCACAGTAGCAAAGGCATGGAATAACCTCAATGCCCACCAATGGTAGACTGGAATACTATGTAGCCACAAAAAAGAATGAAATCATGTCTTCTGCAGCAACATGGATGCAGATGGAGGCCATTTTCCTAAGTGAATTAATGTAGGAACAGAAAACCAAACATTACAATGTCCTCAACTTATAAGGGGGAGCTAAACGTTAAGTACACAGGGACATAAAGAAGGGAACAATAGATGCTGGGGACTACAAGAGTTGGCAGGGAGGGAGGGGAAAAGGGTTTGAGAAACTACCAATTGGGTACTATGCTAACTACCTGGGTGATGGGTTCATTCATACCCCTAGCCTCAGCATCATGCAATATATTCATGTAACAAACCTGCACATGCACACCTTGAATCTAAAATAAAAGTTGAAATTAAAAAAAGAGAAATATCTCCTGTATTAACATACAGTGCACCATGAACACAAGTTCTCTCCTATGTACTTTAGCACACTAGAGAGTCTGTATAGTGGCTGGGAGGCAAGAGATCTAATTCTATACATGAAATTCTAGGACTGTGCAGGCCATAGGTAAATGGATGTGAAAGGAACATCCATGAAACAATACATCAGAGTGGGTTAAGATTTTCAGGGGAGGGTTAAAAAAATAAAAAGGAAATTCTGTGTTTTATTATTTTCTGGGAAAGAGGACCTCTCTGTAGACAACTTGGACAATGTGGCATGTGGTGAGGCAGAATTTCAGCTCTTGCCAATTGTCATTTGTTACTGTATTGAAGGTCCTAGCTACTGCCAGAAAGATAATAAAAAGCAAAAGATAGAAAAATAATTGTTCTACCAAAAACACACATGCACTCACATGTTCTTGCAGATGGCATGATTTTGTAGTGGAAAATTTTAGGGAATCCACAAAATGCTACTAGAACTAATTATCAAGTTGGAAGGATGTAAGCTTAATATAGAAAAAGACAATTACCTTCATATATAGTAGCTATGACTAATTAGAAATTAAAATTGTGATGAACAACTTTATGGCCTCAAAAACTAAGTTAATTAGAATAAATTTAATGGAAAAATGCATGACTTTTTTCTATAAACCATAAAATATTGCAAAGGGAATTTAAGAAAATATAAATTAATGGAGAGTGTTATTACATTCACAGCCTATAAAATTCAATATTTTAAAATGGCAATTTTACCAACTGCTATATAGATTTAATGCAATCCCAATGAAATCCTAAAGAGAATCACCTTTCTGACTCCCAACACCATCGTTGCTTTTCTTTGACGTTTACATAAGTGAAGTGGTATCGTGTGCAATCATTTTTGGTTGTTCTTGTGGCAAACAAAATGATTTTGGTATTCATCCATGTTATGGTACAGAGTAAGTTCTTCATTCCTTTTTCTGTATAAAAATCCACTATGTGAATATCCTGCATCTTATTTATTCATTCTATTATTAATGAAATTCTACAGTATTTCTAGTTTGGGGATATCATGAACAGTTGAGTGTGTTATATCCAAAGTATCAATTTGATCATGGCTGTCTCTGCATATGATCAATTAATATTTCCCCCCAGGTTTGTGATAAAGCTCCAAATCCTTAGATTACCTTGCCCCGTCAACTTCAGCTGGTTCTCCACTGTCATCTCCTGCCTGGTACCACTACCTTATCTTGCACCACCCTATGATCCATTAAAATTGGTTTATCTGCATTTTCTCATGGCACTGTCCCAGAGAGCTGGGTTACTGGACTGTTGGAAATCAACCCTCTGACTCTCAACTCTTTTAAGTGTTACTTTTACTGTCATACATTCAGGGTTTCAGGAGAGATACCAGAAGACGTGATGCTGGTGGATGGCAATGGGCACCTCAAGTCCCTCGTCACAATCAGTGGAGACATGGTTGGGCGATGATAATGGTTTCCTGCCATTTCAGAAGACATACGGTAAGTTAGAGGGTACCCCAAACTTCTCATGTCACAGACTGTGACAATATTGTCCTTAGATTACTTACCTTTTGTTGTAAGGTAGAGGTTGTAATACCTCTAAAAAGCTGTTTTTGCAAAGACAAAAAAAATCAAGAATCCAGGCATGATTTCTCAGGACACCATCAATGACACCTTGAAATGTACCCTGCAGATTTTAGAAAAATGTCTGCCCCATCACACTTGGAACTATGATCTAATGATCATGCTCCAGGCACAAGCCATCAGCACACAATGTCCAGGAGGGACTGCACATGGTACCCCTTGCTGAGGCTGAATTCCATGTCGTGAAACATGTTCCTTTCTGTTCCCATAGATAACTCTGTTTCATCTTTCTAAACCAAATGTTGTGGCACTTTCTTTCCAAACTCTGTCTTTGGAAAAATTTTAAATTTTTAGTTTTTGTGGGTACATAGTAGGTGTGTATACTTATGGAGTATATGAGAGATTTTGAAACAGACATACAATGTGTTATAATCACATTAGGGTAAATGGGGCACCCATCACCTCAAGCATTTATCCTTTGTGTTACAAACAATCCAATTATACTCTTTTAGTTATTTTAAAGTGTACAATTAAATTATTACTGACTGCAGTCACCGTGTTGTGTGATCAAATACTAGGTCTTATTCATTCTTTCCATTTTTTTGTGTACCCATTAACCATGCCCACTTTCCCCCTGACACACCCACTACTGCCCTTCCCAGTCTCTGGTAATTATCATTTTACTCTCTATGTCCATGAGTTTAATTGTTTTAGTTTTTAGATCTACAGATAAGTGAGAACATGTGAAGTTTGTCTTTCTTTTACTGGCTTATTTCACTCAACATAATGATCTACAGTTTCATTCATGTTGTTGCAAATGACAAGATCTCATTCTTTTTTATGGCTGAATAATACTCTACTTTGTATATGTACCATATTTTCTTTATCCATTCATCTGTTGTGGACACTTAGGTTGCTTCCAAATCTTGGCTATTGTGAATAGTGCTGCAATAAACATGGAGAGCAGATATCCTTTCCTTTTGCTATACTGATTTCCTTTTTGGGTGTGTACCTAGCAGTGGGATTGCTGAATCATATAGTAGCTCTACATTTAACTTTTTGAGGAACCTCCAAATTGTTTTCCATGGGAGTTGTACTAAGTTATATTCCCACCAACAGTTCATGAGGGTTCCCTTTTCTCCACATCCTCACCAGCATTTATTATTGCCTGCCTTTTGGATACAAGCGATTTTAACTGAGGTGAGATGATATCTCACTGTAGTTTTGATTTGCATTTTTTCTGATGACCAATGATGTTGAGCACATTTTCATATACCTGTTTGTTTTTTGTGTGTCTTCTTTTGAGAAATGTCTCTTCAGATACTTCACCCATTTAAAAATTAAATTGTTAGATTTTTTTTCCTACAGAGTTGTGCACACTCCTTATATATTCTGGTTATTAATCCCTTATCAGATGGGTAACTTGCAAAATTCCTCCCATTCTGTGGGTTGTCTCTTCCCTTTGTTGATTGTTTCCTTTGTTGTACAGAAGTTTTTTGAACTTGATATGATCCAATTTCTCCATTTTTGCATCGTTTGCCTGTGCTTGTTGTGTATTACTGAAGAAATCATTGCCCAGTCCAATGTCCTGGAGAGTTTACCCAATGTTTTCTTGCATTAGTTTCATAGTTTGAGGTCTTAGATTTAAATTTTTAATTCATTTTGATTTAATTTTTATATATGGCCAAAGATAGGGGTCTAATTTTATTCTTTTGCATGTGGATATCCAGTTTCCCAGCATTGTGTATTAAAGAGACTGTCCTTTTCCCCAATGTATGTTTTTGGCACCTTTGTTGATGATGAGTTCACTGTAGATGTATGGATTTTTTTCTGGATTCTCCATTCTGTTCCATTGGTCTATGCATGTGTTTTTATGCCAGTACATCTTGTTTTGGTTACGATAGCTCTGTAGTATAATTGGAAGTCAGGTAATGTGATTCTTCCAGTTTTGTTCTTTTTGCTCATGATAGCTTTGGCTATTCTGGGTCTTTTGTGGTTTCATATATAGTTTAGAATTGTGTTTTCTACATCTGAGAATAATGTAATTGGTATTTTGATAGAGATTGCATTGAATCTGTGATTGTGTTGGGTAGTATGGACATTTTAACAATATTGATTATTCCAATCCACGGACATGAATATCTTTCCATTTTTGGTGTCCCATTCAATTTATTTCGCCAACATTTTAGAGTTTTCATTGTAGGGATCTTTCACTTCTTAGGTTATATTCTAGGTATTTAATTTTATTTGTCACTATTGTAAATGGGGTTACTTTCTTGATTTGTTTTCCAGGTTTTTCACTGTTGGCATATAGAAATGCTACTGATCTTTGTATGTTGATATTTTATCCTGCAACTTTACAGAATTTGGGTATCAATTTGAATAGTTTTTTGGTGGAGGCTTTATGTTTTTCCAAATAGAAGATCATATAGTCTGCAAACAAGGATAATTTGACTTCTTCTTTTCCAGTTGGGTGCTATTTATATTTTTCTCTTGTCTGATTGCTCTAGTTAGGACTTCCTGTACTATTTTAAATGGCAAGGGTGAATGTGGGCATCCTTGTTGTGTTTCAGATCTTAGAGAAAAGGCTTTCAATTTTTTCCCCATTTCATGTGATACTAGCTATGAGTCTGTCATATATGGCTTTTATTATGTTGAAGTATGTTCCTTCTATACCCAGTTTTTTTTTGAGAGTTTTTTTTTATCATGAAGCAATGTTTAATTTTATCAAATGTTTATTCAGTATTGAGATGATCATCTGGTTTCTGTCCTTCATTCTATTGATATAATGTATCACATCAATTGATTTTTGTATTTTGAACCATCTTTGTATCCCTGGTTCAAAATCCCACTTGGTCATGATGAAAAATCTTTTTAATGTGTTGCTGAATTCAATTTGCTAGTACTTTGTGGAGAATTTTTTCATCAATGTTCTTCAGGCATATTGGCCTGTAGTTTTCTTTTTTTTGAGGTGTCTTTGTCTGGTTTTGGTATCTGTGTAATACTAACCTTGTATTATGAGTTTAATATATTTCCTCTGTTTCTATTTTTTGGAATAGTTTGATTGGGATTCGTATGACTTCTTTAAATGTTTGGTAGAATTCAGCAGTGAAGTCATCAGGTCCCAGGCTTTTCCTTACCTGGAGACTTTTTATTACAGCTTCAATCTCATTACTTGTTATTGGTCTGTTCTGGTTTTGGATTTCTTTAGGGTTCAATCTTGGTAGGTTGTATGTATCTAGGAATTTACCCATTTCTTGTATATTTTCCAATTTATTGGCACATAATTGCTAATAGTAGCCTCTAATGACCCTTTGAATTTCTGTGGTATCAGTTGTAATGTCTCTTTTTTCCATCTCTGATTTTATTTACATAGGGTTTCTCTCTTTTTTCTTAGTCTAGCTAAAGGTTTGCCAATTTTGTTTATCTTTCCAGAAAACCAAGTTTTGTTTTGTTGCTGTTTTGCATTCTTTTTTTCATTTCAAATTCCTTTATTATTGCTCTGATCTTTATTTTCTTCTGTTAATTTTTGATTTAATATGCTCTTGCTTTTCTAGTTCTTTAAGATGCATCATTATGTTGTTCGTTTGAAATTTATTTTTTCCTTTTTGATGTAGGCACTTATAGCTCTAAACTTCCCTCTTGGTACCGCTTTTGCTGTATTCCATTGATTTTGGTATATTGCGTTTCCATTATCATTTGTTTCAATATATTTCTCAATTTCCTTCTTAATCTATTCATACCCACTAGTCATTCAGGAGCATACTCTTTAATTTTTATGTATTTGTATAGTTTCCAGAATCTGTCTTGTTGATTTCTGTTATTCCAGTGTGGTCAGAGAAGATACCTGAAATTATTTCAGGTTAAGTCCAATGTTTCTTTGTTGATTTTCTGTCTGGAAGATCTGTTCAATATTGAAAGTGGGGTGTTGAAATCTCCAGCTATTATTATATTGGGGCCTATCTCTCTCTTTGATATGTAATATTTTCTTTATGTATCTGAGTGCACCAATGTTGTGCGTATATATTTATAATTTTTATATCCTCTTGCTGAATTGACCCCTTTATCATCTCTTTTTACGTTTTTTTGTCTTGTAATCTATTTTGTCTCATATAAGCGTAGCTAATCTTGCTCTTTTTTGGTTTTCATTGGTATGGAATATCTTTTTCCATCCCTTTATTTTCAGTCTATGTGTGTATAGATAAGATGCATTTCTTGTAGGCAACAGATCATTGTTTTTGTTTTTACTATTCAGTCTCTCTATGTCTTTTGATTGCAGAGATTAGTTCATTTACATTCAATAATATTATTGATAAGTAAGGACTTACTCCTGCCATTGTGTTATTTATTTTCTGGTTGTTTTGTGGTCTTCTCTTTCTTCTTTTTTTCCTTCCTGTCTTCCTTTTAGTGAAGGTGATTTTCTCTGGTGATATGTTTTGGTTTCTTGATTTTTATTTTTTGTGTATCCATTGTATGTTTTTAGATTTGAGGTTACCATGAGGCCTACAATTAATATCTTATAACTCATTATTTTAAACTGATAGTTAATAGAGATTGCATAAACATGAAAAACAAACAGGCAAAAAGAAAACTAATACAACTGCATACTTTACCTCGATCTCTCTGCTTTTTAACCTTTGTTTCTGTTTATATTTTATTGTACTATCTATATCTTGAAAAGGTTGTTTTAGGCTGGGGGCGGTGGCTGACGCCTGTAATCCCAGCACTTTGGGAGGCAGAGGTGGGTGGAACTTGAGGTCAGGAGATGGAGACCATCCTGGCTAACACGGTGAAACCCTGTCTCTACTAAAAATACAAAAAATTAGCCAGGCGTGGTGGCGGGCGCCTGTAGTCCCAGCTATTCGGGAGGCTGAGGCAGGAGAATGGCGTGAACCCAGGAGGCGGAGCTTGCAGTGAGCCGAGATTGTGCCACTGCACTCCAGCCTGGGTGACAGAGCAAGACTCCGTCTCAAAATAAATAAATAAATACATAAATAAAAATAAAATAAAATAAAAAAGTTGTTTTAGTTAGTTTATATGCCACAATTACAGTGTCATAATATCCTGTGATTTTCTGTGTATTTACTACTAGCAGGGAGTTTTATACATTCAGATAATTTCTTATGGCTCATTACTGTTCTTTACTTTCAGATTGAATAATTTCCTTTAGCATTTCTTGTAGGACAGGTCTGGTGTTGATGAAACCTCTCAGCCTTTGTTTGGGAAACTCTTTATTTCTCATTCATATTTGAAGGATATTTTTGCCAAATATAGTATTATAGGGTAAAAGTTTTTTTTCTTCTTCAGCACTTTAAGTATATCATGCCACTCTGTCCTGGCCTGTAAGGTTTGCATGGAAAAGTCTGCTGCCAGACATATTGGGTCTCCATTGGATGTTATTTGTTTCTTTTCTCTTGCGTGTTTAGGATTCTTTATTTATCCTTGACCTAGGGAGTTGGATTATTAATACCTTGAGGTAGTCTTCTTTGGGTTAAATCTGCTTGATATCCTATGATTTTCTTGTACTTGAATATTGATATCTTTCTCTGTATTTGTGAAGTTCTCTCTTAATAGCTCTTTGAATAAACTGTCTACCCTTGTCTCTCTCTCTGCCTTCTCGAAGGCCAATAACCCTTGGATTTAACCTTTTGAGATGATTTTCTAGATGTTGTGGGAGTGCTTCCTTCTTTTTAATTCTTTTCACTTTTGTCTCCTCTGACTCTGTGTTTTTAAATAGCCTGTTTTCAAGCTCACTAATTCTTTCTTCTGCTTGATCAATTCTGTTGTTAAGAGATTCTGATGCATTCTTCCATATGTCAATTGCATTTCTTCAACTCCAGAATTTCTGCTTCTTGATTCTTTTTAATTATTTCAATGTGTTTGGTAAATTAATCTAATAGGATTCTGAATTCCTTCTCTGTGTTATCTTGAATTTCTTCATTTTTTCTCAATACCATTATTTCGAATTTTCTATCTGAAAGGTCACATATCTGTCTCTCCAATATTGGTCCCTGGTACCTTATTTAGTTTGTTTAGTGAAGTCATGATTTCCTAGATGGTCTTGATGTTTGTGGATGCTTTTTGGTGCCTGGGCATTTAAACGTTAGATATTCATTGTGGTTTTCACAGTCTGGGCTTTGCTCATACTCGTCCTTCTTGGGTAGACTTTTCAGGTATTCAAAGGGGCTTGAGTGTTGTGATCTAAGTTTTTGATCACTGCAACCACATCTGCATTAGGGGGCCTCCAAACATAGTAATGCTGTAGTTCTTGCAGACTGCCTTGGTGGTCTTGGATAAGATCTGGAAAAATTATTTGGACCAGCAGGCAGAGACTCTTGTTTTTTTTCTTTATTTTCTCCCAAACAAATGGAGTCTTTCTCTCTGTTCTGAGCTGCTTGTAGCTAGTGATGGGATGACAAAAACTCCCTGAGGCCACTACCACTAGGACTGTCCTGGGTCAGACCTGAAGACAGCATAGCACTGGGTCTTGGCCAAGGCCCAAGGTAAGCATTTCCTTGTTACCACCTATATTTGCTAAAGGTCCTAGGGTTCTACAATCAGGAGGTGGTGAAACCAGCCAACCTTGTGTCCTTCCTTTCAGGGTGGCAAGTTCCCCTTGGCCCCAGGCAAATCCAGAGATGCTGTACAGGAGCCTGGGCTTGGAGTTGGAAACCTTATAAATCTACCCATCATTCTATTCTACTGCAGCTAAGCTGCCACCAAAACCACAAGACAAAATCCTTTCCACTCTTCTCTCCCCTTTCCACCAGAAGAGGAATCTGTCTGTGTGTCCAATACCGCCACAGGCCCATGTGGAATACTTCCAGGGTGATTATTAACTTATGGTCCAAGGGCTGTTTGGTCAGCTTGTGGTGAATGCTTCCAGACCTGGGACTCACCCTTTAGGGCAGTGGGCTCCCATCTGGCCCAGAGTAGGTCTAGAAATGCTGCCCAAGAGCTAAGACCTAGAATTGGGAACCCCAAAGGCCTACTTGGTGGTCTTCCCCACTGCGGCTGAGCTGGTACCTAAGGTGCAAGACAAAGTCCCCTTTATTCTTCCCTCTCCTTTTCTCAAGCAGAAGGAGTCTCTCCTTGTAGCCACCACAGATGTGAATATGCTGGGCCACACCTGAAGTCAGCATATCTCGGAGTCTCTCCCAAGGTCAATGACATGTATTACCTGGTTACCACTGCTGATTATTTAGGAGCCAAGGGATATTTAGTTAGCAGGTACTATTTCCTGCCAGGACTGGGCCCTTCTCTTTAAGGCAGCAGATTCCCTTCTGGCCCAGGGTGTGTCTAGAAATGTCATCCAGGAGTTAGGTCCTCAAATGAAGGGATCATGACTCTGCCCAGTGCCCTCTCCTACTGTGGCTGAGCTGGTATCCAAGTTGTGAAAAAAAGTCATCTTTACTTTTCCCTCTCCTCTCCTCAAATGGAATGAAGGAGTCTATTTTGGAGGTGCAAGGTGCATTGTCTGTGGTTGGGGAGGGAGTGATGTAAGCACTCCATTAGCCACCCAAGCTGTTTTCTCATTAGATCCTGTGCTCCCCATGTCCACTGGCTCTTAGCCCAGCCCAGCAGTAGAACTTGCCTAGAAGTTGCAGTCCTTGTGGCCTACACAGTCTTTCAAGTTTGTTTAGGACGAGAGCACTTTAGCCTGTGATGGCAAGGCTTACCAAAACTCATATTCTGGACACTGGGATGGGTGATTCACCTCTGTGGCTATGGCTGGTCTAAATGCTTCCTTCATGAGTGCTGGCTGAGTTCTGCCCTGTGTTGGCAGCACTGAGTCCCAATGCAAAGTCCCGTAATTGCTGTGCTCTTCCTCCCCCAAGTGCACAGATTCTCTGTGCCACATGGCCAGTGCTGGGGGATGGAGATGGAGTGTTGTCAGCAATTCAAGACTGTCTTTCCTACCCCCTTCAATGAAGTTAAAATCAGGTACTATGATCATTCACTTGATTTTTGGTTCTTATGAAGGTGCATTTTTGTGTAGATAGTTTTCAAGTTTGGTATTCCTGTGGGGAGGACAATCAGTGGAAGCTTCTGTTCTGTCATCTTGCTCTGCCTCCCCTGGGATTTATCCAAACCCTATTTTGAAACACCCCCAGGTCAGATGGAGATGAAATTTCTGTGTCTTGTGCACAGCACACACATTTTAAAAAATAGCACTCACCACACTCACCATAATTTTCCTTTTGTGTCTACAAATCCCTGGGGACCAAGGGAGCAACAGGATAGTGTGATTTCCAAAAATATTTCTAGATGAAAAGTGTTTCATGAATTGATGAAAATACCCTTGAAGAGAGCTATGCTCCATAGACACTCACCTGTCTGACAAATGGCCATATAGGTTGCCTCCCACCATCATTCCAGCCATGAATAGAAATTTAGCTACTGAATTCAGTGGTTGAGATTCGCATACCAGATCCCACTGGAAGAAAAGGAAACCCTCATATCAATGCTTATAGCCCCTCAGTGTAACCTTATCAAAATGTCTTAAAATAGCCTGCAAGTTTCATTCTATCTTCCTCCCTAGCTTCCCTTTTCTGCATTACCTGATATTCACTGTTCAGGTCTCAACTTAAGCACAACTTTCTCTTGGAAGCTATTCCTAAACTTTTAGATATTATTAGTGCCCAGTTTTATTCCATACTAAATGGTTCTCAACCTTGGCCACACAGTGAAATCATTTGAGAACCTTTAAATATTTTTGGTTGCCTAAATTTCACCCCTAGACTTTCTCATATGATTGTTGTAAGATATAGTCTGGACTTGGAGGTTTTCAGTGATTTCCCAGAGGTTTATAATTTTCAACCACAGGCTGAGCATTCTTTACTTAGCAGAACATTTTTTAACACATTATTCATAAATGCTTGCTTAAATTTTGGTTTTACTAAGGATAAAAGCACTATGATAGCAGGGTCACATCTACTTTTGAATTCATTAGACTCATTAAATGTGCAGGTATCTGGCATTCAGTAGAGAAGCAATTAATGTTTCCTGAAAGAATGAAGAATAAGCACCTACATGTGACTAAAGGCTGGAAGCACAATCATTTCTTGTGTTATTCTAAACAGCCAGGTCATGTACACAAGAGAGGAAAATGAGGCCTCTTACCTTAGTCACAATGGTGGAAGGGAAGGAGCTTTGGTCATATACCCAGCCATCCACACAGGGCTCTGTATCTGGCTCACTCGTGTTGGGGAAGGTCCCATTCAGATGAATGAGCTTCCACTGGGGATGGACAAAGCGACGACACTTCTCTGGCCTCAGATTTGAGTCGAATGGGATGGAGATTCTCAGGAGGGCATCCTGGCTGAGGGTCCCAGGGTCATTGTCAGGGATAGTGTCATTGTCCAGTATATGAACCCAGCAGCGATGATCAAGTATGAATGCTGCGAAGTTCTCCAGCTGAGTTTGATGGTATACTATGACGTTGAACATTATAAGGAAAACCATCTGAAGGATCTGGAATCTCCCCAGGCCTCCAACTTGATCTAGGAGGTCCTGAAAGGCCATTGAGGCTGGACAAGTGATCCCCAAGAGGAGACAAAATGACTGTATCCAGATAAGTTCAAAGAGAAAATATTTCCTTTCCTTAAATCACACTAAGTGTGTGTGTTGATCCTGACCCCACTCTCTTCTTAATGGGCCCTCTCTCCCATCTGCAGCAGGGTCACGGAAGCAATTTCCTCAAGTAGTTTTGGGGTCAGGTAGGTATCTGTTTTCTTTAGGGTCACATAAGAAATAATTGGCTCAGATACTTCCAACCATTTTCAATGAAATGTGTTTAAACATTAGACATCTACTTATTGATGTCTTTAGTAGCTCCCCAATAGCAGCATTGAACTTTGGTCTGCACATTTTTTTGTAAACAAACTAAAATAAATCTGCTACTTGGTATGCAGTCTTTCCAGAACGTGTAATCTGTGGGACTCAAAGGCAAAGTGCTTTTTCTTTTCTCTGTGAAAAGAACAGAAAGCAAATGTCTTTCTTGTTAAGTACCAATTTTTGATTAAGGATTAATAAACACAATCTGAGTTGAATTAAAATGAGTAATATGGTGCAAACCTTCCATTTTGTTGACTGATGTTCTGCTTCATGCCAAAGCATACCACAAACTCACACTGGAAGTAAATTACTTCAAATGTGGGGAGAGTGGGTAGTGATAAGAACCAGAGTAGTAAGCCAGTGCTAAGCTCATATGGAGGTTTACTTTTACTGGCTTATTGATTCTTTCAGATATTATTTGTGGGGACATTTTCTGTGTCAGTATCTTGAATAATGTGTACAACCAGGTTCAAAAATCTTGCAGTTCAGTGAGTAAGATAGAGTACATAAACAATTGTAATCTGATATTGTAAATATTATGTGAGACGCACAATGTGCTATGGAAGAATTGCAGACAAAATATAGGAGAAAATTGCACCTTGATTAGGACTAAAATTCTTTAAAATGTATACCTCATTGAGGTATAATTCATTTACCATACAGTTCACCCTTTTAAAAAAAATTTATTTATTTATTTTTATTATACTTTAAGATCTAGGGTACATGTGCACAACGTGCAGATTTGTTACATATGTATACGTGTGCCATGTTGGTGCGCTGCACCCATTAACAAGTCATTTACATTAGGTATATCTCCTAATGCTATCCCTCCCCCATCCCCTAACCCCAAGACAGGCCCCGGTGCATGATGTTCCCCTTCCTGTGTCCAAATGTTCTCATTGTTCAATTCCCACCTATGAGTGAGAACATGCGGTGTTTGGTTTTTTGTCCTTGAGATAGTTGGTTGAGAAGGATGGTTTCCAGCTTCATCCATGTCTCTACAAAGGACATGAACTCATCATTTTTTATGGCTGTATAGTATTCCATGGTGTATATGTGGCACATTTTCTTAATCTAGTCTATCATTGGTGGACATTTGGGTTGGTTCCAAGTCTTTGCTATCGTGAATAGTGCCACAATAAACATACATGTGCATGTGTCTTTATAGCAGCATGATTTATAATCCTTTGGGTATATACTCAGTAATGGGATGGCTGGGTCAAATGGTATTTCTAGTTCTGGATCCTTGAGGAGTCACCACACTGTGTTCCACAATGGTTGAACTAGTTTACAGTCCCACCAACAGTGTAAAAGTGTTCCTATTTTTCCACATCCTCTCCAGCACCTGTTGTTTCCTGACTTTTTAATGATGGCCATTCTAACTGGTGTGAGATGGTATCTCATTGTGGGTTTGATTTGCATTTCTCTGATGGCCAGTGGTGATGAGCATTTTTTCATGTGTCTTTTGACTGCATAAATGTCTTCTTTTGAGAAGCATCTGTTCATATACTTTGCCCACTTTTTGATGGGGTTCTTTTTTTCTTGTAAATTTGTTGGAGTTCATTGTAGATTCTGGATATTAGCCCTTTGTCAGATGAGTAGATTGCAAAATTTTGCTCCCATTCTGTAGGTTGCCTGTTCACTCTGATGGTAGTTTCTTTTGCTGTGCACAAGCTCTCTCATTTAATTGGACCCCATTTGTCAATTTTGGCATTTGTTGTTTTAGACATGAAGTCCTTGCCCATGCCTATGTCCTGAATGGTATTGCCTAGTTTTTCTTCTAGGGTTTTTATGGTTTTAGGTCAAAGATTTAAGTCTTTAATCCATCTTGAATTAATTTTTGTGTAAGGTATAAGGAAGGGATCCAGTTTCAGCTTTCTACATATGGCTAGCCAGTTTTCCCAGCACCATTTATTAAATAGGGAATCCTTTCCCCATTTCTTGTTTTTGTCAGGTTTGTCAAAGATCGGATAGTTGTAGATATGTGGCATTATTTCTGAGGGCTCTGTTCTGTTCCGTTGGTCTATATCTCTGTTTTGGTACCAGTACCATGCTGTTTTGGTTACTGTAGCCTTGTAGTATAGTTTGAAGTCAGGTAGCGTGATGCTTCCAGCTTTGTTCTTTTGGCTTAGGATTGACTTGGCAATGCGGGCTCTTTTTTGGTTCCATATGAACTTTAAAGTAGTTTTTTCCAATTGTGTGAAGAAAGTCATTGGTAGCTTGATGGGGATGGCATTGAATCTATAAAAGACCTTGGGCAGTATGGCCATTTTCACGATATTGATTCTTCCTACCCGTGAGCATGGAATGTTCTTCCATTTGTTTGTATCCTCTTTTATTTGATTGAGCAGTGGTTTGTTGTTCTCCTTGAAGAGGTCCTTCACATCCCTTTTAAGTTGGATTCCTAGGTATTTTATTCTCTTTGAAGCAATTGTGAATGGGAATTCACACATGATTCGGCTCTCTGTTTGTCTGCTATTGGTGTATAAGAATGCTTGTGATTTTTGCACATTGATTTTGTATCCTGATACTTTGCTGAAATTGGTTATCAGCTTAA
The DNA here is from genome assembly GCF_000001405.40 of Homo sapiens. NCBI lineage: Eukaryota > Metazoa > Chordata > Mammalia > Primates > Hominidae > Homo > Homo sapiens. The sequence continues at coordinate 63,232,522 of NC_000011.10, forward strand.
GGAGATTTTGGGCTGAGACGATGGGGTTTTCTAGATATACAATCATGTCATCTGCAAAGAGGGACAATTTGACTTCCTCTTTTCCTAATTGAATTCCCTTTATTCCCTTCTCCTGCCTGATTGCCCTGGCCAGAACTTCCAACACTATGTTGAATAGGAGTGGTGAGAGAGGGCACCCCTGTAGTGTGCCAGTTTTCAAAGGGTATGCTTCCAGTTTTTGCCCATTCAGTGTGTTATTCACTGTGGGTTTGTCATAAATAGCTCTTATTATTTTGAGATTCGTCCTATCAATACCTAATTTATTGAGAGTTTTTAGCATGAAGTGTTGTTGCATTTTGTCAAAGGCCTTTTCTGCATCTATTGAGATAATCATGTGGTTTTTGTCTTTGGTTCTGTTTTTATGCTGGATTACTTTTATTGATTTGCATATGTTGAGCCAGCCTTGCATCCCAGGGATGAAGCCCACTTGATCATGGTGGATAAGCTTTTTGATGTGCTGCTGGATTCGGTTTGCCAGTATTTTATTGAGGATTTTTGCATCAATGTTCATCAAGGATATTGGTCTAAAATTCTCTTTTTCTGTTGTGTCTCTGCCTGGCTTTGGTATCAGGATGATGCTGGCCTCATAAAATGAGTTAGGGAGGATTCCCTCTTTTTCTATTGATTGTAGTACTTTAAGAAGGAATGGTACCAGCTCCTCCTTTTACCTCTGGTAGAATTCGGCTGTGAACCCATCTGGTCCTGGACTTATTTTGGTTGGTAAGCTATAAATTATTGCCTCAATTTCAGAGCCTGTTATTCAGGCTATTCAGAGATTCAACTTCTTCCTGGTTTAGTCTTGGGCGGGTGTATGTGTCAAGGAATTTATCCATGTCTTCTAGATTTTCTAGTTTATTTGCGTAGAGGTGTTTATAGTATTGTCTGATGGTAGTTTCTATTTCTGTGGAATTGGTGGTGATATCCCCTTTGTCATTTTTTATTGCATCTACTTGATTTTTCTCTCTTTTGTTCTTTATTAGTCCTGCTAGCAGTCTATCAATTTTGTTGATCTTTTCAAAAAACCAGCTCCTGGATTCATTGATTTTTTGAAGGGTTTTTTGTGTCTCTATCTCCTTCAGTTCTGCTCTGATCTTAGTTATTTCTTGCCTTCTGCTAGGTTTTGAATGTGTTTGCTCTTGCTTCTCTAGTTCTTTTAATTGTGATGTTAGGGTGTCAATTTTAGATCTTTCCTGCTTTCTCTTGTAGGCATTTAGTGCTATAAATTTCCCTCTACACACTGCTTTGAATGTGTCCCAGAGATTCTGGTATGTTGTGTCTTTGTTCTCATTGGTTTCAAAGAACATCTTTATTTCTGCCTTCATTTCGTTATGTACCCAGTAGTCATTCAGGAGCAGGTTTTTCAGTTTCCATGTAGTTGAGCAGTTTTGAGTGAGTTTCTTAATCCTGAGTTCTAGTTTGATTGCACTGTGGCCTGAGAGACAGTTTGTTATAATTTCTGTTCTTTTACATTTGCTGAGGAGAGCTTTACTTCCAACTATGTGGTCAACTTTTGGAATAGGAGTGGTGTGGTGCTGAAAAGAATGTATATTCTGTTGATTTGGGGTGGAGAGTTCTGTAGATGTCTATTAGGTCCGCTTGGTGCAGAGCTGAGTTTAGTTCCTGGATATCCTTGTTAACTTTCTGTCTCATTGATCTGTCTAATGTTGACAGTGGGGTGTTAAAGTCTCCCATTATTATTGTGTGGGAGTCTAAGTCTCTTTGTATGTCTCTAAGGACTAGCTTTATGAATCTGGGTGCTCCTGTATTGGGCACATATATATTTAGGATAGTTAGCTCTTCTTGTTGAATTGATCCCTTTACCATTATGTAATGGCCTTCTTTGTCCCTTTTGATCTTTGTTGGTTTAAAGTCTGTTTTATCAGAGACTAGGATTGCAACCCCTGCCTTTTTTTGTTTTCCATTTGCTTGGTAGATCTTCGTCCATCCCTTTATTTTGAGCCTATGTGTGTCTCTGCAAGTGACATGGGTTTCCTGAATACAGCACACTGATGGGTCTTGACTCTTTATCCAATTTGCCAGTCTGTGCCTTTCAATTGGAGCATTTAGCCCATTTACATTTAAGGTTAGTATTGTTATGTGTGAATTTGATCCTGTCATTATGATGTTAGCTGGTTATTTTGCTTGTTAGTTGATGCAGTTTGTTCCTAGCCTTGATGGTCTTTACAATTTGGCATGTTGTTGCAGTGGCTGGTACCGGTTGTTCCTTTCCATGTTTAGTGCTTCCTTCAGGAGCTCTTTTAGGGCATGCCTGGTGGTGACAAACTCTCTCAGCATTTGCTTGTGTGTAAATTATTTCATTTCTCCTTCACTAATGAAGCTTAGTTTGGCTGGATATGAAATTCTGGGTTGAAAATTCTTTTCTTGAAGAATGTCGAATATTGGCCCCCCCTCTCTTCTGGCTTGTAGAGTTTCTGCTGAGAGATCAGCTGTTAGTCTAATGGGCTTCCCTGTGGGTAACCTGACCTTTCTCTCTGGCTGCCCTTAACATTTTTTCCTTCATTTCTTCGTTTCAACTTTGGTGAATCTGATAATTATGTGTCTTGGAGTTGCTCTTCTTGAGGAGTATCTTTGTGGCATTCTCTGTATTTCCTGAGTTTGAATGTTGGCCTGCCTTGCTAGATTGGGGAAGTTCTCCTGGATAATTTCCTGCAGAGTGTTTTCCAACTTGGTTCCATTCTCCCCGTCACTTTCAGGTACACCAGTTAGACGTAGATTTGTTCTTTTCACATAGTCCCATATTTCTTGGAGGCTTTGTTCATTTGTTTTTATTCTTTTTTTCTCTAAACTTCTCTTCACGCTACATTTCATTCATTTGATCTTCCATCACTCATACCCTTTCTTCCAGTTGATCGCATTGTTTACTGAGACTTGTGCATTTGTCACGTAGTTCTTGTGCCATTGTTTTCGGCTTCATCAGGTCCTTTAAGGACTTCTCTGCATTGGTTATTCTAGTTATCCATTCATCTAATTTTTTTCAAAGTTTTTAACTTCTTTGCCATTGGTTTAAACTTCCTCCTTTAGCTCAGAGTAGTTTGATCTTCTGAAGACTTCCTCTCTCAAGTCATTGAAGTCATTCTCTGTCCAGCTTTGTTCTGTTGCTGGTGAGGAGCTGCGTTCCTTTAGAGAGGAGAGGTGCTCTGATTTTTAGAGTTTCCGGTTTTTCTGCTCTGTTTTTTCCCCATCTTTGTGGTTTTATCTACTTTTGGTCTTTGATGATGGTGACGTACAGATGGGTTTTTGGTGTGGATGTCCTTTCTGTTTGTTAGTTTTCCTTCTAACAGTCAAGACCCTCAGCTGCAGGTCTGTGGGAGTTTACTGGAGCTCTACCCCAGAGCCTGTTTGCCTGGGTATCAGCAGCGGTGGCTGCAGAACAGCAGATATTGGTGAACTGCAAATGCTGCTGCCTGATCATTCCTCTGGGAGTTTTGTCTCAGAGGAGTACCCAGCTGTGTGAGGTGTCAGTCCACCCCTAATGGGGGGTGCCTCCCAGTTAGGCTACTTGGTGTTCAGGGACCCACTTGAGGAGGCAGTCTGCCTGTTCTCAGATCTCAAGCTGCGTGCTGGGAGAACCACTACTCTCTTCAAAGCTGTCAGACAGGGACATTTAAGTCTGCAGAGGTTACTGCTGTCTTTTGTTTGTCTGTGCCCTGCCCCCAGAGGTGGAGCCTACAGAAGCAGGCAGGCCTCCTTGAGATGTGGTGGGCTCCACCCAGTTCGAGCTTCCCGGCAGCTTTGTTTACCTACTCAAGCCTGAGCAATGGCAGGCACCCCTCCCCCAGCCTTGCTGCCACCTTGCAGTTTGATCTCAGACTGCTGTGCTAGCAATGAGTGAGGCTCTATGGGCATAGGAACCTCCAAGCCATGTGTGGGATATAATCTCCTGGTGTGCCGTTTGTGAAGCCCATTGGAAAAGCATAGTATTAGGGTGGGAGTGACCCAATTTTCCAGGTGCCGTCTGTCACCCCTTTCTTTGACTAGGAAAGGGAATTCGCTGACCCCTTGTGCTTCCTGGGTGAGGTGATGCCTCACCCTGCTTTGGCTCATGCACGGTGTGCTGCACCCACTGTCCTGCACCCACTGTCCCGCACCCACTGTCTGGCACTCCCCAGTGAGATGAACCCAGTACCTCAGTTGGAAATGCAGAAATCACCCATCTTCTGCATCGCTGACCCTGGGAGCTGTAGACTGGAGCTGTTTCTATTTGGCCATCTTGGCTCCACCCCCTTCTTCTTTTTATTAACTATATGCATCTCTGTTTCTTCACACTTAGCTTACCTAATGCTTTCATCTTCTAACTATCTACCGGTTCCCCTGTCTGGGCTGTGGCTCCCTTGTATCCAGCATAGAACACTGTTCTCCATATCTTCATTTTCAAACAGGCTGAATTCCATGTCATGAAATATCTGTCTTTCAGTTCTCATAGGTAACTTCTATGGTTTCAATGTCTGTTCCTAAACTCATGTTGAAATTTAATTGCTATTGTGATTGTATTAAGAGGTGGTGCAGGAACAGAAAACCAAATATTGCATGTTCTTACTTGTAAGTCGGAGCTAAACATTGAGCACACATGGACATAAACATGGGAACAATAGACACTGTGGACTACTAGAGGGAGGAAGGAGGGAGGAAAGGTATAGGTTGAAAAAACCCCACTGTTGGGTACTGTGCTCACTGCCTGGGTATAATATACCCATAACAAACCTGCACATATACCCTCTGTATATAAAATATAAGTTGAAATAAAAAAAGAGACGAGACCTTTAAGAGGTGAATAGGTTCATGTGGATATCGCGGAGGTGGGTTATTGCAGGAGGGGATCCTGATGATAGGATGAAATCCAGCCCCCATTCTCTGTCTTGTGACCTTGCTTGCCCTTCCACCTTCTGCTGTGAGATGATACAGCACAAAGTTACTCATCAGATGCTGATGCCAAACTCTTGGACTTCCAAGCCTCCATAAACATGAACCAAATAAACTTCTATTGTGAATAAATTACCTATCCTGTGACCTTCTGTTATAGCAGCAGAACATGGACTAAGACAGTAACTGTTCTCATATTTCTAAATCACATGTTGTGGCACCAGATTTCCAAACCCTGACCTGTCAGGCTTAATGGAGATGTCATTTCTGTGTCTTGTACACAACACTCAGTGCTGACAGGATAGCCCTCACCACACAGATTGTAGTACTCCATTTGTGTTTCTAGATCCCTGAAGACCAAGGTAGCCCCAGGACAGTGTGATTTGCAATAAATATTTCTCAATGAATAAATATTTAATCAGTGGATGGAAATACTCACTAGTATAGTGATCTTTGAACAGAGATGCTCATCTGTCTGATAAATGGCCATATTGGATGCCTTTCACCACCACTCCATGAATAAGAATGTAGCCACTAAATTCAGTGACTGAGATCCACATACCAGGTCCCACTAGAAGAAATAAAAACCAGCATCGTAGAGTTTTATAGCAACTTAAAACGCCTCAGAGGAACCTGATCAAAACTCCTGAACATGACCTGAATGTTTCATTACAGCAGGCCTCTATCTTCCTCTGTAGCCTCCCTTTTCTTTACTATTTGACCTTTATCATTCAGGTCTCAGCTTCAACAACTTTCTCTAGGAAGCTGCCTCTAAAACTGTAGGTTATATTAACAACCACTTTTGCTCCATACTAAGTGTGGTTCTCAAATTTTGCCATAGAGTGCAATCATTTGTGAACCTTAAAAAATTTAATGATTCGTGATTATCACTGCAGACCTTCTCCTATGACCACTCTGGGTGTACAGTCTGGGCATGGGGGTTTTGATCAACCTCCCAGTATTTTTAATTGCAACCACAGGCTGAGCCTTACTGATTCGGCATACAATTTATAACAAAATACATGAAATACTTGCCTAAACTTTGGTCTTCCCAAGAATGAAAGCACTATGATAGCAGTGTACATGTCTACTTTTGAAATCACTAGACTTATAAAATGCATAGGGGTCTGGTATTTAACAGAGAAGCAATTAATATTTGCTGAAAGAATGAAGAATAAGCACCTACATGTGACAAAATGCTGGTAGCATGTTAATTACTTGTGTTATTTGTAAACACTGTAGTTGTGTATGTAGGAGGAAATTGGGGCCTCTTACCCAGTCACGATGGTGGAGAGGAAGGAGCTTCTGTTGTACACCCTGCTGTCCACACACGGTTCCATGTCTGGTTCATTCATATTGAGGAATGTCCCATTCAGGTGAAGGAGCTGCCACTGGGGATGGATGAAGTGACAACGTTTCTGTGGCCTCAGGTTTGAGTCCAGTGAGATAGAGATTCTCAGGAGGGCATCTTGGCTGAGGATCACAGTTTCTTCGTCCAAGACGATGACATTGTCTATGATGTGCACCTAGCAGTGGTGACCAGGATGAATGCAGTGAAATTCTCCATACAACACGAGGGCAAACTATAAAGGTGGAGATGATAAGAAAAACCATCTGAAGGATCTGAAATCTCCCCAAGCCACCAACTTGATCCAAGAAGTCCTGAAATACCATTGAGGCTGAAGAGATTATCCCTAAAAGGAGGCAAAATGACTGTATTCAGATAAGTTCAAAGAGAAAAAATGTTTCCTTTCCTGAAGTCCCATTGAGTGTATGTTGATCCACTTTCTTTTAATAGGCCCTGCATCACATTTGCAGCAGGACCATGGAAGGTTACACATCTTATTATCATTTGGGGATTAGATAGCAATTTTTATTAAAGTCAAAGAAAAATATTTTGCTTGGATACTCCAACAGTTGTCAATGAAATCTGTTTAAAGTTCTACTTTGTGAAAATTTATGTTATCAGCAGCACCTCACAAAAGCATCAACCTTTGATCTCCACATTTTCTGTAAATACAGTAAAATAAACATGCTATATTGTTAGCAGTCTTTTCCAGAATGTGTAATTTGTGACAATCAAAAGGGATGCACTTTTAGAAATCTTCCTGTGAAAGTACTGAAAGTAAGTGCTTTTCTTGTTCAGTATTGAATTTGGGCTTAAAGAGTTAGTGTGAGCTAATTAGAGCAATTTAAACATGGTACAGTCCTTCCCCTTTAACAGCTCTCTGCTTCAGGTGAAATCACAGCAGAAACTCATTTCAAACATAAGTTTTTCAGAAAGGGCAGAGTCAGGGTAGTGAAGGAGGGCAGAGTAAGCCATGGCAAGCTCATTTTTCTAGGCTTGTTGATTTATTCACACTGCATTTGTGAGAAACTTTTCGGGGCTCGTTCCAGGGATACAATAAGTGCAAGATAAGGTCTTCAAGGTTCTTATAGTGAGTAAGGGATAGGTACTTAAATATTCACACTCTGATATAAAATGTTCACAGTCATGCATCTCAAAACAACAGGAATATGCTCTGAGAAATGCATTATTATGTGATTTTGTTGTGTGAACATCATGGAGTGTACTTACGCAAACCTATATGGTGTAGTCTAATGCACACCTAGGCTATATGGTATAGCCTATTGCTCATATCCTGCAAACCTGTACAGTATGTTACTTCACTGAATACTGTAGGCAATTATAATACATTGGTGCTTGTGTACCTAAACGTATCTAAACATAGAAAAGTTAGAGTAAAAATAAAAGATAAAAGATAAAAAAATTACACTTTATAGGGTTTTGCCAAGCATGGATCTTGCAGTACTGGAAGTTGCTCTGGGTGAGTCAGTGTGTGAGTGGTGAGTGAATGTGAAGGCACTTTTGGGGATCTGGAAGTTAGTCATTTTCATTAGAGTCAAAGAAAAATGTTTTTGTTGTGTTAATTCCAACAGATTATAATGAAATCTGTTTCAAGTTTAAATCATAAGATATACCTTATAAACACTGTACACTTGGGCTGCACTAAATATATAAACAAACATTTTCCTTTCTTCAATAATAAATTAACCTAGGCTTACTGTAATTTTGTAACTTTATAAACTTTTTAGTTTTTAAAAAACTTTTGACTCTTTTGTAATAACACTTAAAATATAAACATGTTGCACAGCTGTACAAGAATTTTTTTATATCCTTGTTCATTCTATAAGCTTTTCTATTAAGTTTATTTTTTGCTTTTTAAATTTTTTTGTTAAAAATAAAGACCAAACTCTCACATTGGCCTAAGCCTACACAAGGTCATAATCATTAATATCACCATTTTCCATCTTCACATCTTGTCTCACTAGAAGGTCTTCTGGAGCAGTAACATGCATGGGGTTGTCATCTCCTGTGAGAGCAAGGCCTGTCTGTGTAAATGGTACTCCCATCCAACCTGTTATGCAACTAGTAAATTAGCACTTTATCCTTTGACTATTTACTTTTACTCATTCCAAACAAGCCAGCACAAATCTAGTCAATTCTACTAACTTACACAATGAGACCATAAAAAAAAATTTGTAGCATTGACTGACTTGATATGGCTTTAGCTCAAAATGCAGAAACAACATTCATGCTATCTTGTCATGTTTAACTGCAGGCACATGAAAATATTAGTATTTGTCTTGGTTGGGAAAGAAATTCTGAGGCAGAAATGTGTGTGCAAGGGGTTTACTAAGGCATGCTCTTATGTAAGTGCATGATGAAATATGATTGATTGGAGCTAATTGTTGAACCATAATATAGTTGCAAAACAGGCCTGAAGCCATTCCATGGGGAGATGTGAACCTGGAATGGCCCTTCAGAAAAGTCTGGAATTGAGCCACAGAAGGAACCCTGTTTGCTTGCATTGGAGAGGCTAATGACAGAGCCTGGTGGACTTCAACTCTGTCATTATGGATATTTGATTGGTTAGTGCTTCTCTCCTTCTTCCACGGTGTTCCATGTAATAGAAAGACCTTCACACCTCATGCCCACTCCACAGGTGCATCCCCATGCCTCTTTCCCAGACCTCTTTCCTTCCTATTATCCAATCTTTCTGTTTATAGGTCCAGTCCATCAAACAAAGTCATCTGGAGCTCCTAGTCTCTGTATTCTTACCTCAGGATTATCTTATTTATACACAAAGTAGATAATCAGTTGTATTACTTGAAGCTCAATGCATTGAGAGGGTTAACAGTCATCAGTGACTATCAAGGCCCCCAGAGGGAAGCATTACTTCACTAAGTTTTACTTTTCCCATATACCAAGTCATTCTATATCTGAACCTAGAAAGGCTATTTTCTTCTGTCATCTGATCACAACAGACACCCAAGCACCTGAGGGTATGCACTGAGGTGAGGCACAACATTGGTGGGCAACAGGGTCTCTGAACCACCAGACTGTGCAGCTTAAATGGCCTTTTGTTAAGTACTGACAATAAACTGAGATTGTAGCCCAGACAAAAAGCTCTCTAAAGATGGTTAAGGATATTACATTCAAACTCTGTCAAACAGAAATGAGGTTTCTAAGAATCTTAATGTCATTACCTCTCAGCAGAATATCATAGTCCATCTATATGAATGGAGATATTTTGGGTGTGGCTTTTGTCTAATGGAGCAGATTCCAGTAAGAGTCACAAGAGACCAAGAAAAAGTTTAATAGAATTACATGGGCAGAAACACTGCTAGTTGGGACAGAAACTAACAGAGAATGTACAAAATGAAATGGTGCTATTTACCTCCCCCTCCACCCCTGGATTCTACTTTCAGAGAGCAGGTGGAAAAAACCACACACCGAAAACCACATACTAACTTTAATATAAAAGGAAGGATGTCTCTTAGGCAGAACCCAGAGACCAGATGTCAGAACCAACAACTGTATAGAATAACTCATTGGCAGGAGTAGGATAGCGTCTTTATCAAGGGGCACTCGATATTTGCCCAGCTGGATTTCAGAACTGCTATACAGCAATAACACTTGCATGACTCCTGTTTTCCCATCTAAGAATAGTGTCATATTTAGTAGACTTGTTTAATATCGTTGCTTCCTTGGCATGCCTTTTTAGGTCTGACATAAGTTATTTGAAACTCAGCTATACCCCATCACTTCAGCCTAGTTAAAACTTCCTCTTCCTGTGTGATTGTGATATAGCCAGCTGGAGGGTGGGTCTGCCTCTCCCAGTCCACTGACTCAAATGTTAATCTCCTTTGGCAACACCCTCACAGACACACCCAGGTACAATACTTTGTGCATCCTTCAATCTGATCAAGTTGACACTCAATATTAACCCTCATAGACTGTGATCCCTATGTTGCTGCCTTCCCTCGTTTCTATTGCTCTTTGGCCCCAACCCAAATAAGGTTCCTTGGGACACACTAAAGAAGGAGGTGGAGTTCGAAGGGGAGGAGAGATGTGAGCGAGGCAGGCAGGGAAGCTCTGCTCGCCCACTGCCCAATCCTCACCTCTCTTCTCCTCCACCTTCTGTCTCTGCCCTCACCTCTCCTCTGAAAACCCCCTATTGAGCCAAAGGAAGGAGATGAGGGGAATGCTTTTGCCTTCCCCCTCCAAAACAAAAACAAAAACAAACACACTTTTCCAGTCCAGAGAAAGCAGGGGAGTGAGGGGTCACAGAGCTGGCCATGCAGCTGCTGGGCTGTGAGGTAGACCCGGTCCTCAGAGCCACGAGGGACTGCAACCTACTCCAAGTTGACCGTGTCCTGAAGAACCTGCTTGCTATCAAGAAGCGCTACCTTCAGTAATGCTCCTACTTCAAGTGTGTGCAGAAGGCCATCCAGCCGTACATGCACAGGATGGTGGCCACTTCTGATGGTGGCCATTTGATTGGTGGCCACTTCTGATGGTGGCCAACATGATTGAACCATTTGGGATGGAAAAGCACCTTTACTCTCAGCCACCTGTTAACTAATGCTGGAGGTCTGTGAGGAACAGAAGTGTGAAGAAAAGGTTTTCCCTCTGGCCACGATTTACCTGGACTGTTTCTTCGCCAGGATCCCAACTTCAAAGTCCCATCTGCAACTCCTGGGTGCTGTCTGCATGTTCCTGGCCTCCAGGCTCAAAGAGTCCAGCCCACTGACTGCCAAAAAGCTGTGCATTTATACCGACAACTCCATCAAGCCTCAGGAGCTGCTGGAGTGGGAACTGGTGGTGTTGGGAAAGTTGAAGTGGAACCTGGCAGCTGTCACGCCTCATGACTTCATTTAGTACATCTTGCACAAGCTGCCCCAGCAGCGGGAGAAGCTGTCTCCAATCTGCAAGCAAGTCCAGAACTTCAATGCTCTGTATGCAATGTACCCGCCATCAATGGTTGCAACTGGAAGTGTAGGAGCAGCTATCTGTGGACTTCAGCAACATGAGGAAGTGAGCTCACTCCCTTGCAATGCCCTGACTGAGCTGCTGGCAAAGATCACCAACACAGATGTGGATTGTCTCAAAAGCCAACCGGGAGCATATTGAGGTGGTCTTCCTCAACAGCCTGCAGCAGTGCCATCAGGACCAGCAGGACAGATCCAAGTCAGAGGATGAACTGGGCCAAGCCAGCACCCCTATAGACCTGTGAGATATCGACCTGTGAGGATGGCAGTCCAGCTGAGAGGCGCATTCATAATCTGCTGTCTCCTTCTTTCTGGTTATGTTTTGTTCTTTGTATCTTAGGGCGAAACTTAAAAAAAAAAACCTCTGCCCCCACATAGTTCGTGTTTAAAGATCTTTTAGAAGTGACAGAAAATAGTCCTATAAAAACAGAATAAGAAAAAGCCTTTGGTGCTTATTTGAAGTACAGCATAAGGGAATCCCTCGTATATTCGAACAGTTATTGTTTGATTATGTAAAAGTAATGGTAAAATGCTTGCAGGAAAACCTGCAGGGTAGTTAGAGAATATGTATGTCTGCAATATGGAAACAAATTAGAGGAGACTTTTTTTTTTCATGTTGTGAGCTAGCACATACACCCCCTTGTAGTATAATTTCAAGGAACTGTGTATGCCATTTATGGCATGATTAGATTATAAAGCAATGAACTCAAGAAGGAATTGGAAATAAGGAAGGACTTGATGGGGAAGGAGTACAAAACAATCTCTCAACATGATTGAACCATTTGGGACGGAGAAGCACCTTTACTCTCAGCCACCTGTTACTAAGTCAGAAGTGTGGTTGGATCTCTATGTTGGGTACTCTTGCTGTCTACATTAGCTGCTACCTAAATAAGATGTTTTATTTTGCCAGTTGGACACAGGTGATTGGCTTCTGGATTTCTTGTCCTGTGACATCTTGCTTCTTCCAAATGCAGTTCATTGCGGACACCACAGTATTGCTATCTAATGGGGGAAATGTAGCTATGGGCTGTAACCAAAACTCACATGAAATGGAGGCAGATGGAGACCTGGGGTGGCATCCAGAATGGAATCTTTTCTCTTATTGTATTAAAAAGGGTAACGTGACCTTGGCATTCCTTCTTAGGAAAAACTAATTTTTGGTGCTGATTGGCATGTCTGCTCCACAGGTTAGCATTGTTCTAAACCATTCCATTCGAAAAGCACTTTGAAAAATTTTTCCCTAGCAATAGATGGCATGGTTTATGCAAGTCATGCTGAATACTCCTCCCCTCTTCTCTCTTGCCCCCTCCCTCCCTGCCTCCATCTGGGTTACTCTTCACCTCTGGTATCTGACATTCTTGGGTACACATTTCTGGTGTTCCTACCAGGACACAAGAGACACCTCTTTCTGCTGACATCCCCATCACAACATTCCTCAGAAAAGCCTAAAAACAAAGATCTGTTACCATTCTGATGACACAGAGGATCTTCATTTTATTTCTTTAAATACCTAATTTTACATCTTTATACTTCTTTGGACATGGAAAGTAAAGTTATTGCGGGTGCAAAGACAGATGGCTGAACATCAGGGGGTGGCATTTTGTTTCCTTTTCCTTTTTTGTTTTTGGTAATTTTATTGCAAAGTTGTATTCAGTGTACATGAATTTTTTTTCCTCTTCTGTTCTTTTTTCTTTTTTATTGTTATTTTTTTATTTATTTATTTTATTATACTTTAAGTTTTAGGGTACATGTGCACAACATGCAGGTTTGTTACATATGTATACATGTGCCATGTTGGTGTGCTGCACCCATTAACTCGTCATTTAACATTAGGTAGATCTCCTAATGCTATCCCTCCCCCCTCCCCCCACCCCACAACTGGCCCCAGTGTGTGATGTTCCCCTTCCTGTGTCCATGTGTTCTCATTGTTCAATTCCCACCTATGCGAGAGAACATGCGGTGTTTGGTTTTTTGTCCTTGCGATAGAGGCATTCAGTTAGTAAAGAGGTTGGAGCAACAACTCTTTTTTTTTTTTTTTCACAATTGTAATCGAACAGGTAATGAAGCCATTTGTTAAAATATTTGCCTTTTTAAGTAAAAAAGAAAAATCAGAATGGGGCTACTTTGAAGAATTATTTTATACACAGATTATTTCTTGTTTCAGAGTGCGAAGGTTGAAGATGGAAAAAAATTTAAGAGTCTCTTATTTTTCATTTTGTTTTATTCATGTGTTTCACGGAGTGTACTGCTATTTTGTAAACATTTTTATAGTATATTATTTTATTGCTTAAACTCCAAGTCCTGAAATAGATGGTTGAGATAAGAGTTCTTCATATTGGAAAAACCCTTCTGTAGTTTGTCTTCTTCTGGTTGCATATTCATGGTTGTTGTTTTTTCTTTTCTCTTTTTCCTCTGATCACATTCATCAGAGACAGAGTGTTCTTTACCTCGGGTTTACTGGACAAAATCAACAACTATAAAAGACAATGATTCACACTTTTGTTTTCACAATAACTCACAACCATACAGTTTCTGCTTGGGAGTCTATTAGTGTGAGGAACAGAGAAGCAGGGTGAACAGGGCTAAACTCCTTCTCAGGTGGAAGGCAGGGTGGTCTCAATCCCAGGGACCTTTTTGGTCATGAAGGCCACTGGGCTCCCATTTTGACTCTGGTATGCTCATTATGATGGAAAAAGTACACTGAACCAAGGGATCCTTCCTCCCCTACAAGGAAGATGTTCAGTACAGACATTTATGCAGCAGACTAGGACGTCATAATTTGCACTTGGGTACCAGGTATCAGGAAACAGACTAAAAGGAATTCCAGCAGGCTATATGTGGATCCTCATCTTGTAGCTTTTTCAAAAGCAGGGCATCCTCTGCATTGGGCCCTTTCATCTTGAAACATTTTCCTCCATCTTCCCCCTTCTCTGGAATGGACACTGAGTTGAGGGTCTTCTCTACAGTTTTCCTAGGTCTGAATCTGTGAGTAGATGAATCTGCAGCATGCAGTATTTGCGGTGCTTCCTTCTCCCTCCTCTGTCTCCAACTGCACAGGCAAGCACTATGTAAGCCCAGATTCTCTGCTAAGTGGTTTTCAGGTTTTCAATCACACTGAATTGGCAGGACAAGAAAAATTGTTCAGAGAAGTATGGGAAGATAGTTGAAGGGAGATGAAGAGGCTGCTTCTCTATAGAGATGAGATTCCAGATAAGTCAGTCTCTTGGGAAGTGTGTTTAGAAGGGTTCAAGACTTTGTGAGTAAGCATGACCTTAAAATTCTAGGGGATTTCTGGTAGGACAGTGAGTGGTGAATTCTGAAGTTTTGGAGAGGAAAGTGGAGGAGCCAGCAAGCTAGCTAGCCAGTTTTCTAAAAGCCAACTTTGCACAGCACACTCTTCTGGGCCCTAAGGAGTCCCACAGAATGGGGAAAGTGGGAGCCCTGGAGTTCTTGGGAGTCTTGGAGCCTAAAGAGAAAACGAGGTGCAAATTCATTTCACAGTGACTGACCCTTGAGCTTAAACAGAATCAGCAAATGAAAGAATCTGACAAATAAGGAAAGGCACAAGCCTGCCCGACTACTGGACAATAAACTCATGACCTAAAAAAAAAAAAAAAGAAGGAGGTGGCTGTCAGTAAATGGGGCTGAAGAGAACCACTAATGAAAGCCAAGGCTCACAAGGGAGGCCACTCACAGCCACCAGAAGCTTGTCACATAAACATTGAGAGAGCGAGGGAACACATTCTTTTTAGGCTGGGTGCAGTGGCTCCTGCCTGTAATCCCAAGCACTTTAGGAGGCCGAGGTGGGTGGATCACCTGAGGTCGGGAGTTTGAGACCAGCCTGACCAACATGGTGAAACCCTGTCTCTACTAAAAATACAAAAACTAGCCAGGTGTGGTGGCACATGCCTGTAATCCCAAGTACTTGTGAGGCTGAGGCATGAGAATTGCTTGAACCTGGGAGGCGGAGTTTGCAGTGAGCCAAGATCATGCCATTGCACTCCAGCCTGGGCAACAGAGTAAAATAAATTCTGTCTCAAAAAAAAAAAAAAACTTTTTAGCGCCTAGTTATTCTAAATATTTACTTAAAAGAAAAAGCAAGGTCCCTATGTGGGAGGGAGGTAATGATTATCTTGCAGTCTGGGGTGATTCAAGAGAGAGACTACTGCTTAGATGGACCAGCACCCTGTCTCTCTCTCTTTTTTTAAATCAGAAATTAAAACTAAGAGCCACGACTTCAGAAGACTAAAAGTCTAAAAACAAAAACAACAAACAAAACTACAGCACAAAAGGAAAAAGCTGTAGGTGGCTACGAATCTGAAAAATAAGTAAAAGAACTTTAAACTTAAGTCCTGAGTAAACACCAGGTCTACCAAACATGATATTAGCCCTATATTACTTACTGATTTAGAAACAAGCCCCTAGATACAGGGGGGAAATAAAAGCTAATTAAATAAATTACATATACATACATAATACAATAAATAGATAAATGAAGTATATGTGTATATTTTATATAATAAGTTAAAACAAACTTCCATAATTTGACTCAATTAGAAATCCAAAATTTATATACTAAATTTCTATACTAAAGGACTTATATAACAAAATGATTTAAAAAAGACACTGATTGGCTTTTGTGCCTCTATAACATAGACTTTAACTTAACTTTAACATTTGTTAAAATGCATCAATTGGCAGAACTTCACAAGCTTAATCAACCCTGGGACTCAAATTACAATGATACACCAGGATTCCACTAAATTTAAACACTCTGCTCCTATAATCTTGAGAAGATACTTAAATATATATAAAGAAAAATGAGTTTGCCTCACTTTAGCAGTGGGGAAAGGATTCCATATTCAAAAAATGTTGCTGGCAGAATTGGCTAGCCATATGCAGAAGACTGAAACTGGACCCTTTCCTTACACCATATACAAAAATTAACTCAAGATGGATTAAAGACTTAGGTGTAAAACTCAAAACTGTAAAAACCCTGGAAGAAAACCTAGGAAATACCACTCAAGAAGTAGGCATGGGCAAAGATTTCATGATGATGCCAAAAGCAATTTAAACAAGACAAAAATTGACAAATGGAATCAAATTATACTAAAGAGCTGCTGCACAGCAACACAAACTATCAACAGAGTAAACAGGCTGGGAGAA
Source organism: Homo sapiens (assembly GCF_000001405.40). Taxonomy (NCBI): domain Eukaryota; kingdom Metazoa; phylum Chordata; class Mammalia; order Primates; family Hominidae; genus Homo; species Homo sapiens. Next base: position 63,248,944 of record NC_000011.10, read on the forward strand.
AAATTATGCAAAGTATGCATCTGACAAAGGTCTAATATCCAGCCTCTACAAGGAACTTAACAAGTTTACAAGAAACAAATAAATAACCCCATAGAAAAGTGGGCAAAGGACATGAACAGACACTTTTGAAAAGAAGCCATAGCTGCAGCCAACAATCATATGAAAAAGAGCCCCACATTACTGGTTGTTAGAGAAATGCAAACCAAAACCACAATGAGATACCATCTCACGCCAGTCAGAACAGCTATTATTAAAAAGTAAAAACAAACAAACATGCTGGTGAGGTTGTGGAGAAAAACGAATGCTCATACTCTATCGGTGGGAGTGTAAATTAGTTCAGCCAGTGTGAAAGACAGTGTGGCAATTCCTCAAAGATCTAAAGAAAGAAATACCATTCAACCCAGCAATCCCATTACTGGGTATATACCCAAAGGAATATAAATCATTCAATTAAAAAGACACATGCACGTGTATGTTCATTGCAGCACTATTCACAATAGCAAAGACATGGAATCAACCTAAATGTTCACTAATGGTGGGCTGGATAAAGAAAATGTGGTACATATACACCATGGAATACTAAGCAGCCATAAAAAAGAATGAGATTATGTCCTTTTGAGGGACATGGATGGAGCTGGAGGCCATTATCCTTAGCATAATAACACAGGAAAAGAAAACCAAATGCTGCATGTTCTCACTTATAAATGGGAGCTAAATGATGGAACACATGGATGTGTAGAGGGGAATTACACACACTGGGGCCTTTTGGAGGATGGAGGGCCAAAGGTGGAAGAGAATCAAGAAAAAAAACTAATGAGTACTAGGCTTAATACCTAGGTGATGAAATAATCTGTCCGATATAGTCCCATGATACAAGTTTATCTATGTAACAAACCAGCACTTGTACCCCCGAACTTAAAAGTTAGAAAAAACCTGTATCCTTGTTTAAATTTCTCATAGTCATAGAATCCACTGCCTTAAAATATTCCATATTCAACATAAATACTCTAACATAATAAATAATAAATTTAGCCTTTGACATAAATTGGCTTGATAAAAGGGGACCCCTTCAATCCCCAGTTAAAATAGTTAATCTGACCCAATGTAAATTAATACAGGGCCTCAAGGATTCAAATTTATTATATAAAAGCTAATTAATAAAAGACTGATTTTCTCCTCTGCTTCTCCATTTGGCAGCCCAATTTTGCCTGTTCTTAAATCTGAAAACATAAAATAAAAGATATCTCACTATGGATTAACGCAGGCTTAATGTCATGATCCTATCCATCAAGGCTTTCATATTTAATGTCCAATTTCATTAAACTGACTGCTTCTATTTAAGCAATAACCAGTAAATATTTGCTCTTATTGATTGCCTTTCATGTACTGTTCAGTTCCTATTTCAACATCCTCTCAGGTCAAAGTTTGCCTTGACCTCTAAAGGGACACCTTTTCCAGGATACCCATGGGGTATCTCCATAACTTTGTCATTCCATGCAATCTTTGCAGACAAGATTTTGAGGATATTCACCTTTCTCCAGGAACACAGGTGTGACATTACTTTGAGTACATCCTCCTCCAAGGAGACTCATGTGACACACTCCTTAAAGACATAGAAGTCTAGTATCTCTTAGCACTTTTTGGGTTCTGATGGTAACACATCCTCATTTACAAAATTTACTTACAAATTAAAATCAGCAGGCACTTCTGTGAGTGAAGTCAGAAACATCTTCACTGTAAAGGCTTTGACAACTTCTTCATACATCTTCTGGAGTTTCTAAACCACTTATGATGGTCATCAATTGCCTCACAGCTTCCGATGAAACAAAAAACAAAATAAAATAAACAAAGAACTGCCCCTCTTGGCCTGCATCACTCACTATTAAAACAACAAATGATTGACTATCTGCTGGGACCTCCTGGAAGCAGAGGCTCTCACAGATCCTGAACCTGTGCTTCTCCATACCCAGCTCCAGTTATGGTTTGGGAAACAGCACCCCACAAACTTGGCAAGGCTACCGAGGGCTCCCTAAGACAGTACGAAGCCAAACCTGGGTCTCTGGTACATTCCACCTGTGGGAGACGGTGGCCTTCTGTCCTCAGTGTTTTGCCAGGTGCTAGTGTACTGGAGGAGGTCATCCATTCCGCTATATTAGTCTATTTTTCATATGCTATGAAGAAATACCCCAGACTGGTTAATTTATAAAGAAAAAGAGGCTCAATGGACTCACAGTTTCACATGGCTGGGAGGCCTCACAATCACAGCAGAAGGTGAAGGAGGAGCAAAGGCATGTCTTACATCACGGCAGGCAAGAGAGTGTGTGCAGGGGAACTGCCCTTTATAAAACTATCAGATATCATGGGACTTATTCACTATCATGAAAACAGCATGAAAAAACATGACCCCATGATTCAATTACACCTTGCTGGGTCCCTGCTGTGACACATGGGATTATGGGAGCTACAATTCGAGATGAGATTCGGGTGACACAGTTAAACCATATCACCCCTAGACCCTTTGACTGCCTGGAAATGTTCATGGGATTAACTGAGTAAATAGTAATGGGAGTTTGTAGACTGTGTAAATGGCACTGTAAGCATCTTGCATCATGGAACTTTGTGCAATGTGACTGTTTTCCACTCCTCAGCCAGGGTGTCCTTAATAAAGAATGACACCCCAAAACAACAAATTTGGCCAAATTTTAGGCAGTTGTTTCAGCACCAGTTGCCCTGGTGAACAAATGATCCTATTTTCACATTAATTATCAACTAATGAGCCATTACCTAAAAATTATATTCTTCAGAATTAAAAAACTCTCTAGGAATCTCTTGCCTCATAGATACTCAAACAGCGATCGAGCTGATAATCAAATCAAGAACTTAACCCTTTTTCCAATATCTGCAAAACTAAAAGCAAAACTTAGGTATACACCTAACCAAGGAGGTAAAAGACCTGTACAAGGAAAATTACAAAACACTGATGAAAGAAATCATAGATGACACAAACAAATGGAAACACATCCCATGCTCATGGGTGGGTAGAATCATATTGTGAAAATGACCGTACTGCCAAAAGCAATCTACAAATTCAATATGGTTCCCATCAAAATGCCACCAACATTCTTCACAGAACTAGAAAAAAAATCCTAAAATTAACATGGAACCAAAAAAGAGCCCACATAGCCAAAGGCAGACTAAGGAAAAAGAACTAATCTGGAGGCATCCCATTACTTGACTTCAAACTATACTATGAGGCCATAGTCACCAAAACAGCATGGTACTGGCACATAGACAAATGGAACAGAATAGAGAACCCAGAAATAGGCTGGGTGCAGTGGCTTATGTCTGTAATCCCAGCACTTTGGGAGGCTGAGGTGGATGGATTACTTGTGGTCAGGAGTTTGAGACCAGCCTGGCCAACATGGTGAAACCCTGTCTCTATTAAAAATACAAAAGGGCATGGTGGCACAAACCTGTAGTTCCAGATACTTGGGAGGCTGAGGCAGGAGAATTGCTTGATCCTGGGAGGTGTAGGTTGCAGTGAGCTGAGATCATGCCACTGCACTACAGCCTGGGCAACAGAGCAAGACTCTGTCTCAAAAAATAAACTAAAAAAGGAGAACCTAGAAATAAAGCCAAATACTTACAGTCAACTGATTTTTGACAAAGCAAATAAAAACATAAAGTTGGGAAAGGACACCCTGTTCAACAAAGGGTGCTGGAATAATTGGCAAGCCCATCAGGCTAACAGTGGATCTGTCTGCAGAAACCCTATAAGCCAGAAGAGAGTGAATGCCAATATGCAACATTCTTTTTTAAAAAAGAATTTTCAACCCAGAATTACATATCCAGCCAAACTAAGCTTCATAAGTAAAGGAGAAATAAAATCCTTTACAGACAAGAAAATGCTGAGGAATTTTGTCACCACTAGGCCTGCCTTACAAGAGCTCCTGAAGGAAGCACTAAATATGGAAAAGAAAAACTGGTACCAGCACTGCCAAAACACAGCAAAATATAAAGACCAATGACACTATTAAGAAACTGCATCAACTAATGTGCAAACTAAACAGCTAGCATCATAATGACAGGATCACATTCACACATAACAATATTAACCTTAAATGTAAAAAGGCTAAATGTTCCAATTAAAAGACACAGACTGGCAAATTGGATAAAGAGTCAAGACCCATCAGTGTTCTGTATTCAGGAGACCCATCTCACATGAACAAACAAAAAAACCCAAACAAAATGGGGTTGCAATCCCAGGCTCTGATAAAACAGACTTTAAACCAGCAAAGATCAAAAAAGACAAAGAAGAGCATTACATAATGGTAAAGGGATCAATGCAACAAGAAGAGCTAACTATCCTAAATATATATTCACTCAATACAGGAGCACCCAGACTCATAAAGCAAGTTCTTAGAGACCTACAAAGAGATTTAGACTCCCAAACAACATTAATGGAAGAATTTAACACCCTGCTGTCAGTATTAGATCAACTAGACAGAAAATTAACAAGGATATTCATGACTTGAACTCAGCTCTAGACCAAGCAGACCTAATAGACATCTACAGAACTCTCCACCCCAAATTAACAGAATATACATTCTTCTCAGCACCACATCACACTTATTCTAAAATTGACCACATAATTGGAAGTAAAACACTCCTCAGCAAATGCAAAAGAACAGAAATCATAACAAACAGTCTCTCAGACCACAGTGCAATCAAATTAGAACTCAGGATTAAGAAACTCACTCAAAACCTCACAACTACAAGGAAACTGAACAACCTGCTCCTGAATGACTACTGGGTAAATAACAAAATTAAGGCAGAAACAAATAAGTTCTCTGAAACCAATGAAAACAAAGGCACAAAGTACCAGAATCTCTGGGACACAACTAAAGCACTCTTTAGAGGGAAATTTATAGCACTAAATGCATACAAGAGAAAACAGGAAAGATCTAAAATTGACACCCTAAAATCACAATGAAAAGAACTAGAGAAGTAAGAGGAAACAAATTCAAAAGCTAACAGAAGACAAAAAACAAACAAACAAAAAACCCACTAATATCACAGCAGAAATGAAGGAGAGAGAGACATGAAAAACCCTTTAAAAAAATCAATGAATCCAGGAGTTGGTTTTCTGAAAAGATCAACAAAATAGATAGACCATTAGCCAGACTAATACAGAAGAAAAAAGAGAAAAATCAAATAGACACAATAAAAAATGGTAAAGGGAATATCACCAGTGATCTCACAGAAAGACAACCACCATCAGAGAATACTGTAAACACCTCTACACAAATAAACTAGAAAATCTAGAGGAAATGGATAAATTCCTGGACACATACACTCTCCCAAGACTAAACTAGGAAGAAGTTGAATCCCTGAATAGACCAATAACAAGTTCTGAAATTGAGGCAGTAATTAATAGCCTACCAACCAAAAAAAGTCCAGGACCAGATGGATTCACAGCCAAATTCTACCAGAGGTACAAGGAAGTGCTGGTACCATTCCTTCTGAAACTATTCCAAACGATAGAAAAAGTGGGACTCTTCCCTAACTAATTTTGTGAGGCCAGCATCATCCCGATATGAAAACCTGGCAGGGACACAACAAAAAAAGAAGACTTCAGGCCAATATCCCTGATGAACATCGATGCTAAAATCCTCAATACAATACTGGAAAACTGAATTCAGCAGCACATCAAAAAGTTTATTCACCATGATCAAGTCAGCTTCATCCCTGGGATGCAAGGCTAGTTCAACATAAGCAAATCATAACGTAATCCATTGCATAAACAAAAACAATGACAAAAACCACATGATTATCTCAATAGATGCAGAAAAGGCCTTTGATAAAATTCAACACTGCTTCATGAAAAAAACTTTCAATAAACTAGATATTGATGGAACATATCTCAAAATAATAAGAGCTATTTTTGACAAACCCCTCACCAATATCATATTGAATGGGCAAAAACTGGAAGCATTCCTTTGAAAACTGGCACAAAACAAGGATGCCCTCTCTCACCACTCCTATTCAACATAGTGTTGGAAGTTCTGGTCAGGTCAACATGACAAGAAAAGAAATAAAGGATATTTAAATAGGAAGAGAGGAAGTCAAATTGTCTCTGCTTGCAGATGACATAATTGTATATTTAGAAAACCCCATCATCTCAGCCCTAAATCTCCTTAAGCTGATAAGCAACTTCAGCAAAGTCTCAGGATACAAAATCAATGTGCAAAAATCACAAGGATTTTTTTTTATTATTATACTTTAAGTTTTAGGGTACATGTGCACAACGTGCAGGTTAGTTACATATGTATACATGTTCCATGTTGGTGTGCTGCACCCATTAACTCATCACTTAACATTAGGTATTTCTCCTAATGCTATCCCTCCCCCCTCCCCCCATCCCACAACAGACCCCAGTGTGATGTTCCCCTTCCTGTGTCCATGTGTTCTCATTGTTCAATTCCCACCTATGAGTGAGAACATGTGGTGTTTGGTTTTTTGTCCTTGTGATAGTTTGCTGAGAATGATGGTTTCCAGCTTCATCTATGTCCCTACAAAGGACATGAACCCATCATTTTTTATGGCTGCATAGTATTCCATGGTGTATATGTGCCACATTTTCTTAATCTGGTCTATGATTCATGGACATTTGGGTTGGTTCCAAGTCTTTGCTATTGTGAATAGTGCCACAATAAACATACGTGTGCATGTGTCTTTATGGCAGCATGATTTATAATCCTTTGGGTACATACCCAGTAATGAGATGGGTGGGTCAAATGGTATTTCTAGTTCTAGATCCTTCAGGAATTGCCACACTGACTTCCACAATGGTTGAACTAGTTTACCATCCCACCAACAGTGTAAAAGTGTTCCTATTTCTCCACATCCTCTCCAGCACCTGCTGTTTCCTGACTTTTTAATGATCATCTTTCTAACAGGCACAAGATGGTATCTCATTGTGGTTTTGATTTGCATTTCTCTAATGACCAGTGATGATGAGCTTTTTTCATGTTTATTGGCCGCATAATGTCTTCTTTTGAGAAGTGTCTGTTCATATTCTTTGCCCACTTTCTGATTTTTTTTTTTTTTTTTTGAGATGAAGTTTCACTCTAGTTGCCCAGGCTGGAGTGCAATGGTGTGATCTTGGCTCACTGTAACCTCTGCCTCCTGGGTTCAAGTGATTCTCCTGCCTCAGCCTCCTGAGTAGCTGGGATTACAGGCATGTGCCACCATGCCTGGCTAATTTTGTATTTTTAGTAGAGATGGGGTTTCTTCATATTGATCAGGCTGGTCTTGAACTCCTGACATCAGGTGATCCACCTGCCTTGGCCTCCCAAAGTGCTGGCATTACAGGCATGAGCCACCATGCCTGGTCTGTTTGTTTTTTTTCTTCAAAACCTATTTAAGTTCTTTGTAGGTTCTGGATATTAGCTCTTTGTTAGATGGATAGATTGCAAAAATTTTCTCCCATTTTGTAGGTTACCTGTTCACTCTGATGATAGTTTCTTTTGCTATGCAGAAGCTCTTTAGTTTAATTAGATTCCATTAGTCAATTTTGGCTTTTGTTGTCATTACTTTTGGTGTTTTAGTCATGAAGACTTTGCCCATTGCTATGTCCTGAATGGTATTGCCTAGGTTTTCTTCTAGGATTTTTATAGTTTTATGTCTTATGTTTAAGTCTTTAATCTATCGTGAGTTAATTTTTGTATTAGGTGTAAGGAAGGGGTCTAGTTTTGGGTTTGCTACATATGGCTAGCCAGTTTTCCCAGCATGATTTATTAAATAGGAAATCCTTTCCCCATTGCTTTTTTGTCAGGTTTGTCGAAGATCAGATGGTTGTACATGTGTGGTGTTATTTCTGAGGCCTCTATTCTGTCTCATTAGTCTGTATATCAGTTTTGGTACAAGTGCCATGCTGTTTTTGTTACTGTAACCTTGTAGTGTAGTTTGAAGTCAGGTAGCATGATGTTTCCAGCTTTGTTCTTTTTGCTTAGGATTGTCTTGGCTATGCGGGCTCTTTTTTGGTTCCATATGAAATTCAAAGTAGTTTTTTCTAATTCTGTGAAAAAAATTAATGGTAGCTTGATTGGGATAGCATTGAATCTATAAATTACTTTGGGTAGTATGGCCATTTTTATGATATTGATTCCTCCTATCCATGAGCATGGAATGTTTTTCTGTTTGTTTCTGTCCTCTCTTATTTCCCTGAGCAGTGGTTTGCAGTTCTCCTTGAAGAGATCCTTCACATCCCTTATAAGTTGTATTACTAGGTATTTAATTCTTTTTTAGCAATTGTGAATGGGAGTTCATTCATTATTTGGCTCTCTGTTTGTCTATTACTAGTGTATAGGAATGCTTGTGATTTTTGCACATTGATTTTGTATCCTGAGACTTTGCTGAAGTTGCTTGTCAGCTTAAGGAGATTTTGGGCTGAGATGATGATGTTTTCTAAATATACAATTATGATATCTGCAAACAGAGAAAATTTGATTCCCTCCCTCCCTCCCTTCTCCCTTCCTTCCTTTCTTTCTTTCTCTTTCTTTTTCTTTTCTTTTTCTTTCTTTCTTTCTCTCTCTCTCTTTCTCTCTTTCTTTCTTTCCTTTCTTTCTTTCTTTCTTTCTTTCTTTCTTTCTCTTTCTTTCTTTCTTTCTTTCTTTCTTTCTTTCTTTCTTTCTTTCTTCCTTTCTTTGTCTCCCCTTCCCTTCCCTTCCCTTCCCTTCCCTTCCCTTCCCTTCCCTTCCCTTCCCTTCCCTTCCCTTCCCTTCCCTTCCCTTCCCTTCCCTTCCCTTCCCTTCCCTTCCCTCCCCTCCCCTCCCCTCCCCTCCCCTCCCCTTCCTTCTCTTGTCTGATTGCCCTGGCCAGAATTTCCAATACTATTTTGAATAGGAGTGATGAGAGAGGGCATCCTTTTCTTGTGCCAGTTTTCAAAGGAATGCTTCCAGTTTTTGCCCATTCAGTATGATATTGGCTGTGGGTTTGTCAGAAATAGCTCTTATTATTTTGAGATATGTTCCATCAATACATAGTTTATTGAGAGTTTTTTTTTTTTTTTTAGCATGGAATGGTGTTGAATTTTATTGCAGGCCTTTTCTGCATCTATTGAGATAATCATGCGGTTTTTGTCTTTGGTCCTGTTTATGTGATGGATTACGTTTATTGATTTGCACGTGTTGAACCAGCCTTGCATCCTAGAGATGAAGCCAACTTGATCATGGTGGATAAGCTTTTTGATGTGCTGCTGGATTCAGTTGGCCAGTATTTTATTGAGGATTTTCATCTAGGTGTTCATCAGGGATATTGGCCTGAAATTTCTTTGTTGTTTTTGTTGTGTCTCTGCCAGATCTTGGTATCAGGATGATGCTGTCCTCATAAAATGAATTAGGGAGGATTCCCTCTTTTTCTATTGTTTGGAATAATTTCAGAAGGAATGATAGCAGCTCCTCTTTGTAACTCTAGTAGAATTCAGCTGTGACTCCATCTGGTCCTGGACATTTTTTGATTAGTAGGCTATTACTGCCTCAATTTCAGAACTTGTTATTGGTCTATTCAGGGATTGGACTTCTTCCTGGTTTAGACTTGGTAGGGTATATTTGTTCAGGAATTTATCCATTTCTTCTAGATTTTCTAGTTTATTTGTGTAGAGGTGTTTATAATATTCTCTGATGGTAGTTTGTATTTCTGTGGGATCACTGGTGATATTCCTTTTATCACTTTTTTATTGTGTCTTTTATTCTTCTCTCCTTTCTTCTTGATTAGTCTTGCTAGCAGTCTATCTATTTCAGTGATCTTTTCTAAAAACCTGCTCCAGGATTTATTGATTTTTTTGAAGGGTTTTTCATGTCTCTATCTCCTTCAGTTCTGCTCTGATCTTAGTTATTTCTTGTCTTCTGCTAGCTTTTGAATTTGTTGGCTCTTGCTTCTCTAGTTTTATCAACCGTGATGTTAGGGTGTCGATTTTAGATTTTTCCTGCTTTCTCTTGTGGGCATTTAGTGCTATAAATTTCCCTCTAAAGAGTGCTTTAGTTGTGTCCCAGAGATTCTGGTACATTGTGCCTTTGTTCTCATTGGTTTCAAAGAACTTATTTGTTTCTGCCTTAATTTCATTATTTACCCAGTAGTCATTCAGGAGCAGTTTTTTTTTTTTTTTCAGTTTCCATGTAGTTGTGTGGTTTTGAGTGAGTTTCTTAATCTTGAGTTCTAATTTGATTGTACTGTGGTCTGAGAGACTGTTTGTTATGATTTCTGTTTTTTTGTATTTTCTGAGGAGTATTTTACTTCCAATTACGTAGTCAGTTTTAGAATAAGTGCGATGTGGTGCTGAGAAGAATGTATATTCTGTTGATTTTGGCTGAAGAGTTCTGTAGATGTCTATTAGGTCTTCTTGGTCCAGAGCTGAGTTCAATTTCTGAATATTCTTGTTAATTTCCTGTCTCATTGATCCATCTAATATTGACAGTGGGGTGTTCAAATCTCCCACTATTATTTTTGGGAGTCTGAGTCTCTTTGTAGATCTCTAAGAACTTGCTTTATGAATCTGGGTGCTCCTGTACTGGATGCATATATATATTTAGGATAGTTAGCTGTTCTTGTTGCATTGATCCCTTTGCCATTATGTAATGCCCTTCTTTGTCTCTTTTGATCTGTGTTAGTTTAAAGTCTGTTTTATCAGAGACTAGGATTGCAACCCCTGCTTTTTTTTTCTTTCTTTCCACTTGCTTGGTAAATATTCCTCCATCCCTTTATTTTGAGCCTATGTGTGTCTCAGTATGTGAGATGGGTCTCCTGAATACAGGACACTGATGGGTCTTGACTCTTCATCTAATTTGCCAGTCTGTCTTTTAATTGGGGCATTTAGCCCATTTACATTTAAGATTAATATTATTATGTATGAATTTGATTCTGTCATTATGGTGTTAGCTGGTTATTTTGTCCATTAGTTGATGCAGTTTCTTCATAGATCGATGGTCTTTACAATTTAGCATGTTTTTGCAGTGGCTGGTACTGGTTGTCCCTTTCCATGTTTAGTGCTTCCTTCAGGAGCTCGTGTAAGATAGGCCTGGCATAGACAAAATCTCTCAGCATTTGCTTGTCTGTAAAGGATTTTATTTCTCCTTCACTTATGAAGCTTAGTTTGGCTGGATATGCAATTCTGGGTTGAAAATTATTTGCTTAAGAATGTTGGATATTGGTCCCCACTGTCTTCTGGCTTGCAGGGTTTTTGCAGAGAGATCCACTGTTAGTCTGATGGGCTTCCCTTCGTGGGTAACCCGACCTTTCTCTCTGGCTGCCATTAACATTTTTTCCTTCATTTCAACCTTGGTGAATCTGACAATTGTGTGTCTTGGGGTTGCTCTTTTCAAGGAGTATCTTTGTGGTGTTCTCTGTATTTCCTGAAGTTGAATGTTGGCCTGCCTTGCTAGGTTGGTAAAGTTCTCCTGGATAATATCCTGAAGAGTGTTTTCCAACTTGGTTCCATTCTCCTTTTCTCTTTCAGGTATAGCAATCAAATGCATGTTTGGTCTTTTCACATAGTCCCATATTTCTTGGAGGCTTTGTTGGTTCCTTTTCATTATTTTTTCTCTAATCTTGTCTTCACACTTTATTTCATTAAGTTGATCTTCAATCTCTGATATCCCTTCTTCTGTTTGATTGATTTGGCTATTGATACTTGTGTATGCTTCACGAAGTTCTCGTGCTGTGTTTTTCACTCCATCAGCTCACTTATATTCTTCTCTAAACTGGTTATTCTAGTTAGCAGTTCCAGTAATCTTTTTCAAGGTTCTTAGCTTCCTTGCATTGGGTTAGAACATGCTCCTTTAGCTTGGAGGAGTTTATTATTACCCACATTCTGAAGTCTACTTCTGTCAATTTGTCAAACTCATTCTCCACCCAGTTTTGTTTCCTTGCTGGTGAGGAGTTGTGATCCTTTGGGGAAGAAGAGGCATTCTGGTTTTTGGAATTTTCAGCCTTTTCGTGCTGGTTTCTCCCCATCTTCATAGGTATATCTACCTTTGATCTTTGGCATTGGTTTCTGAATGGACATCCTTTTTGTTGATGTTGATGCTATTTTTTTCTGTTTGTTAGTTCTCCTTCTAACAGTCAGGCCCCTCTGCTGCAGGTCTGCTGGAGTTTGCTGGAGGTCCACTCCAGACACTGTTTGACTGGTATCACCAGTGGAGGCTGCAGAACAGCAAAGATTGCTGCCTGTTCCTTCCTCTGGAAGCTTCATCCCAGAGGGGCACATACCAGATGCCAGGCGGAGCTCTCCTGTATGAGGTGTCTGTAGCCCCTGCTGGGAGGTGTCTCCCAGTCAGGAGACATGGGTGTCAGGGACCCACTTGAGGAGGCAGTCTGACCCTTAGCAGAGCTAGTGCACTGTGCTGGGAGATCTGCTGCTCTCTTCAGAGCCTGCAGGCAGTGGCGTTTAAGTCTGCTGAAGCTGCGCCAACAGCCACTCCTTCCCCCAGGTGCTCTGTCCCAGGGAGATGGGAATTTTATCTATAAGCCCCTGACTGGGGCTGCTGCCTTTTTTTCAGAGATGCCCTGCCTGGAGAGGAGGAATCTAGAGAGGCAGTATGGCTATAGTGGCTTTGCTGAGCTGTGGAGGTCTCTGCCCAGTTGGAACTTCGCTGTGGCTTTTTTACACTGTAAGGGGAAAACCAACTACTCAAGCCTCAGTAATGGCAGATGCCCCTCCCCGCACTAAGCTCAAGCTTAGTTCCCAGGTCGACTTCAGACTGCTGTGCTGGCAGGGAGAATTTCAAGCCAGTGGATCTTAGCTTGCTGGGCTCTATGGGGGTGGGATCCATTGAGCTAGACCACTTGGCTCCCTGGCTTCAGCCCCCTTTCCAGGGGAGTGAATGGCTGTCTTGCTGGCATTCCAGGCACCACTGGGATATGAAAAGAAATTCCTGCAGCTAGCTTGGTGTCTGCCCAAACGGCCACCCAGTTTTGTGCTTGAAACTCAGGGCTCTGGTGGTGTAGGCACCCTGGGGAATGTCCTGGTCTGTGGGTTGGGAAGACCATGGGAAAAGCATAGTATCTGGGCTGGGACTGTTCCTCATGGCACAGTCCCTCAAGGCCTCCCTTGGCTAGAGGAGGGAGTTCCTTGACCCCTTGCACTTCTGGGGTGAGGCAATGCCCCACCCTGCTTCGGCTCACCCTCCATGGGCTACACCCACTGTCTAACCAGTCCCAATGAGACGAGCCGGGTACCTCAGTTGGAAAAGCAGAAATCACCTGCCTTCTATGTTGATCTCACCGGGAGCTGCAGACCGGAGCTGTTCCTATTTGGCCGTCTTGCCAGGTCTGCCCGGTACAACATTTCTTAAGGTCCCAGAAAGGTCAAAGATTCTGTGTATTACTGAGAAACAAAGGGCCTTTAAAAAGATTAAGGACATGCCCCTCAATCAAACAACAGAGGCTCTAGGATACTTAGGTGCACTGTTTCTTCACCATCTCAGCAGAAGCCCAAGGTGAAAAGTTTATCTCAAAGATATTTGTTGGGGTAGATTTTCTCTAATAAGATAAACCACAAAGAGATTCACAGAACATCCACAACTTTTTAAAGAAATCTTTATCAGAAAAATGCTGCCAATTTGACTGCAAGGGGCAAAGACAGTACAAAAATAAAAAGGCTGTGTAGTCCTCAAAATGCTCTGGGTGGGAAGGTAGCTGAGAATACTATTCACTTAGAGGTATGTTCTGTCTTTTAAAAAAAATGTTGGATCCAAGTGGCACGAGGCTGTGGCTGAGAGCCAAATTGCTTTCATTTTTCATGCCTCCAGACCTATTCAAGGAACTTCTAATATTTGCCTAAGTGCACTTCATAATTGCTCTGAACTCCTTGTGTCTCACGTCTCCTCCATTTTGAACGGGAATGTCTACAGTAGTAATTGGATGCTTGTATTATTATTGTGTGTTGAGTGTTTTGGAGACAAGTGTCTTGTCTCTTCAGTTTCACAGATTAACAAATACAAAGATAAAAGCCAGAGAACTCCATGTAAGTAGTCTCACTTACACTTGAACCTCATTTAAATGGTAAGATTCTGGACTTTGAGTGTGTGCTATAATGAAATAATACTTTTCTGGACATTTCACACATGATAATGTAGTACATCAGAGGGATGGAATCATTTGGGACCAGAGGGTCTGGCCACAATCTGCCACAGCTGCTGTTCCATGCTGCGGAGAATTCCTGCTGGTCCAAACTGCCCAGTCTTCCTGGCACCAGCAGGGGAGAACAGCAGACTGGAGCCACAGTGATGGTTGTCTTCTTAGGCAGTCTCTGTCCTGCTGCCACTGGCTGCAACCTGGGCAGCCACCAAGAGCTTGCACAGCTCTGTGCTTGGGTCCCAAGGCCCTGGTGGTGTGGGCTCACGAGGGATCTCTTGATCCATGGGTTGCACAGATCCGTGGAAAGAGCGTGGTTTCTCAGGCAGGGTACCACAATCACTCACTCCCTCCCTTGGCTGGGAGTGGGGGCTCCCCTTACTCCATGCAACTCCTGGGTGGGCCCTCGTTCCATCTTGCTTTTTCTTACTCTCAGTGGATCATGCCAACCGCCTAGTCAGTCCCAATGAGAGAACCTGGATACCTCAGTTGAAGGCACAGGATCCACTCACCATTTTTGCTCTTCTTGGTGGGCGCCACCAACTGCAGCTGCTTCTAATAGGCCATCTTGGCCCCCTCTGCCCATCTTTTTACTGTTAATGGATATTAACTTGGACCTATGACCTGAGAAACCTTATTTATTCACTTTTTAAATTCGAATGTTTAATTAATTCATTAATTCTGCTATTTGAATTAATGGCACAGAGGCCTAAGTCTGAACACAAGGGGAAAATGAACTCTCTAACCCAGAAATATATACAGGTAATATGTAAGTGAGATAGACTCAAAGGTCACAAGTTTTAACTGAGACTATTAGATGGCATTGAGCATCTAAACTCCTCTCAGTGTCCTTGTGGGTGACATGCTTCAGTGACAGCCATGGTTGACTGCCTCCTCCAGAAGGAGCTCTGCCAGGACACAGAAAGCCCTAAATATCTCATCCTTAAGCCAAGTCATCCTGGGTTCTTACTTTGCAAAAATTACCTATTAAAGCTATTCCACAGGATCAGCATCCAGGTTAGAGGTGCAATGTCTTCCAATCCTGCGAGTGCCACAGTGCTTGCACAACCCTCAGATTTTATAATGACTATCCACTGCACATAAGCACTTACACTGCAGGTAGGAAAATATGGCCAGTCTAAAAGTGTCTGTAATGATTTATCTCACAGGATCTAGGTGGCTAAGAATATTTTCAAGGCCAATAACACTGTTTCACAAATTTGTGCTTTCAAACAGGAAGGCACCTTCTGCCTCAAACCGCTTTCCTCTCCCTGTATTGAGCTAACTTCTATATGTAAATGTAAAATCCTGTAAACTACTCTAAAAATCCCTTCTTGAAACTTCTTTGAATCCTATTTAGATGTCTTTTTCTGTCCTTGTTGATGCAGTACAATGAACAGATCATATCCAACTATAATTTCTAATTCAAACACCAAGTATTCTTAATCAGCTGTAGCTTCCTGAAGTCAGAAAGAGAGATCAGCACATAGCACAGTGCAAAGTATACAGTTAGTGCTTACTAAATATTTATAAAATAAAGAAATGAATATATCACCTGAAAAATAGCCCCAAAGAAAGTTAAATGACACTCACCTGTCTGAAAGATGGCCATATATTAGACCTCCCAGCAGTGACCCAGCCCTAAGTAGGGATTGAATCATTAATTTTTTTTTTTTTTTTTGAGACTGGGTCTCACTCTGTCACCCAGACTGGAGTGCAGTGGTGCGATCTCAGCTCACTGCAACTTCCACCTCCCAGGCTCAAGCAATTCTCCTGCCTCAGCCTCCCAAGTAGCTGGGATTACAGGAGTGTGCCACTACCACCCGATTAATTTTAGTCACTGAGATTCACATACCAGGTACCACTAGAAGAGAAGGAAATCAGCATAGCAGAGCTTGAGAAGAGTTTCAGCTCTTTTATGGAAACTGACTCCAAACACTGACATATGTACACAATCCTCAGCTATGCGGGTCCTGCCTCCCTCTCTAGATTCATCTATAGACACTACGCTCTAGTAGCCCAAATTCTAAAACTAAACTTATTTCAGGCTTTCAAATGCAGCTGCCTCTCCCTCTCAATTCCCAGCCTTCCAACAGTCTGTATTCGTGTGTCTACATGTCTTTATTCATTTTCCCCTCAGACCACCTTTTATTGTGTTGTTATACACATTCTTTGGGTATTATAATTAAAAACATATAAGGACACAATTTTTTTAAAAAACTTCAGTTACCTAAATTTAAAAAATATATTAGAAACCCATAATTTTACAGGAAGGCTTTTTTTCATCATGTAGGCCACATGAGGGCCTTGCCATTGACTTCACTTAGCAGTTTATAATTCAACTACTACAATAACTATCTTTTTTTTTGGCCACACATTGAATCGCTTGAAGTGCTTCAAAAATACTGATCCCTGGATTCTGTACTCAGAGGTTACTTGCTGTGGATATCAGTTTTGCAATGAGTATTGAGAACACTAACCTAGCATAATGTTTGCCAAACAGTATTTCAATTACTTTAAACACTGTAGGTCTTTCTCACTAAATTAGACGATATAATAGGAGGTTCATGTTGAGTTTGTTTGGCTCATTCACTCAATACTAATGCGCTTGACTGTATTGTAGAGTTGGTGAGCAATTGCTGCTACCTGCTGAAGGAATGAAGAAAGAGCTGATAACAGTAACCATCTGAGGACTAAGGGTATAAAGCAAGTCTGTTCTTTGTGTTAACTCCAAACATCTTGATCATATAAACAGAAGATCTAAACATGTCCCTTTACATCAGTCACAATGGTGAAGAGGAAGGAGCTTTGGTGGTATACCCAGCCACCAACACAGGGCTCCGTGTTTGGCTCACTCATGTTTGAGAAGGTCACATTCAAGTGAAGGAGATGCCACTGGGGATGGATGAAGCAACGACACTTCTCTGGCCTCAGGTTTGAGTCCAGTGGGATGGAAATCCTCAGGAGGGCAACCTGGCTGAGAGTCCCAGTGTCATTGTCAGAGACGGTGTCATTGTCCAGGATGTGGACCCAGTAGTGATGACCAGGGATGAATGCAATGAAATTCTCCAATAGAAGATGAGGATAATGTATAATGATGGAGATTGTAAGGAAAATCAGATGAAAGATTTGGAATCTCCCCAGGCCACCCACTTGATCCAGGAGCATATCAAAACCCATCGAGACAGAACAGGTGATCCCCAAGAGGAAGCACAATGACTTTGTAGAGATAAGTTCAGAAGAAGAAAGTGTTCCCTTTCACAAAGTCACAGTAGTGCCATGTGGATCCTTACACCATTTTCTTCTCAGTGGGCCCTGTCACACCACTGCAGAAGAGCAATGGAAGGACTTTCCTCAAGTCCTTTGAGTTTAGGCAGCTAGATAGTTTCAGCGAAGTCACAGATATAATTATTTGGCAAAGGTACATCTATCTTTTGACAACTGAATATTCTTAAAGGACTACTCTGTGAAAGATCCTGATCTCTGAGCTTTCTGAGAAGTCAACAGTGGACTTTCAGGTGGATATAATTTCCACACAACCTAAAATACACCTAAAATTATACCTGATCAATGGTATGCCATTCTTTTCAGAAAAGGGATATTGGATACTTAAAAGTGTACTGCTTTATTATGCTTTGTGCAAAGAGAATGGCTTTTTCTTGCTGAGGACTGACTTTTGACTAAAAGTTAGTGAACACTAATGAACACAAGAGTCTTGCTCTTGTCTAATTAAAGCAGGTGGAATGTTAAGTATAAACATTGACTTTTGGTAACTGAAGTTCTGCTTCAGTTCAAATCATACCAGTGACAGTGATGTTAAGATTTTTGAGATAGGGAAATAAAGATAAGAGGTAGACAGGAAGGGAATAGTGTCTTTATGTGATAGTTTATTTCACCAAATTTGTTGATTTTTTCAAATAGCATTTTGAACTTTCTGCTGCTATTGCTGTAAAGCAATGGTATTTATTTATATACTTAATCTGTTTATATGTTTATAAGTAAAATGTTTATATGTTTATAAGTAAAATATGACATCAATGTTATAAAGTTTCATATTCCAGTTAATAAGTGATAGGTACATAAATAATTATACTGTAATGTCATAACTATAAAGAAAATAGACAGTGTCCTATGGAAGAATTAAAGAGAAACTGTTCAATGATTCCTGGGTAGGTGCCATGGGACAAAGGAGTCATCACTGTAGAAATTAACTTTTACCTATTCTTAGGGGAAGATTCTTGAGATAATGAAATAGTGAATGAAAAAAAGCCAATTTCTAAATGAGGGAATAATAAGTGTACAATTATAACAAAATGGTGTGGTATAACTGTGCACCTATAGGATATTGAAAAGCTGGAAGCTGCAAAACATGAAGGGTATTAATGAGAGAAGGTAGGTTGATTGAATGAAGAGCCAAACCAAACAAGCAAAGCCTGTAGAATTTATTCTGCAGACTAACTAGAGGTTCTTATCCTTGAATTTCAAAATGATCATCCATGAAACATGTTAAAATGCAAATTTCTGCCCAGCCTGCAAGGATTCTTTTTCAGGAAACGATTCTGATGGATTCATTCTAAAGATTAAATCTAAGGAATCGTGAGATGCTGTTGTAAATTGTTAGAAATGTCTTAGTTTGCTTGGGCTGCATAACAGAATACCACAGACTGGGTGACTTAAACAACAAAAATTTATTTTCTCACAGTTCTGGTGGCTGGAAGTCTAAGAGCAAGGTATCAACAGATTTGATTTCTTCTGAGCCTCTCTCTCTGGTTTGTGGATAGCTGCCTTCTTTCTGTGTCCTCATATGTTCTTTCCTTTATGCATGTGCATACCTGGTGTCTCTTTTTCTTCTTCTTCTCCTTCTCCTTCTTCTTTTTTCTTCTTCTTCTGGGTTTCTGTTTTTTTTTTTTTTTTTTTTTTTTTGAGATGGAGTCTCACTCTTGTAGCCAAGGCTGGAGTACAATGGCACAATCTTGGCTCACTGCAACTTCCGCCTCCTGGGTTCGAGGGATTCTCTTGCCTCAGCCTCCTGAGTCACTGGAACTACAGGCATGCACCACCACGCCTGGCTAATTTTTTTAATTTTTAGTAGAGATGGGATTTCACCATGTTGGGCAGGCTGGTCTTAAATTCCTGACCTCAGGTGATCCGCCTGCCTTAGCTTCCCAAAGTGCTGGGATTACAGGTGTGAGCCACCGCACCTAGCTCTCTTCCTCTTCTTATAAGAAGAGCAGTTGTATTGATTAGGGCCCCACCATATGGGCCTCCTTTTAACTTATCACCAAATATGGTTATATTCGAAGGTATTAGGGGTCGGGATTCCAACATAGGAATTTTGAAGGGGCACAAATCAGGTTTCTATTTTACTAAAATTACTGACCACTAAAAATAGTGAGAAGTCAATGTTCCAGCAAAGCAAACCATTCAGAGCCACATGAGTAAAATGATAAAAAAAAAAATGATGATTACAGTTGTGAATTCACTGAGTATTCAATTCTGTTGTAAGCACTTTTAACGTATTCTTTCCTTCAGTTATCACTAAATTATCTAAATTTTACCCCTTGGAAAACAGAGGCCTAGGAACACTAAATAATTTGTCAAAGGATATATGGAGTGTAAGTGGTAGAGCCAAAATATGGACCCAGGGTAGTCTAACTCCAAGGAAAAGCCTCTTACTCACTTTAATAAATACTTATTTTCATCTCATTAATTAAATGATTGTTTTTATGCTGAGAAACAACGATGGCCTATCTAGAGTCAAGATGGCTGGAAGAGAAGAAGCTGAAGCCATTGTGCCCCATCCCCCAAATCTCCCATGAAACACAGAAAATCCAAAGAAGAGGAAATTAGTAAGTACCATGATGACCAAGTATAGATACAAAAAGGAAAGAGAATGAGTGCTCTATAGATCAAAATAGTGATGTATCCCTAGAGTAATAAGGATGTAAAGAAGCATGCAGAGAAAAAAGCATTAGTAAGGATAATAATGATCACTAGTAATATATTGACATTTCCCATGTGTCACACACTGGGGTGGGTGATTTCTGTGCATGTGTTATTCCTCACAACAACCCGGTGAGATGGGTATTACCCTCCTTGGTTTACAGGGAAATGTAACATGGAGAAATCTTGTAATATGCCCCATTAAGTTGACTGGGATAGTAAGATGTGAACACTGTATAAAGCCTAACAAAATCTGGCATGGAGTCCAGTGTTGGGTACACAGTGGAGGATCAGACTGGTGGCAATTAGGAAACTATGAGTAATGATACAAACACTCACCTGTAAAATTCTCATTCCACCCTCATGGCACCCAGGCTTCTTCTGTTTCACAGATTCTAGAATTAATTGGACAAAAGAAGCCCAGGTACTGTAATGAGAGTTTTTACACTTTCATTCTTTCAATGGAAGAAAGAGGAAAGCTGCTCACTTTCTTGTTGAAGTCAAATTCCCATTGGGCACCACCACTGCTATCCCTGTTTTTTGTGCCTATGGGCTCTGATTTTCATCTATTATTTTCTTTCCTTCCAACATTACTAGTTGTTTTGCTAACTTGATTTAAGTTCTGTAAGATGTTTGAATTGATTTGTTACTGTGCTCAGTTCTTTCCTTTGATCTCATTGATACCTTTCAATATTGCAAGGGGGCAAAACTAGTATTCACATCTCTATTTGCTTAATGGAAGCAAACTGTATACTGAATCACTGGAGAAATTTTGGTAGGGCAATACTGCTGTAAAAACTGAGGCCTCTTCAACAAGTCTGCATAGAAAGATGCCCTAGGAAGATGCTGCCCTCAAATCTGAATATACCTCTCAGTAAATAAGTTGAATCAGAACCTTCTTTACCTTCTAGGGAGGCAAGATAACCCAGGACACAGACAAAAGAATTCTGTATTGTAAGATAAGCTTCATCCAAGGATCACCAAACTCTTGACATACAGACAGACAGAGATGTCTCCCAACTTGTGGAAATAAAAGTGACTTCATCTTGGATGCTAATCTACCATGTTGACTGCTGATTAACCCCAATCCTGGGTATGTCTCTTGATTTCTACTTTATTTACCATCTCTCATGTAAGAACATGTACTCATCATGTATCCTGCCCTTAGATCAAAGCAATTTTTTTTTAGATGGAATCTTGCTGTGTTGCCCAGGCTGGAGTGCAGTGGCATGATCTCAGCTTACTGCAACCTATGCCTCCCAGGTTCAAGTGATTCTCCTGCCTCAGCCTCCCGAGTAACTGGGACTACAAGCGTGTCCCACCATGCCAGGCTAATTTTTTGTATTTTTAGTAGAGATGGGGTTCACTGTGTTAGCCAGGATGATCTCGATCTCCTGACCTCATGATCCACCCGCCTTGACCTCCCAAAGTGCTAGGATTACAGGCATGAGCCACTGCACCCGGCCAGATCAAAGCAATTTTAATGTCATCACACGAATGATAGGCCATGACAGACATAGCATTCTTGTCTGTTCTGGAGCATCACCTTTAATTGTCTGTATAGAGCACATACAGTATTTCCCTATTGTCTATAAGCCCTGGGAATAACAGTGTGGCGATCTGTCTGTCTTGCTGCCACTGAAGACCATATGTCTGTCCATAAGTTTCCCGATAAATCATCTTCTGCCCACAAACTGGATTTGTCTCCCTTGTTCTTTGGTTTTATGACTCCTTCCCCATTTGGGGGGTCATTTTGCATATATGTTCCTTTCACAAAATAATTGGAAATCCATGCAGGAGGAGACTAGGAACCAAAGTTTGGGCAAGAGTAAGGACACATCAGTAGAAGAAATTCCAGAGTGGTCCTCTTCATCTATATGGAATGATGTTTTCTGTTTACTAGATGCCTGTAGACCACTGTGTGAGTAGGGTAACACCTCAAAAGTGCCAACGGGTCTAGAATGGTTGCTAGTAGAAAGCTGTCTGACCACTGGGGTAATGAAGGTTGCTAGGTGGTGTCAACAGTAGGTTGGCCACTGTTACAGATTTGCAAGTGGCCACAGAAGTGTAGTTAGCAGCTGAGATGAAGGTACAAAAGCTAGAGAAAGTATTACAATTAGAAAAAAAATGAGAAATTTCACATCCATGTTAGCATCTAATCTGATGGATAAGCTCGAAACTCAAAGTCACAATTGGAAATCCTAGCCTACTGCTGTGTTTTCCAGGGAGGAAGGAAGCTGCACTGGCCAAATGTGTGAGTGGTCCTTGCTAAACTGGACTGGAATTTTTTTGTTTTTTTTTTTAATTTTATTATTATTATACTTTAAGTTTTAGGGTACATGTGCACAACGTGCAGGTTTGTTACCTATGTATACATGTGCCATGTTGGTGTGCTGCACCCATTAACTCATCATTTAACATTAGGTATATCTCCTAATGCTATCCCTCCCCCCTCCCCACACCCCACAACAGTCCCTGGTGTGTGATGTTTCCCTTCCTGTGTCCATGTGTTCTCATTGTTCAATTCCCACCTATGAGTAAGAATATGCGGTGTTTGGTTTTTCGTCCTTGCAATAGTTTGCTGAAAATGATGGTTTCCAGTTTCATCCATGTCCCTACAAAGGACATGAACTCATCATTTTTTATGGCTGCACAGTATTCCATGGTGTATATGTGCCACATTTTCTTAATCCAGTCTATCATTTTTGGACATTTAGGTTGGTTCCAAGTCTTTGCTATTGTGAATAGTGCTGCAATAAACATACGTGTGCATGTGTCTTTATAGCAGCATGATTTATAATCCTTTGGGTATATACCCAGTAATGGGATGGCTGGGTCAAATGGTATTTCTAGTTCTAGATCCCTGAGGAATCACCACACCGACTTCCACAATGGTTGAACTAGTTTACAGTCCCACCAACAGTGTAAAAGTGTTCCTATTTCTCCACATCCTCTCCAGCACCTGTTATTTCCTGACTTTTTAATGATCGCCATTCTAACTGGTGTGAGATGGTATCTCATTGTGATTTTGATTTGCATTTCTCTGATGGCCAGTAATGATGAGCATTTTCTCATGTGTTTTTTGGCTGCATAAATGTTTTCTTTTGAGAAGTGTCTGTTGGTATCCTTCGCCCACTTTTTGATGGGGTTGTTTGTTTTTTTCTTGTAAATTTGTTTGAGTTCATTGTAGATTCTGGATATTAGCCCTTTGTCAGATGAGTAGGTTGCAAAAATTTTCTCCGATTTTGTAGGTTGCCTGTTCACTCTGATGGTAGTTTCTTTTGCTGTGCAGAAGCTCTTTAGTTTAATTAGATCCCATTTGTCAATTTTGGCTTTTGTTGTCATTGCTTTTGGTGTTTTAGACATGAAGTCTTTGCCCATGCGTATGTCCTGAATAGTATTGCCTAGGTTTTCTTCTAGGGTTTTTTATGGTTTTAGGTCTATGGACTGGAATGTTAAGACCTGAAATTTGTGGGGACCCATTGGTGAGTCAGATGAAGACACATAGGTTCTTTCAGGGAGGGAGAGGATAACCAACCTCCCTTTTTGAGAGCAAGACCGCTCATACAGCAGAAAGCAAATGCCTAACACATGCAGCTGGGCAATATCAGACAGCCTTTTCAGAAAACTTAACTGTCTGAGAGTACATCTTGGCAGAATTATTGTACATAGGAAAAATGTTTGCGTAGTTGCTGAGAGAAGGCATAGCCACATGGATGGTGCAGTATGGGATACTGGTGTGGATGGCATTTCCCTAGCAGGGAGTGAAGCTGAAAAAATTAGTAATATAACCTCTCATCCTCCTTTGAGGAAACATTTGCATAATGCTAGAATTCTTGAGGGCAATCATAGTCTTACGGACTGGATTATCTTGGCTATGATGGAGGCTTGGCCAAATGACTTCCTGGGTCAGATTTCAGCATGAAAATATCTGGAGAAAGCACAGGGCGATTTATGGGAGTTTGGCAAGCATCAGGTCATATATGCCTAACAACTTTAGGACCAGATAAAGTTGTGTTTGCCATGGGCATAAAAATCAGTCATTGCAAGGTGCCCTTTATGATTGGCATGGTTCTTTCATATCCTTCTTGAGCTCCCTTGTGAGACAAGATGTATATAATATGGAGGAAGCTATAGCTGATCCTGGAGAAACTGAAAAGTGAAGAGATAAGGTCCAACTGGTTACTAAAGAAAAAGGAAAAAATGGAGAAGCCAAACCTGCCAGCCTGAAAAAAGGAGGTCTAAAAGGCCCAGATAGGATTACCAGGAAACAAGTGTGGTATGATCTGATCTCACCTGTGCTAGACAAAGAAAAACATAGACCAGCAACCCAATGCCATATTAGTGGGCCTTTGGAAAGACCTCCTCCTGATCATTAGTTTAGACTCCTTCTTAGTGCCCCACCAAAAGAAAAGAAACTTTACATAAAATTACTTCAATTACCATGTTCCAGAGGTGGAAGCCTCCCCAGCCTGGAGACTAGGGGTAGGGCTAAGGTTGCTTCCATTTGTGAGCAACAGGGGGCAACTAGAGGTGCCATGTGAAGCTCAAAATCTAGTGGACTTCAAAAAAAACAAAGAACCTTAACGTTAATAGACACAGATGTAGACTGTATCTTAATTCATGGAAATCCAGAGATATACCCTGGTAATTGGGCAGCTATAGATTATTACAGGGGTGAACAATCTGAGTAAAACAAACTCCTCTCCTCCTTGGTGTTGAGTGGAGTCCCCCCGGTTAGTATACTGTTTTAATCTCACCTATTCCAGAAAATATCTTTGGTATGGACATCCTTTTAGGATGAACTTTGATACAAAACTAGGCCCATTCTGCCAGTTGCATGGAAAGCCAATCACTGATTAGTGAGTTTTGCAATACAGAAAAGATTTATTCACAGGGCCACCCAGTCAGGAGATGACATAATAGCTCTCAAATCTGCCTTTCTGTAGATAGGGCTTGGAATATTTATGGGATAAAAAAGCAGAATGGTCTAAGGTGTGGGAAAAGGTGATTAGCAATGGAGGTAAATGAGGTAATTGGTGATCTGCGCAAACATATTCGGAGTTCATAGATCTTCATAGGACACATATTCAGAAAATGGCAGTATTAGCAGGATCTGAGGGAGAAGTTTTTGGCCCTATGACATTAAAAGGTCGCTTGGGCATTTGAACAGACTCAGTTGAAGGGTTGGTGGTCTCAACCAGTTCAAGCTGGACAAAGGCTGCCCCTAAGTTCCTGAAAAAGCAAACAATTGTTACCATGGTGACATATACATCAGAGGTGTTATCTATAAGGAAGCTAGTGAAGACCAAGTTATAGCATTTGGCAGTATGGCTTTCAGCTGTGTGGGTTAAAAAACTCTATAAGAAGCAAGTGACTAAAAAGATTAGACTTTGGTTTCAACTTTACAAATATCTTTGGGAGAATTCCACACAAGTTTGGGCAGTAAAAGCTATTTTGAGAAGGGAATCAAAATGGGAACCTATATACATCCCTCCCCTAGGGTGCATTATCAGTATGATACACTACCATCTTCCTGGTGGGATGGAAGAGATTACAGCCACGGTACAGAAGCTTGTTGAAGTTAATATTATATGGCCAGCTGAGTTCTTTCAGTCTTATGTGACAGGTAAGGAAACTTGATGGCACCTGGCACATGAGAGTAGGCTTCCAGAAATTAAATAAGGTGATTCCTGAGATACATGCTGGTATTCCTAATATAGCTCAAGTGATAGAACAACTAATACAAACTCTAGGCACTTGCCATGCTATATTAGACTTGGCCAATGCTTTCTTCATTATTGCTTTATACCCTGACACATGGGATCAATTCCCTTTTACTTGGAATGGTCAATAATGGAGAGTCCATGTGTTGTCCCAGGGTTTTCTACATAGCCCCACTATTTGTCATGGAATTACTTCTAGATATTTAACTTTATGCCCACTGCCACCTACCGTTAAATGGTTTCATTACATTGATGATTTGTGCTAACCTCTGAAGACTTGTCAGTGCTATAGCAACACCTTGACTCATTGTACACCCTTCTCCAATCCAGAGGATGAGCCATTAATTCCCAAAAGATACAAGGCCCAGGATTTCTTGTAAAGTTCCTCAGTGTCACTTGGTTGGTAAGACATGCCTTATCCCAGGTGTAGCCATTAATGAAATACAACAATTTCCCACACTTAAAAAATCAGTTACAAAGTTTCTTAGGTCTTTTGGGATATTTGTAGGCTTTTTGTCCATATTTAGCTCTTTGTGTCCCCTATACAGACTAGTGAAAAATTGAACTAGTTGGTACTGCATAAGGAGCAAGATGAGGCATTACAGAAGGCTGAAATACTAGGGGCTCAGGCACAAGCCTTAGGCTACCCCCTTTGGGGTAGAAGTTCCTTATAGATCCTGGAGATCAGACTTGGTCAGATGTATAGTTTGTGAATATTTTTCTCCCATTCTGCAGGTTGTCTGTTTACTCTTTTGATAGTTTCTTTGGGGATACCAAAGTCTTTGGATGTAACTATAAGCCCTAAGGGAACCAGTTGGGACCTCTGGAAAGTCCAGCATGGGAAAGCAGTTCCCCTAGGATTTTGGTCACAACTAGGGAAGGGTGCTGAAATCTGCTATTCTCTGATTGAATAATAGGTCCTGGGGATATCTATGGACTTGCAGCCAGTTGGACCCATAATTTCTGGAAAGATCAAGTGGTGTTTGTTTTTAGTTCTGTTTATGTGGTGAATACATTTATTGATTTCTGTATCTTAAACCAACTTTGCATTCCAGGGATAAAGCCTACTTGATCATGGTACATTAGCTTTTTGATGTACTGCTGGATTTGGTTGGTGCAGGTTTATTTCTGGATTCTCTATCCTATTCCATTGGTCTGTGTCTATTTTTGTACCTGTAACCTCACAGTGTAGTTTGAAGTTGGGTAGTGTAATGCCTTCAACTTTGTTCTTTTTTGTTTAGAATTGCTTTTGCTATTCAGGCTCTATTTTGGTTCTATATGAATTTTAGAATAGTTTTTTTTTCTAATTCTGGGAAAAGTGACCTTGGTAGTTTGATGGGAGTAGGGTTGAGTCTGTAGATTGCTTTGGGACTTGTGGCCATTTTAATGATATTGACTCTTTTGATCCATGAGCATGGGATTTTTTCATTTGTTTGTACCGTCTATGATTTTGTTTCAGGACTGTTTTGTAATTCTCATTGTAGAGATCTTTCACCTCCTTGGTTAGATGTATTCCAAGCTAGTTTTTTTCCCAACTACTTTAAACGGAATTGCATTCTTGATGTTACTCTCAACTTAAATGTTATTGGTGTATAGAAATGCTGGTAAATTGTGTACATTGAATTTGTATTCTGAAACTTTACTGAAGTCATTTATCAGCTCTAATAGCCTTTTGGTGGCAGCTTTAGGGTCTTCTAAGTATAGAATCATATCATCAGTGAAGAGAGATAAATTTTCTTCTTTTTCTATTTGGATGCCTTTTATTTATTTCTCTTGCCTGATTGCTCTGGTTAGGACTTGCGTACTACGCTGAATAGGAGTGGTGAGAGTGAGTATAGTTGTCTTATTCCAGCTCTCAATGGGAAATCTTCTAGTTTTCGACTATTCTCTATGATGTTTACTGTGGGCTTGTCACAGATGGCTCTTATTATTTTGAGGTATATTCCTTTGATGCCTAGTCTGTGGAGGGCTCTTATCATGAAAGAATAAGGGATTTTATCAAAAGCTATTTGTGTGTTTATTTAGATGATAATTGAGATTTTTTTTAAAAAATTGTTTATGTGATGGATTACATTTATTGATTTGTGCATGTGGAGCCAATCTTGCATCCTAGGAATAAAGCCTGCTTGATCATGGTGGATTAGCTTTTTCATGTACTGCTAGATTCAGTTTTCAAGTGTTTAGTTGAGGATTTTTGTATCTGTTATCATCAGGGATATTGGCCTGATGTTTCCTATTTTTGTTGTCTTTAACTGATTTTTGTATCAGACTGATGCTGGCTTCATAGAATTTGTTTTGGAGGAGTCCCTTCTGGAAATCAAAAAGTTTCTGAGACAGGTTTCAATCAATTTAGGAAGTTGAAACTCTTTCTTCCACTTGTTTTATTATATTGATAAAGATTTCAATTATATTTTGAAATGTTTAAGTGAGCTTTTCAGTTTTATTAGCTCTGATTGCTTTCTCTTTAAGATGTCTACATTTTTATTTTCTGGATTGCACTACAGATTTCTTTGTGTTAATTTTCAACCTTATCTTGGATCTCATTGAGTCTCCCTGCAATCCATGCTTTGAATTCTCCATCTGTCATCTCTCTGCCCCCATTTTAGCTAGAGACCATTGCTGCAGAGCTAGAGCAATATTTGATGGAGTCAAAACATCCAAATTATTCATGTTGGCAGAATTCTGTTTTTTTCTTATCTGGACAGGGTAGAGTCTTTTGGCTCTGGTTCTCTATTCCTGTGCATTTCTATCAGTAGGTTTCGTATTGGTCTTTGAAGTTTGACCCACAGGCCAGTAGATGGTGTTTGCAGGTAAGAGCCAGCTGCTGCACAAGCAGATGGGTATGAGTCTGTTTTTTGTTTACTGTGAGGTGCTCTCTGTTATTTCAAGGGAAGAACTGAACAGTGGTGTGCCTGGTGTCCTGAGCTTCCTGTTCCATGGGGTTGAGGGGACACAGTTGGGCAGAGCTGGGGTTCCTGGCTTGTGCACAAATATCCTAATGTCAAGTAAAGACACCTGTCCTGATGAGGGTGGTTGGGAAGAGCTCCTGGTAAAGTGCCTTGAAGTCTCTGGGGGGAAGTTTGACTGGACTGCACCTGCTCTGTCTTAGATAGGCAGGAATATGATCTGTTTCCCTATCACACCCCTGTTTCAGGGCTCATGACTCCTAGTCAGAAAAATACTGTAGTCTGTCTCTTGGCTGCAATGTGGTTGAGAGTCATGGGAAATGCCTGTTTTGTGACTCTCTGTGGGAGTGATTCTGGTGCACATTCTCATCACTTTATCTGAAACAGATAGCATTTAGACCCACCTGTTCTCTGATGCAGCAGCACTGCTGCTTCTTGTAAAATTGGGGCTTCACCTTTGGGCGCTTGTGAGTGAGTGAATGTTGGTTATGGTGGTGTCAGCTGGGTTGGCCTGACCCGAGGCCTTGAGGGAAGGTGTTAAGTGCAAGCAGAGTTGGAATGGGTTAGGTAGTTCTTCAGTTCCCAGGCCCCTAGATAACCTTCTGGACAGCATGTATGAGTCCTGAAGGCGCTGGACTATGGTCAGGCTAGCCCAGAGTTTAGGTGTTGGCTGTGTTGGGTGGTGGGTGGGTTCCTGGGTCACCAGCCAAACTCTCAGGGAGGGGAAGGCAGAATGCTTAGGTGGTGGGAGTCTGAAGAAATATCACAGGCCTGTTGGGGTTGGGTTTTTAGAAGGGCTGTGGGCTTCAGATGAGATGTTCAGGTTAGGGCAGAGTGGCTTTGCTGTGGGCCATTCACTGGAGATGGCTGGAACCTCCACCTGGGGCAAAGGAGACTGGTGGCTGTGAGGTATATGGCATGATTGCACTTCCCTCCCACCCAAATGATGCTGAACTTCACTGTCGGAGGCACACAAAAGTGCCAAGCATTGTCTGTTTCCTCTGGGAGTTTTGCAGAGCTGCAGAGCTGCAACCCACTGCAATGTTCAGGCAGGGGTGGGGTTACTGCACTGGAAGCCCAAGCCAAGCCTTGCGTGGCTCAGAGCAGTGGGGCATGAGTCACATGGTCTGCCATCCAGGCGGTTCATGGAAGAATGCTGGTAAGAGTTGGAATTGGTTGGATAATTCTCCAGTTCTACCTCCAGTTGCCCACCCGTAGAATTCAAGCAAGGGCTGGGCTGCTGTGCTGGCAGCCCAAGTCAGCTAGTTTTGTTTGGCTCAGAGCAGTGTGGGCAGGGGTTACACATTTTACCATATGGGCTGTTTCTGGGGTAATGCTGAGCTGTGCCCATCCACAGAATTCAGACAAGGATGGAGTGGCTGTAGTGGAAGACTGAGTCAAGCCTTGCCTAGCAAGGAGTGGGGTAGCCTGACTGCTTCTCCACACTGTGAGTTTGGCCTCTACTGGGGATACGGCAGCTGATTCTGGGCTGCTCAGGGATCTAGGACCCGTAGATCTCCATGTGGACTTGAGTGGTGTCTTTGCAAAAACTCCAGGAGGCTCTCAGTGTTAGGCTAGAAGCCTGATGGGTGGGGTCTGAGGGATTCAAGCATGTTCAGGGTTATGAAGACTTGTGTGGGAAGTGTGGACCCCCTTGTGACTCTCATTCACTCACCCTTTCCCCATGTTAGGGAGCTTCTTCTAGCTTCATACCAGTCCTAGGTGGGCAGCTGCCCAGTTTTGCTCCTTTTTTTTCCTCTGTGGGTCCCCTCACTTCCTCAGTGAAATCCAGTATGGTGTCCTAGATGATTCTCTTGAAGATCTGCTATTTACTTGCCACTTTGTCTCCTCTCTGTGAGAGCAGCACATGATATCTGCTTCTAGTCAGCCATTGTAAAGTATGCCTAGTTCTTTGAATGTTAAAATTTGTCAGTAAAACCATCTAGTCCTAAATTTTGCTTTATTGGGAGAATTTTTATTACTGATTCCAAATTTTTCCTCTTTATTGATATGTTCAGGTTTTTATTTCTTCCTGATTTAATCTTGGTAGATTGTTGGCATCTAGGTATTTATTCATTTCCTCTAGGTTTTCCAGTTTCTTAGTGTACAGTTGCTCATAATAGTCTCAAACAATCTTTTGTATTCCTGTGATCGCTATTGTAATGTCTCCTTTTTCATTTCTAATTTTATTTATTTGGATTTTGTGTCTTTTCTTTTCTTGGTTGTGTAGCTAGCAGTTTGTCCATTTTGTTTGTCTTTTCAAAACACCAATCTTTCATTTCATTAGGCTTTGTGCTTTTTAAAAAGTCTCTATATTGTTTGGTTCTTTTCCAATCTTTATTATTTCTTTCTTGCTATTAATTTTGGGGCTTGATTTATTCCTCCTTTTCAGGTTCCTTGAGGTACACTGTGATATTGTTTATTTGAAACCTTATTTGAAATAAGCATTTATTGCTATAAACTTCACTTTAGCAAAACTTTTGCTGTATCTCTTAGTCTTTAATGTGTTGTGTTTTAATTTTCATTTATTTCAAGACATTCTGAATTTCACTTTTTAATTTCTTTCTTGACCCACTGATTATTCCAGAGTATGTCATTTAATTTCCGTGTGTTTGTATAGTTTCCAAAGTTCCTCTTGTTTTTGATTTCTGGTTTTATTCTACTGTGGTCTGAGAAGATATTGGATATGATTTTAACTTTTTAAAATTTATTGAGACTTGTTTTGTTGGCTAACATATGGTCTACCCTGAAGAGTATTCCATGTACTGATAAGAAGAATGTGTGTTCTGTAACTGTTGAATGAAATGTTCTGTAAATGTCTATTTGGTTCATTTGGTCTAAAGAACAGTTTAAATCCATTTTTTGATTAATTGTCTATCTAGATATTCTGTCTAATGCTGTGGTTGGGGTGCTGAAGTTCCCAAGTATTACTATATTGAAATCTACCTGTCTTTTTAGATCTAGTAATATTCAATTTATATACCTGGGTTCCCCAGGGTGGGGCATATTCTATTTAGAATTGTTATACCCTCTTGCTGAATTGATCCCTTTATCATTAGATAATGACTTTCTTTGTCTCTTTGTACTGTTTTTGAGTTAAAGTCTGTTGTATGCAATAGAGGTATAGTCACCCTGCTCACTTTTGGTTTCCATTTACATGGAATACCATTTTCTATCCCCTTACTTTCATTATACATGTTGTCTTTACAGAGAAGATAATTTTCCTACAGGCAGAATATAGTTGGTAATTTTTAAAAATCCATTTAGCCTGTCTATATCTTGTCAGTGTAAAGTTTAATCTGTTTACAATCAAGGTTGTTATTGATATATGAGGGCTTATTACTACCATTTATTACTTGATTTCTGGTAATTCTGTATGCTCTTTGTTCCTTACTTTCTCTCTTATTGTTTATCAGTGTGGTTTGTTGGCTTTTGACAGTGGTAACTGTCTGTTTGCTCTACCAGTGAGTTTTATACTTTCATGTGTATTCAGGGTAGTATTAATAGATAACATTCTTTCACTTCCAGGTTTAGAAATCCCTTAAGCATGACTTGTAGGATTTGTCTAGCATTTATCAATTACCTCAGCTTTTGATTGTCTGGGAAAGACTATTTCTCTTTTATTTATGAAGTATAACTTTGCTAAGCATTGTATCCTTGGATGAAAGATTTTTCTTTCTTTCGACACTTGGAATATATCATCTTATTCTCTCCTGGTCTGTGAAGTTTCTGCTAAGAAATCCATTGGTAGCCTGATGGGGGTTCCCTTATAAGGAATGAAATGCTTCTCTTTTGCTGAATTTAGAACTCCCTGTTTGTCTTTGACTTTTGACAGTTTGACAAGAATGTGTCATGGAGAAGATATTGAGTTGTATTTATTTGGGAATGTGTGCACTTCCTATATCTGGATGTCTAAATATCTTGGTAGACATGGGAAATATTCACCTACTATTTTGTCAAATTGGCTTCATATTTTTTTCATTTGCTCTTCATCTTTTGGGACATTAAAATTTCAAATGTTTGATCACTTTGTGGTGTCTCATATGTCACAAAGCCTTTATTCATACCTTATTTTTCTCTGTTATTTTTGTCTGAGTGTGTGATTTCAAAAGACCTGTTTCACATTATGAAATTTTTTCTTCTACCTGATCTCGTCTACATTTGAAGCCTTTGGGCATATATTTTAATTTCATTTAATGAATTCTTCAGTTCCTGGATTTCGATTTGGTTCTTTTTTTAATCATATCTATCTCTCTGGCAATTTTCTGATTCATATCCCGAATCGTATTTGTGATTTCTTTATATTCTTTGTGTGTTCTCTCGTATCTTATTGAACTTCTTTAATGTTAATATTTTTAATCTTTTTCCTGGCATTTTATAAATTTCTTTTTTATTTGAATCTGTTGCTGGAGAATTATTGTGATTTTTAGAAAGTATCCCATTTCCTTGCTTTTTCATATTTATTGTATCCTTATATTAATAATATTGATATCTGTGGATGTGGTATAACCATCATTTCCTTTTTTTAATCTGCTTTCATAGGGGAGAACTCTTTTCTTTTATTTTTCATTATTATACTTTAAGTTTTAGGGTACATATGCACAAAGTGCAGGTTTGTTACATATGCATACATGTGCCATGTTGGTGTGCTGCACCCATTAACTCGTCATTTAACATTAGGTATATCTCCTAATGCTATCCCTCTCCCCTCCCACAATCCCACAACAGGCCCTGGTGTGTGATGTTCCCCTTCCTGTGTCCACATGTTCTCATTGTTCAATTCCCACCTATGAGGGAGAACATGCGGTGTTTGGTTTTTTGTCCTTGCAATAGTTTGCTGAGAATGATGGT
Organism: Homo sapiens; assembly: GCF_000001405.40. NCBI lineage: Eukaryota > Metazoa > Chordata > Mammalia > Primates > Hominidae > Homo > Homo sapiens. The sequence goes on from NC_000011.10 coordinate 63,282,503, forward strand.
TTCCAGCTTCATCCATGTCCCTACAAAGGACATGAACTCATCTTTTCTGATAGTTTATCTATGGTTTTGGTTTGTATGGTATTTTGGCTTTGATTTTGGGTGCTGTAATAGTATAGTCTTCATATGATTTCCTACACTGTAAAGAGTGTCAGTGGGCACTGTCTCAGTGGCCTCAGGAGTGGCTCTAAGTGGAGGCTGTGGTGAAATTTTGTTGAAGATGGGGACACCAGTTGGGCCAGTGCTCAGGTCACAGTTGTGGCAGCTGCAGGCCAAGCATACCTGTCCTTGGACTCCAGGGCATTGCCTGCTGGCAGTGGTGTTAGCAGTTATGGGCTAGTTGATTCTTGGGCCTCCAGGCAACTTGCTCAGTTGCCAGTAGTAGCAACAATGGGTTATGCTAGTGGACAGGTTCTTAGGTCTTTTGGGCAGCATGCATGAAATGGGTGATGGCAGTAGCAGTGGTGGAAGTATTCTCTGGCTCACAAGTGGTCTGCATTGGTGTTAGCAGTGGCAGTGATGGACTGCACTGGCCAGTCCCCAGGACCACAGGTGATGCATAGAGATGGGTGCTAGCTGTGGTTGTAGTGACAGGCTGTGTGGGCTGCTTCTTAGGCTCTAGGAGGAGTGCTAAGTACCAATAGTAGTGGACACTGCAAGGAGATTCCCCAGATCCTTGGATGGAGTGCTCAGGCACTGGGAGTGGTGGGCGGAGCCAGACCTAGTGGTCCTGTCCTTGGGTCCTCTGCTATTGTATATGGGTGGTGGCTTTGTTGGGCAGGCATGGAGTTATCTTCAGACCTTTGCAGAGTGTTATGATGGGGGTGACAGTGGTGGCAGTGAGTGGGGAGTGAGTGCCCTCAAGGCACATACAAATATGGTGCCACCCTACTACTGTAGACAGCAAAGTTGCTGCCAGTTTCTTGCTCTTTGGCCCGGAGAAGGCAAATTCAGGGTGACCTGCTGCTACTGGGAGCAACCAGTGGTTCATGCTTCAGCCTGGTGGCAGCTGCTAGCAGCAGTGGTGGCTGTTTCCCAAATGGTGCCATAGGCTGGGCTCCCCCAATGATGCCATGCTGTAGCCGCTTAGGTCTTGAGGGGGAGGTTATGTGAGATGCAGCATGACCTCCCTCTCTGGAGCAATGCCATTGCACAGTCTTCAGGCAGTTCCTTATGTTAGTCTGAAAACCCACAGTGCTCTAGGTGCTATCCCATGGCTAGGACTACAGGAGTCTGTGGAGGAAATGTGAACCACTGGGGATCTCTAACTTACCCTTTTCCTACACTGCGGAGGCTCTCTTAGCTGACAGACAATGCTAATCAAGCAGACTGCCCTGCTTCCTTCTTCATTCTTCCCTAGATGTTTCCTGTCACTCCTTGGCTTAATTCTTGTGTTTCCTTTTAGATGATCTATTTGAGGTGTTATTATCTACTTGTTATTTTGGTTCTTCTTTGTGGAGATGGCGAGTTCCAGATGCCTTTAATCAGCCTTCTAGAAGCCAATTCTATATTTTTTTCACTAGGACTTAATCATACTTGTTCTAGAACATCATGTAAATGGAAATTATAAACTTTGTATTTTTGCATACAGTTTCTTTTTTCAATATAGTATATGTGAGATTAATGCATGCTTTTGTTTTTATCAGCATTCTATTTCTTTTTATTGCTGAGTAACATTACATTTGGATATGGATGTTAACAACTTATCCATATTGCTGGATGGATGTTGTTATTGGACATATGGCTTTTTTTCAGTTTATGTTTTGTAAATGCAGCTGCTATTTACATATTCTTTTATGAAATCTTATGGACACAAATATTTGGTAATATTTGGTGATTTTTATTTACTAAGTAGGCTTATTTTTAACTTTATAAGCCTTTTAACAGAACTTTATAAGACCTGAGCAGCAGGTTTATTTCCAAAAGTATGGAGAATTACATTAAATGTAATTTAATGGACTAAATACTGCAATTAAAGGGACTAAATATACCAATTAAAAGTCACAGTTTTAAGGCAGCATTGAATAGGTGTCCCATCTAAATGCTGTCTACAAGTGGTAGATTTAAATATAAGGACATAGGTAGGTTAAATGTAATAGGATGTAGTAAAAAATTGATTTTATAGGTTTCATGTAATTCTTATGAAAATTCCAGGAAGTTATTTTTTAGATATAAACATCTTAATTCTAAAATGTATGTGGGAAGAAACAGGCCATAGAATAGCTAAGTCAATTAGACTCCCACACAATAATAGCGGGAGAATTTAACACCCCACTGTCAATATTAGACAGATCAATGAGACAAAATTAACAAGGATAGCAAGGACTTCAACTCAGCTCTAGACCAAGTAGACCTAATTGACATCTACAGACCTCTCCACCCCAAATCAACAGAAGATACACTCTTCTCAGCACCACATTGCATTTATTCTAAAATTGACCACACAATTGGAAGTAAAACACTCCTCAGCAAATGTAAAAGAATGGAAATCTTAACAAACAGTCTCTCAGACCACAGTGCAATCAAATTAGAACTCAGGATTAAGAAACTCACTCAAAACCGCAGAACTACATGGAAACTGAACAATCTCCTCCTGAATGACTACTGAGTGAATAATGAAAAGAAGGCAGAAATAAAGATGTTCTTTGAAACCAATGAGAACAAAGACAAAATGTACCAGAATCTCTGGGACACATTTTAAATCAGTATATAGAGGGAAATTTATTGCACTAAATGCCCACAAGAGAAAGTGAGAAAGATCTAAAATCAACACCTTAACATCACAATTAAAAGAACTAGAGAAGCAAGAGCAAACAAACTCAAAAGCTACCAGAAGACAAGAGATAACTAAAATCAGGGAGAATTGAAGGAGATAGAGACATGAAAAACCCTTCAAAAAATCAATGAATCCAGGAGCTGGTTTTTTGAAAAGATCAGCAAAATAGATAGACCACTAACCAGACAAATAAAGAAAAGAGAGAAGAATCAAATAGATGCAATAAAAAATGATAAAGGCGATATCACCACTAATCCCACAGAAATACAAACTACCATCAGAGAATACTATAAACACCTCTACGCAAATAAATTAGAAAATCCAGAAGAAATGGATAAATTCCTGGATACATACACCATCCCAAGACTAAACCAGGAAGAAGTCGAATCCCTGAATAGACCAATAACAAGTTCTGAAATTGAGGCAGTAATTAATAGTCTACCTACCAAAAAAAGTCCAGGACCAGATGGATTCACAGCCAAATTCTGCCAGAGGTACAAAAAGGAGCTGGTACCATTCCTACTGAAACTGTTCCAAAATATAGAAAAAGAGGGAGTCCTCCCTAACTGATTTTATGAGGCTAGCATCATCCTGATACCAATCCGGGAAGAGACACAACAACAACAAAAAAAGAAAATTTCAGGCCAATATCTCTGATGAATATTGATGTGAAAATCCTCAATAAAATAATGGCAAACAGAATCCAGCAGCACATCAAAAAGCTTATCCACCACTACGAAGTCAGCTTCATCCCTGGGATGCAAGGCTGGTTCAATATACACAAATCAATAAATCTAATCCATCACATAAACAGAACCAATGACAAAAACCACGTGATTATCTCAAGAGGTGCAGAAAAGGCCTTCGACAAAATTCAACACCCCTTCATGCTAAAAACTCTAAATAAACTTGGCATTGGTTGAACGTATCTCAAAATAATAAAAGCTACTTATGACAAACCCACAGCCAATATCATACTGAATGGGCAAAAGCTGAAAACAGTTCCTTTGAAAACTGGCATAAGACAAGGATGCCCTCTCTCACCACTCCTATTCAACATAGTATTGGAAGTTCTGGCCAGGGAAATCAGGCCAAAGAAAGAAAGAAAGGGTATTAAATGAGGAAAAGAGGAAGTCAAATTGTCTCTGTTTGCAGATGACATGATTGTATATTTAGGAAACCCAGTCTCAACCCAAAATCTCCTTAAGCTGATAAGCAACTTCACCAAGTCTCAGGATACAAAATCAATGTGCAAAAATCACAAGCATTCCTATACACCAATAACAGACAGCCAAATCATGAGTGAACTCCCATTCACAATTGCTACAAACAGAATAAAATACCTAGGAATCCAACTTACAAGGGATGTGAAGGACCTCTTCAAGGAGAACAGAAAGCCACTGCTCAAGGAAATAAGAGAGTATACAAACAAATGGAAAAGCATTCCATGCTCATGGATATGAAGAAACAATATTGTGAAAATGGCCATACTGCCCAAAGTAATTTATAGATTCAATACTATCTCCGTCAAGCTACCATTGGCTTTCTTCACAGAACTGAAAAAAAAATACTTTAAATTTCATATGGAGCCAAAAAACAGCCCGCATAGCCAAGACAATCCTAAGCCAAAAGAACAAAGCTGGAGGCATCACACTACCTGACTTCAAACTATACTACAAGGCTACAGTAACCAAAACAGCATGGTACTGGTACCAAAACAGATATATAGACCAATGAAATAGAACAGAGCCCTCAGAAATAATGCCACACATCTACAACTATCTGACCTTTGACAAATCTGACAAAAACAAGCAATGGGGAAAGGATTCCCTATGTAATAAATGGTGTTGGGAAAACTGGCTAGCCATATGCAGAAAACTGAAACTGGACCCCTTCCTTACACTTTATACAAAAATTAACTCAAGATGAATTAAAGACTTTAACATAAAACCTAAAACCATAAAAACCCTAGAAGAAAACCTAAGCAATACCATTCTGGACATAGGCATGGGCAAAGACTTCATAACTAAAACACCAAAAGCCATGGCAACAAAAGCGAAAATTGACAAATGGGATCTAATTAAACTAAAGAGCTTCTGCATAGCAAAGGAAACAATCATCAGAGTGAACAGGCAACCTACGGAATGGGAGAAAATTTTTGCAATCTATCCATCTGACAAAGGGCTAATATCCAGAATCTACAAAGAACTTTAAAAATTTACAAGAAAAAAAAAACCCCCATCAAAAAGTGGGCAAAGGATATGAACAGACACTTCCCAAAAGAAGACATTTATGTAGCCAACAAATGTATGAAAAAAAGCTCATCATCACTGGTCATTAGAGAAATGCAAATCACAAAGACAATGAGATACCATCTCATGCCTGTTAGAATGGAGATCATTAAAAAGTCAGGAAACATCAGATGCTGAAGAGGATGTGGAGAAATAGGAACGCTTTTAGGTGTTGGTGGGAGTGTAAATTAGTTCAACCATTGTGGAAGACAGTGTGGTGACTCCTCAAGGATCTAGAACTAGAAATACCATTTGACCCAGCAATCCTGTTACTGGGTATATACCCAAAGGATTATAAATTATTCTACCATAAAGACACATGCACACATATGTTTATTGCAGCACTGTTCACAATAGCAAAGACTTGGAACTAACCCAAATGCCCATCAATGATAGACTGGATAAAGAAAATGTGGCACATATACACCATGGAATACTATGCAGCCATAAAAAAGATGAGTTCATGTCTTTGTAGGGACATGGATGAAGCTGGAAACCATCCTTCTCAGCAAACTGACACAAGAACAGAAAACCAAACACTTCACATTCTCACTCATAAGTGGGAGTTGAACAGTGAGAACACATGGATGCAGGGAGGGGAATATCACACACTGGGGCTTGTCTGGGGGTGGGAGGCTAGGGGAGGGATAGCATTAGGAGAAATACCTAATGTAGATGATGGGTTGATGGGTGTAGCAAATCACCATGGCACATGTATAGCTATGTAACAAAACTGCACGTTCTGCACATGTATCCCAGACTTAAAGTATAATAATAAAAAAAAACTAAAAAAATAATAAGGTCAAGTATGGTCAAGTACATAGAGATAGGGAATGGAATGGTGTTTACAAGGGCTGGGGTGTGAGGGGTGGGAAGAAGTGGGGAGATGTAAGTCAAAGGATACAAAGTAGCCTATATGTAGGATGAACAAGTTGAAGTATCTCATGTACAACAGGAGAACTGTAATTAATAACAGTATCTTGTGTTTTTGATAAATGAATAGATTATATGTGCTTTTGCCAAAGGGGGGAATGGGTAACTTTTCCCATTTGTGAGATGATTGATAGGTTAATTGGTTCCACTATAGTTAGCATTTTATATATCTCTATATATCTTTATCTATATATATACATATGTATCTTATAACATCATGTTGCTTATCTTAAATATGCACAATAACATTGATTTTAAAAAAACAAACAATTGTATATACATTCTATGGAATAATATTCAGCAATAAAAAGGAACAAAGTATTCATATATACAGCAACTTAGATGAATATCTGTAGAGTTTCTGATTTTTCAAAAGCCAACCTGAGAAGGATATATACCATATTATTCTCCTAGAAGGAGGGATATCTGTGGAGATGTAACTGTTCACTATCTTGATTGTGATGATGGGCACACTAAATTACACACATAAAATTGTATAGTACTATATGCATACACGGATACAGATAAACCAACAAGGGAAATATTAATAAAATCAGTAGATTGTATCAGTATCAAGATCCTGGTATTATACTACATTGTATCATACTAGCATCTTGATGTTGATACAATATTATACTACAGTTTTGTAAAATATTACCATTAGAGGAAACAGGGTGATGAGTATATGATTACTCCTTGTGTTATTTCTTGCAACTGCATGTAAATCTATAATAATCTCAAAAAACATTTCATTAAAAATCTAAAACATGGGAAAGTTATCTGATGCAAACTATAAGAAACCTGGCATAGCCATGTTAACGTTAAAAAATATATAATTCAAAATGAGGAGCATCACTAGAGATAGAGGCATAGTTTATAACAATAAAATAAACAATTTATCTGGATTCCCAAAACTAACATGGAAAAGATCTTCCAATGTGCTATATATAAATGAATAAATAAGCCCAAGGAAATAAACTCCTATATGAGCTGAACACTGCCTTTCTCTTCTATTTATATTTCATATAATTTAAAGTTATGTGAGTTCCTCATGTGATTTAACCTGAAGCATAATATCAGTTAACAAAAGATAGTAATGGCATCACATTCCAATTTGCTTTAAAAAGCAAAACATGGTAATTGGGATTTGCATTTATTCATCATTTTAATCTAAATTCAGTACTAAAGGAGAAAAACCCTGACTTTCTGCTCTTTTCATGGAAAAATTATAAAGCAGTTTACTTTTGTGTCTCTCAAATTTCACTTCCTAGAAATAACAACACTGTTTAACCGATTTCTTTTAGCTTATTTAGAGAACATGTACATGCCAAAGTCCAATGTAAATTTCATGAGTCACTTGAGGACAAACATATTTGGAGAGAGTAAACCTTTAAACGGATTTTATTGTCAACAGCTAGAAGTATCTCTATGAAATAATGATCTCTATGACTACAAAATAACATCTACCTCCTGATAGCAAAAGAACTGAGGAAGCTCTTTCCACTACGGCTGTATTGCACTGGTGAGTCCGGGCCCATGGATGAGAAATTGATGCGAGGATCAATACAAGCTTAATTTGAATTAATAAAAGGAAATATTTTCTCCCTTTGAACTTATCTCCGTAAAGCCATTGTGCCTCCTCTTGGGGGTCACGTGTTCACAATCAATGGCCTTTGAGGAGCTCTTGAGTCAAGTTGGAGGCCTTGGGAGATTTCAGATGCTTCATCTGGTTTTTATTCTTCCCTCTCTCATGTTATTAATCCCTCATATACTGCTAGAGAACTTTGCTGCAGCCATTCCTGGTCATCGTTGCTGGGTCCACATGCTGGACAATAATACTGGATCTGGTAATGAAACTGGAATCCTCAGTGAAGATGCCCTCTTGAGAATCTCTATCCCACTAGACTCAAATCTGAGGCCAGAGAAGTGTCGTCGCTTTGTCCATCCCCAGTGGCAGCTTCTTCACCTGAATGGGACTATCCACAGCACAAGTGAGGCAGACACAGAACCCTGTGTGGATGGCTGGGTATATGATCAAAGCTACTTCCCTTCGACCATTGTGACTAAGGTAAAGGGTCCTGTTAACCTGTTCTGGATACACAATCCAGGTGTTTAGAAGAAAATAAACATGCTTTAAGCCTCTAGTTATTGTGTAGATAGTGTAGTCAGCACTCAGACACTCTTTTGGCAAATAGTGATTGCTCTTTTTTTTTTTTTTTTTTTTTTTTTTGAGATGGAGCTTGACTCTTGTTGCCCAGGCTGGAGTGCAATAGTGAGATCTCAGCTCACTGCAACCTCCACCTCTGAGGTTCAAACAATTCTCCTGCCTCAGCCTCTGAAGTAGCTGGGATTACAGACATGCATCATGACACTCAGCTAATTTTTTTTCTTTGTATTTTTAGTGGAGACAAGGTTTCACCATGTTGGCCAGACAGATCTCAAACTCCTGACCTCAGGTGATCCACCCGAAAGTCCTGGGATTGCAGATGTGAGCCACCGCACCTGGCTACTTATTTTTTAATTGTCAGGCACTTACATTGAATTTGAGGCAATGAACTCAACCAACTAGATATAAATACAGCTATCACAAAACTAGCTTGAAGAGAAGACTAATGATTAGAAAAATATTCTTCCTGGTCACTTGTTCTCAGCCTAAGTTGCAAATTGGAAACATCTGTGTTATTTTTAAAATCTGCCTGCTTTGGCTACATGTTACAGAAGCAAATCAGAGTGGATTTCATACTAGCATCAATGGTTTAAAAAGTCTCCTTAATGTGTTTAATGTGTAACAAAAATTGAGAACCACTGAGGTATGCAGTGCTGAATGAATATAAAGACAGACATTAACATAACCTGGAAGGTTTTGTGTGAGGATTTCCAGAGAAATCCATGCTTAAGCCAAGACTTGAATGGTATAGGTAAGAAAATGTAGTAAAAAGAGGCTAGAGAGTGTGTCCACTGAAAGCTATTGCAGCAAGTGAACAATGAGAAGTCAAAAGCTGCTGTGAAGCTATGCTGTATTGGCTTCCTTCTCTTCCAGTGGGACCTGGTATGTGATTATCAGTCACTGAAATCAGTGGTTCAATTCCTACTTCTGACTGGAATGCTGGTGGGAGGCATCATAGGTGGCCATGTCTCAGACAGGTGAGTGTCTCCAGATCAGGGTTATCATTACTCTGCAGTGTTTTTATCAGCTTACAATTAATTTTTTTCACAAAGAAGTGTTATTGAGTTACAATATGCAATTTACACTGTTGGTGCTGCTCTGTTCCCCAGAGAGTTAGATACAGAAATGAATTACAGTGAGTTTAGTGAGTGCCATTTTGTTGCCACAGAGATCTCTGAACAGCATCTCTGTATAGGATACTGAATACAAAAATATCAAAATAGAGAATTCATCCTCCTTGAAGATACAAATATATGAAATGGTGTGTAGACCTTGGCTAGGGATATTGTGTTAAGTCCCTCCTGGACTCTGTGAGCTAAATGCTTGTGGGCTCCCCAGCCTGGTTGTCATTATCATAATTACCCCACTGTAATTAGTAGGAGTATTAGTCTATTCTCATGCTGCTAATAAAGACATACCTGGGACTCGGTAATTTATAAAAGAAAGAGGTTTAATCAACTCACAGTTCCACATGGCTTGGGAGGCCTCACAATTTTGGTGGAAGGTGAATGAGGAGCAAATTCATGTCTTGAATGGTGGCAGGCAAGAAAGCATGTGCAGGGAACTCCCCTTTATAAAACCATCAGATCTCATGAGACTTACTCACTACCAGGAGAGCATCATGGGAAAAACCAGCCCCCATGATTCAATTACCTCCCACTGGCTCCCTCCCATGACACATGGGGATTATTACAATTCAACGTGAGATTTGGTTGGGGACACAGAGCCAAACCATAACAATATGAATTTTAAAATAATAGTTTTTAGCTCTGTGAAGAATCTCAATGGTAGTTTAATAGGAATAGTATTAAATCTATAAATTGCTTTGGGCATGTATTAGTCCACTCTCACCCTGCTGTGAAGAACTGCCTGAGGCTAGGTAATTTATAAAGAAAAGAGGATTAATTGACTCACAGTTCAGCATGACTGGGGAGACCCCAGGAAACTTACAATCATGGTGGAAGGGGAAGTAAACACATTCTTCTTCACATGGTAGCAGGAAAGAGAAGTGGAGGGTGAAGGGGGTAAAAGCCCCTTATAAAACTATCAGATCTCATGAGAACTCACTCACTATAGTGAAACCAGCATGGAGATAATGCCTTCATGATTCAATTACCTCTCACCAGGTCCCTCTCATAACACATGGGGATTATGGGAACTACAATTCAAGATGAGATTTGGGTGGGGACACAGCCAAATCATATCAGGGCAGTATAGCCATTTTTATAACATGGACTCTTTCTACCTATAAGCATGGAATGCTTTTCCATTTTTGTGTGTGTCATCTTTGATTTTTTTTTTTTTTGAGTAGTGTTTTGTAATTCTCCTTGTAGAGATCTTTCACCTCCCTAGTTAGCTGTATTCCTAGGTATTTTATTCTTTTGTGGCAATTGCGAATGGCATTGCTTTCCTTATTTGGCTCTCAGCTTGACTGTTATTGGTGTATAAGAATGTTAGCGATTTTTGCACGTTGATATTCTATCCTGAGACTTGCTGAAGTTGTTTATCAGCTTAAAAAGCTTTTGGGCTGAGACTATGGGGTTTTATAGATACAGTATCATATCATCTGCAAACAGGGATAGTTTGACTTCCTCTCTTCCTATTTGGATGCTCTTTATTTCTTACTCCTGCTTGATTGCCCTAGTTAGGACTTCCAATACTGTGCTGAATTGGAGTGGTGTCTTGTGCCAGTTTTCAAGACGAATGCTTTGAGCTTTTGCTTATTCAATAAGATGTTGGTTGTGGGTTTGTCATACATGGATCTTACTTTTTTGAGGCATGTTCCTTCAATACCTACTTTATTGAGAGTTTTTAACATGAAAGGTTGTTGAATTTTATCAAAAGCCTTTTCTTCATTTATTTAGATAATTGTGTGGTCTTTGTCTTTAGTTGAGTTTATGTGATGAATCACATATATTTATTTACAAATATTGAACCAACCTTGCATCCCAGGGATAAAGCATACTTGATCATGGTGGATAATTTTTCTGATATGCTGCTGGATTTGGTTTGCCAGTATTTTGTTGAGGATTTTTGCATTGATATTCACCAAAGATATTGGCCTGAAGTTTTTGTGTTTTTTTTTTTGTTGTTGTTGTTGTTTTTGTAATCTCTGCCAGGTTTTGGTATCAGGATGAAGCTGGCCTAATAGAATGAGTTAGGGAGGAGACCCTCCTCCCTAATTTTTTGGAATAGTTTCAGCAGGGATGTTGCCAGATCTTCTTTGTACTTCTAGTAGAATTCAGCTGTGATTCTGTTTGGTCCTGGGTGCTTTTTAAAATTATTACTTATTTATTTATTTATTATTATTATTATTATTATTATTATTATTATTATTTTGGTTGATAGGCTTGTTGGGTGTTTTTCTGAGGTGATTAGATTTGATTCCTCTTTCTGTCTTTATCATTTGTTTATTGGTTCTCCTAGTACTTTATAGTTTTACTTGCTTTCATTATGGTAACTGCCATCTCTCTACTTCAAGATGTAAGACTCCCTGGAGAATGTTTTTGGCTGTTTCTGTGGTGGTAATTCCTTTAGTTTTCACTTGTCTGTGAAAGATTTTATAGTTCTTTCATTTCTGAAGCATAGAAGAATTTTTCTGGGTATAATATTCTTTTCTGACAATTTTTTCTTTCAGGACTTTGGATATATTATCCAATTTTCTCCTGCCCTCCAAGGTTTCCACTCAGAAATTTGCTGTTAGTCTAATAGGAATTCCTTTATGTGTGACTCAATGCTTTCTTCTTGCTGCTTTTAGTACTTTTTCTTTATCTTTGCTTTTTTGAAAATTTGACTATAATGTGCCTGCTAGGGGACCTGTTTGAGTTGACTCTATTTGGCATTCTTTGAGCTTCTTGTACCAAGATATCCATGCTTATCCCAAGACTTGGGAAATTTTCAGCTATCATATCATAAAGTATCATAAAATATATTTTCTAACCGTTTCACTTCCCTTCTTCTGGAATTCTCATAATGCAAATATTTATTCACTTACTGGTGTTTATACATTCGGTAGGTTTTCTTCATTCTTTGTAATTCTTTTTTCTTTCATCTGCCTCTATTATTTTTAGCAAACTGTCTTTAAGCTCAGAAATTATTTCTGCTTGTTCCAGTCTATGGTTGAAGCTGTCAGTTGCATTTTTTTTTACTTCATTCATTGAATATTCAACTGTAAGATTTCTGTTTGGTTCTTTTTTATATCTATGTCTTTGTTAAATTTTTCATTTAAATAATGTATTGTTTTTGTAATTATATTGAATTGTCTATAGTTTCTTGTATCTCCCTGAGTTTCTTTAATATTGTTATTTTGAATTCATTTTCTGGCATTTTGTATATTTGTCTATAATTGGGGCCGGTTACAGGAAAATTATTGTGGTCCTTTAAATGTGTCAAATTTCTTTCCTTTGTAATGTTTGATTTGTCTCTACATTGATTTCTTTGGTTGAGTGGAAAGGTTGCCTCTTACAATTTTATGAAGAGATTTCATAAGGAAAGGCTTATTTGTATGAATGGGTCTTGTGTCGTCAGTTTTATGGGGTGTGTCAGGCTTTGGTTCTAGGTGGGCACAGTAGTATTCTTTCTGTGTAGTTTCTTCAGCTTTAACCTAGGCTAGTGACATGTGCTAGTGTCTTAGTGGCATAGGCTGCAAGAGTTGGTTATGGTTGTGGTAAGGCTTTGCTGGGGGTCGGCTTGCCAGGCTGTTTCTCAGATGTGGGGTGCATGCATGCACGTGGTGATTTGGCCAAGTTAAGCCAAGTTAGACTTATGGAGCTATTATTCTGGCCAGGAACACATACATGAGGTTGCTCTGCCAGGCTGGTGGCAAGCCTGCCAGTAGTCCCCCACAGGGCTGTTTTCTCAGACCCAGGACATGGGCACACAGCTACTCAGCCAGCCTGGAGGTCTGAGTGCCAGCGAAGCTTTCAGTTGTTCTGACATCCTGATTGCAGGTGCAGGGCCATTGGGCATACCAAGGGCTTGTCTGCAGGGGGTGGAGCATCATGGAGCTATCCTCAGGTTCTAGAAAGAGGAGCATAGGAGCAGGCTTTACTGGCTGGAAGGCTGTTAGTTGCATAGAGTTCCAGGGTCTTTCCCCCTTGGGGAAGGGTATGCAGCAGTTTAGCTGGCTCAACAGTGGGTTCACCCTGGGCAGAATTGCCAGATTGTTTTTCCAGATGAAAATGAGGGTGGTGGGATTTGTTTCTCTGCTTTGTAGGACCAGAGCCACCACTGATCCTAAGCCCAGACTCTGCACTGCTGGGGTTGTGGTGTTCAGTCACTGATGTGGGCTTCATGGAATGAAGATAGAGTTCCAGTGCTGGAGAGGTGCAGTGGCTACTGGCCCCCAGGACAGGATGCACTCCAGAGGTGGCTCTGGTCTCAAGATGGTGCCATGCTGCAACAGCTTGACTCACAAGGGATAGGCGTGACCTGGGGAATAATACTTTGTGCCCCTAATCTGGGCAATGCAGTTGGGTAAATTTTCGGCAGCTCTCTTTTGGACTCAGGACTTGTGCGGACTATGAAATTCTCCTATGGTAAGAACTGTTGCTGTTTGTGGTGGCAATGGAGACTGGTGGGTTCTTCTGCTACAGAGGCTGGGTGCCTCCATGCTGCCCTCCTGGACTTCCAATCTCCACAGGTGTGTCTCCACCCCCTCGCTGCATTGCAGTGCTCTCCCTTCCACACTCTAGTGAAATCTTACCTGTTTATTTGTTGCCTTGGTTTTTTTCTCATTGGTGTGTGGGTTGGGGGGAATGAGTGTCAGGAGTCTCTACTTAGCTATCTTGCTGATACCACTCCTCTAGATACTATTTAAATATATCTAGAGTTCCATTTCAAATGTAGAACAGTTCCCAACCCAAAACTTTGTTTGTTAATATTACTGGGCATATACAATAAGCACACCCCATTTAGTCCAAGTTGTCCCCTTTAAGACCTGTCTTTACAAACACCCTGTAAAATGCCAAATTTCCTTTCCCTTTTCAGCCTTCACTTTCTCTCTCCCTTCACTCTACTTTCTACGTATTTTTTTCCTCTGAGAAGTTTCTGTACTTTTCTCTTTCTGGGTTGTGGCTCTCTTATATTTTGTTCTAGCTGGAACACAGAGGCCTATAAACCCAGATCAACAATGGGAGTCCATGTTTCTTTATGAGAGCCTCTTAGGCAACCCAACAGAAACTTTGATGCATTGTTCCACTGATGTATCTTATACATAAGTTTAGCCTTGGCCTGCATGGTCTTAGAGACCCAAATACATATTTAGCTCCCTTGTATTTCATATACTATGTAGACTCTCTACTATGCTGGATACATATGTCAATATAGTAGATACTTATTCATATTACAATTTCCAACATTGTAGCTTCTTTTCTACAGTATCTGTTGGTATCAGAGGCCTTCTTATTATTAAGTGATGAAGGTTTGATTTTGATATTGTTAGTGTATATTATAAACAGGGAGGGTTACTTCTGAGGATATTTCTGTGTCAATTTAGCTCTTGATATTTCAGGATTTAAAGTACACAAAATAATTAGTTAAAATATTATCAAATTTTAGAGTGAGCTTTCATTTTCTTAAGTTTTTACCATAAATTATTATTGCTGTCATAATCTAACATGACTCGCTGTTTCTCAGGTTTGGGCGAAGATTTATTCTCAGATGGTGTTTGCTCCAGCTTGCCATTACTGACACCTGCGCTGCCTTCGCTCCCACCTTCCCTGTTTACTGTGTACTACGCTTCTTGGCAGGTTTTTCTTCCATGATCATTATATCAAATAATTCTTTGCCCAGTAAGTCAATAATTGTGATCTTCTCTATTTTATGACCCTTTAATTTGACCTTGAAATTTCATCTCTATTTGACCTTAAATGCTATATGGGTTTTCTTTCAGTTACTGAGTGGATAAGGCCCAACTCTAAAGCCCTGGTAGTAATATTGTCATCTGGTGCCCTTAGTATTGGACAGATAATCCTGGGAGGCTTGGCTTATGTCTTCCGAGACTGGCAAACCCTGCACGTGGTGGCGTCTGTACCTTTCTTTGTCTTCTTTCTTCTTTCAAGGTAGGAGCTTTCTCTCTCACTTTGCCTTATGGGGTCCTGGGATGAAAATGAATATTGAATAAGAACATATTGATTTTCTTATTGCCACTTCTGGACCTAGACCCATGTTCTCATTTATTCACTCTGTGCAGCTTGAGAAAAAATGGTAAATAGCAATGGCTCTTCTGCCTGGGAGTTCTGACATAAAATTGGAAAAACTTTTATTGTAGACATAGAATGATTCCATCTTTTTTTTACTAAACATATAGATTCAGATGTTTCAAAAAGAATATCTTTGATTCATTTTTGCCTTGAAATAAATCAAGTTATGGTGATATGTGTAATGTTTTTCACTTTTATAGGTGAAATTGGAAGAAACCACAAGTGTATTCATATAACTCTTTGACAATAGTGCAGGACCATTTCACCAGTACTAAAAGTTGGGCAGACTGAGTGATTTATAGCATGTGTTCAGCACTTCCTCCTCCATTAGATAATTTTAACAAACATTTATTTGTGGCTAATTTCATCTCTACATTTGAAACCAATCTATGGAAGCATCAGATTCAGTTAGAAATTACTGGAATATTGAGATATTACTATATATTTCACACAGTGAGATGAATTCCGATAGACAGTAGAGTATAATCCATGTCAGACTCTTCCATTATCTTATTTCATCTTCATAACAACCCAGTAAGGAATATGGCACTGCTGTTTTTGTTTTATTGATGAGGAAACTGAAGTAGATGTAAATGAGTGACTCACTTGCATAGTAAGTTACCAGCATAGCTGGTAGTGGCAGAAGTACTTCCAACCTTTGAGCAGCTTTAACCTTACATAAGTTGAAGACTTATTTTTCTTAAACAATACATATCATGAACATAAATTTGCTAGAACTCACGCCAAACTTTGGAAAGAACTTACGCATGTAGGGACCCTAAAGCTTAAGCTTCACAGACTTCTTTGAAAATTTTCCTGTGATCAAACAAAGAAGTGATTTGTCTCCAAAGTCTGTTGCTAAACCTTGAAGGTGTATTGCAGGATCATGGTCATATTTTCCTAGTATTTGTATAATAAAATAGGACTTTGTGTTTTCAATACAACTAAGTGGTGGATAATAAATGGAAGACAAAAGGCATCCATAGCCAATAATCATATGACTAATAAGAAAGACAGAGATGACTGCACTTGTGTATTTTTCTTGTATCAGGTGGCTGGTGGAATCTGCTCGGTGGTTGATAATCACCAATAAACTAGATGAGGGCTTAAAGGCACTTAGAAAAGTTGCACGCACAAATGGAATAAAGAATGCTGAAGAAACCCTGAACATAGAGGTGAGTAGGAAAGGGAAGGTGGTTACTGGGTTGAAGGGAAGACATACGCTGACATCTGCCTTCTCCTTATTGAGACAGACTAACTGCTTCTAAGAAGGGCAGCTAGCTGAGAACACAAGCTCGGTTCTTATTTTTTCAAGGCCATCTCATATAAAAGAAGCTTTGGGAATTATGTAACTATCTCTTTCTTTAGTTCACTTCCTGATCTGAATCTACAACCTATGCATCCTTGTGGATACACTATAACCCTTTGGGGCCTTATTTTCAAATGTCTTTATTGCTGCATAATTTCCTGGAGGCTCCTTTAATGTTCTCCTTCATTTTTCTTCACACCGCTTTCACTTCTGTAATTGCATATCATATATCACACTCGAGAGAAAGGGAACATATTTCTCTTGTCCTACTAAGTGCCAGTTCTCACAACAATGCCTGGGATGATGTTGATAAATGATAAATGTTTATTATTGAAGGTTGTAAGATCCACCATGCAGGAGGAGCTGGATGCAGCACAGACCAAAACTACTGTGTGTGACTTGTTCCGCAACCCCAGTATGCGTAAAAGGATCTGTATCCTGGTATTTTTGAGGTAGGCTTCGTATAGTATATGAGGAGCATTAAAAGTTTGGTGACATGAATCACTTTCTTATTTCAAAGGTTGCAACAGTAGTGTGTGTGTGTGTGTGTGTGTGTGTGTGTTTAGGACTGATTTGTAGATAAAAGATGAAGAAAATACACAGGTAACTGCTACATTTGAAGAGAGGCAGAGGGTTATGTAGACTCACATCATCCTACCAGTCTCATCATTGGTGATTGATACTGAGGTAAATTGTGTTGTTTAATTTTCTTTATTTTTTTCAATTCTACTTGAAACAAATCTTAGTAATGTGCACAGATTATGAATGTATACAACTCCATGAATATTTTTATACATAAAAAGTGTAATCAAGTCAGGCGTGATGGCTCATGCCTGTAATCCCAACACTTTAGGAGGCTAAGGCAGGTGGATCACCTGAGGTCAGGAGTTCGAGACCAGCCTGGCCAACATGGTGAAACCCCGTCTCTACTAAAAATACAAAAATTAGCCAGGAGTGGTGGTGCAAAGCTGTAGTCTCAGCTACTTAGGAGGTTGAGGCATAAGAATTGCTTGAACCCGGGAGGTGAAGGTTGCAGTGAGCCAAGATTGTGCCACTGTACTCCAGCCTGGGTGAAAGAGTAAGACTCTGTCTCAAAAGAAAAAAAAAAAAAAGAAAGAAAAAAGAAAATGTAATCAACACCCAGATCAAGATGTAGAAAAACCTTGGAAGGCCTCCTTGTGCATCATCTACAGCAATAAAAACTGCCCCTGCCAAAAATAACTTAAGAACAGTTCTGGCCTCCATCACCATGAAGGATTATTGCCTGATTTTGACCTTCACAAAATGTAAAAGATAACATGGCTCCGTTTGTCACAGGCTCCTTTTCCTCAACTTTATTCCTTCAAGATTTATCAGTGCTGTTGCTTGTAATAGTAGGTTGTTCTCCTTCCCAGTGTTTCAGTATTCCAATAGATGAATACAGAACAATTTCTTTACCTACTTCTTTGTTGGTGGACTTTTACATATTTCCAATTTCGGGTGTTCGCAGAAGGGCTTCTGTAGGCAAGCTTGTACATTGTCTCTTGGGGACATGTAAGTACTTACTTTGGTAGTGTCAGTAGGAAAAATTTTAAATATAATTCTAAATTTTTGAAAACTTATAAAAAGTGTTACAGGAGAGCGTATGTCCACTTCCAAGCTGAAGACAGTACTATTAAATTATACAGTTTACCTCTTCCTAGGCATATCCTATAGGTGGCTACTTCATTTAATTGCATTGTGCTTTATCACTTTTCCCCTATCCACTACATTACAGACTCTGGCTTCTGAATCCTAGACAGTCAGAGTGGGTCAAAAAAGTAGAGATAGTGGTCAGAAAAGGACTTACTTGCTTGGAATTGCTATGATCTATGGTAGTTTCTTCTGCCATAATGTCTAAAGCTAGCTCTTTCTGGGTGTGGTAGATCATTAATGTGGACTAGTTCTCTGTAGATGCTTTCTGGGTATATTGAAGATCCTCGGTAGGAACCTCTGATTTTATTTCCTATGGTGAAGTTGGTGTAGGTTTGTTTGCCTGGATTCTGACACTTTTTCTTAGCTCTGGGGAATGAGATATGAACCTCTTTAGTGAGAAACATCCTCCTCAGGCATCCTCTGCATTGAATTGTACCAGATTTTTTTGTTTGTTTGTTTCTTCTCTTTTCTTTGCGATCAGTGTCAACGTGTTATCATTTAAAATAACTTGTTATAACTATATAACATTTTTTACAAGCCTTGTGGTAACTGCAAAGCAAAAACCTATAATTGATATGCTAAAATTAAAACACAAAGAACCAAAAGATACTACTAGAGAAAACCACAAATAAAAACTGTCAAAGTGAAACAAAGGGGAAAAAAAATCTACAAAAGAAGTAGAAAACAAGTAACAAAATGGCAGTGTTAAACCCTTACCTATCAATAATTACCTTAAGTGTTAATGGATTAAATTCTGCAATTAAAGACGTGGAGTGGTTGAATGGTCATTTTTTTACTTAAAATGGCTCCTGGTCAGCTCTTACTTGGAAAGAGCCCACACAGATGGTCTATGAGAGAAACACATGTATCCCTGCCTCTGTGTCCATACAGTGTGCTTATTCACTCATCACATTCTCTGTCTCTGCTCTGACCCCTCAGGAGATAGCCACTGTTTCTCACCTTAAATGTCTTGGAATTGTGTCAGGCACCAGAACACTGTGCTCCCAGACAGTGCTGCCAGGCACGTAGTCTTTTTGGAGCCTTACTCTCTAGCAAAGGGAAAGTTCTTCACTGTAGTAGCACTGGGGAGAAGAGAGAGAGCACTTACAGCATACTGACAGCTCTCAGAAAATGAATTATTTCCCTAATTTTCAAGCTTTAATTCTTCTGTGTTCAATGCTTATATACCATTGAGTTTGATGACTGATTCAGGTTAAGTTTCCCTGTCATTATCAACTATCTGCTTGGGAACTTGGACAAAAGAATGACTGACAGGAGTCCTGTTCTTATGTAATGTCATGCAATTATTCATGATAGCTCTAAGATCACCATCTTTAAAACAAAGAACTCTACAAATTTTACCGAGCCTTTATTCCTTAACACTGACCAATAACTGCCTGGGCCAATATGATAATCAACTGCGGGACATAGGCTCTAAACCTTATGACATGTGTCTCTTCTATTTTGTTCACCACAGATTTGCAAACACAATACCTTTTTATGGTACCATGGTCAATCTTCAGCATGTGGGGAGCAACATTTTCCTGTTGCAGGTACTTTATGGAGCTGTCGCTCTCATAGTTCGATGTCTTGCTCTTTTGACACTAAATCATATGGGCCGTCGAATAAGCCAGATATTGTTCATGTTCCTGGTGGGCCTTTCCATTTTGGCCAACACGTTTGTGCCCAAAGGTGAGAGAAGACTGGACTTTGGGGGAAAGAAAATGTCTTCTCTTTGTTCTTCAGGAATTGTATTGGTCACACTTGCCTAAAACCAGGAATAAAGAGGAGTGCCATTTAAAGGCTACATATTCCCTCAAAGCAATATGAGCGTGTAAAACGAATTTGGCTAATAATTGAGAAAAGAGCCAGGGGCAGCTCAGATGTGTATTTATCTTCATCAACTCTGGAAGCAGCTGGATAGTGGTGACATTCATTCCTGACGGTTTCTCTAGGAGATCAATTGATCACTTGCCCTTTGGTTAATCACACTTTTGATAACAAGCATGGCATGTCTAGGCCTTGCGATTATATCCCATTTGAGGACACGATATGATTGCTTCCTTTGTGTGGGCTCTGTCTAGGTTCTTCCTCATTACTATGTCTTCAGTGACCAGTCTACTCACTGCTATCCGTGTAGCCACACTTGGACGTGATGTTAAGTCACCATGAATGCAGCCCTTGATTAGGGGAAACCTTTTTGACTTTAACGAAGTAGAAATCCTTTGTTTACAAGCAGAGAAAGAATATATGATAGGGACAATAAACTAGGCAGATTAAAAGCCTATTTCACTCCCTGTTAGACTATTTTATAAGTTAATATGATGATTGTATGTAATGATTAGGGGAACCTTAGTAGGCACTATGCCTTCCCTGCTTCCCAATACAAGAATGTATTTTACCGCATAATAGATTGGGGAACTTGATTCCTCTTCCTGAATATTATCAATAATGTATATCTCCTGACTTACATCGAGCACTTTCTAATCTTATAAATCTATAATTCTCTTTCTTTCTATATTAGGCAGAAAACATTCTCTGAAACTTCCTTTTAATGGTTTCCAAATTCTGAATTTATTTTTCCCCAAGCAGAAGTTCCATTGCTTGGTTCCTTATGCCTATTATTCTGGATCTAGCCTCTCTACTCTGCCCACTTACAAAGGAGTTTTTTCATTAGTCTCTTGTACAATTCCAACTCGTGACAATACTGTGTCTGTACTAGATTGACTGAGTTACCCAGATTTACCTGGGACTTTCTTGGTTTTATCAATAAAAATTTAACTTCACTAAAACCCCTTCATCCCTGGGAAATCTAGGATGGCTGGTCCCTTTAAATTCTGCACTTTAATTGTAAAGTTCTCAAGTACAGTGCTGAGTCTCAGACTCCTCAGTAATTGTCCACATGCTGGTTCTACCTTCTATAGAATGGGCATAGCGAATACTGGACAGAATAAGTAAGAAAAAATTTCTGCTAGAGTCACCGTTTCTCCTCCCTCTCTGAAAAATCTTAGATATACAGAGAGATTTCCTGCATTAATGCAGATAATATTATGCACTTTTTGCCACCTATGTTGATAATTCTAAGCTGATAATTTCTCAGCTTATCAACCTCTGGATGTTCTCTGGCACTATTCAGTTTTCTACAGTATTTTTCAAACATGCAAATACTCGATAGATTGTTTTTAAATTAAGTTTGGTGGATGTTGCTTCCTTCGGCCCAGATATCAGAGTCTCACTGGTCTCTTCCTTTTGCCAGAAATGCAGACCCTGCGTGTGGCTTTGGCATGTCTGGGAATCGGCTGTTCTGCTGCTACTTTTTCCAGTGTTGCTGTTCACTTCATTGAACTCATCCCCACTGTTCTCAGGTATAAGAGATACAGATGCTCCACCTGAGCCCAAAATAAGAATTTCCCACTAAACAATACTTACTGAGGGAATAAAGCTGAGACCTGTTTATTATTTTAAAAGCAATCATTTATAATACTAATAATACACTAACAAAAATTATGGCCAATGATTATTGCAAGCTGACTTTGCACTATCTACTGTGCTAGACAGTATTTTAATGTATCATCTCACTAATCTTTCGGACCACTCATCAGCGTAGGTGTCATGTGTAACTGTCTGTTTAAAATGATGAAAAGGAGTCTTAACTCACACTGAACCTGATTAAAAACAGCTAGAAAATCATAGAGAAAATCTCAAAAGCAGCTGTTTGCCCATGTACCTAATGATTGTGTTTTATTGTCTTCTGCAGTCAAGTCAAAATAATATGTCACAAATTACATGTGTAGATTTTTTTTCTGATTATCATGTATTGTTATTTATCTGTAGGGCAAGAGCTTCAGGAATAGATTTAACGGCTAGTAGGATTGGAGCAGCACTGGCTCCCCTCTTGATGACCTTAACGGTATTTTTTACCACTTTGCCATGGATCATTTATGGAATCTTCCCCATCATTGGTGGCCTTATTGTCTTCCTCCTACCAGAAACCAAGAATCTGCCTTTGCCTGACACCATCAAGGATGTGGAAAATCAGTGAGTGAATCTTTTAGCCATGTCCTGAGAGAAGCAGTGTACTCTATATCCGTGATAAGAAATGAAAAACTCCATGTGGATCCTTGAGATTATTGTGAAAGCTTAGCCTTTCCTGAGCTACTTCCACTTGGGCCATTGCCTTTCATTAGCAGCAGGGCCAGCTCTATCCATTCTGAGTTCCAACTCTAGAGTACAGAGACACCCTCATTGGTAGTTTTAGTGATAAAGAGATAAAAATGAGCTATGTTGTGATGGCACATACTACCTTTCCTCATGAAAGACACACGCTCATGATGGTATTTAATGATTCTTGGATTCATAGAGCTTGGGATATGGTGGGGAAGGAAACAAAATAGTGAAGGAAGAATGTTCAGAAATATCACAAAGAGTTAAAGATCCTCCTTGAAAAGATAGTAAAGGAGATAACTCTTGTTTAGTTGCCTGTGAAATTCAGTCAACCTTGCTGCCATGAGTAATAGAAGGTTTGAGGATAGAGAAAATAAGAAACTAGGAAAAAGTATTTTTATTTTTTAATTTTAAAGTTTCATTTTATTTGTATATTTAAAGATGGGGTCTCCTCTGTCATCCAGTCTGAAGTGCGGTGGTGCAATCACAGCTTACTGAAGCCTCGAGTTCCTGGGCTCAGGTGATTCTCCCACCTCTGCCTCTTGAGTAGCTGGCACACGCCTCTACACATGGCTAAATTTTTGTATTTTTAGTAGAGATTGGGTTTCACCATGTTGCCCAGGCTGGTCTTGAACTCCTGTGTTCAAGCAATCCCCCTGCCTTGGCCTTTTATTTTGTTTTTAATTGACTCAAAATAATTGCACATATTTATGGGGAACAGTGTGACGTTTTGATACATAGAAATCATGGTAATTAGCATATCTATAATCTTAAACACATCATTTTTTGGGGTGAGGACATTCAAATCCTTTCTTATAGCTCTTTTGAAATATATAATACATTATTGCTAATTATGGTCACCGTACTGTGCCATAGAACACTAGAATTTTTTTTTTTTTAGACAGAGTCTCACTCTGTTGCCCAGGATGGAGTGCACTGGCACAATCTCAGCTCACTGCAACCTCTGCCTCCCGGATTATAGTGATTCTCCTGCCTTAGCCTCCTGAGTAGCCCGCCACCACGCCCAGCTAATTTTTTGTATTTTTAGTAGAGACAGGGTTTTGCCCTGTTAGCCAGGATGATCTCGATCTCCTGACCTCGTGATCCACCTGCCTCAGCCTCCCAAAGTGCTGGGATTACAGGTGTGAGTACCGTGCCTAGCCTATAATTTCTTTCTCCTAACAAACTGTAGCTTTGTACCTGTTGATGAACCTGTTCCTATCTCCCCCTACCTTCTTCCTTCCCTAGCCTCTGACAACCACTATTCTACTATCAACTTCTATGAAATCAACTTTTGAAAGATTCTACATATGAGTGAGATCATGCAGCATTTGTCATGTGCTTCTCTTATTTCACTTAACATGGTTAATCCATGTTGTCATTAACACATCATAATCCATGTTAAGTGGACAGGATTTCATTCTTTTTTATGGCCAAATTGTATTCCATTAAGTATATTCCACTGAGTATATATATATCTCTCTCTCTTCAAAATCTACTTTATCTGTTGATGGACACTTAGGTTAATTCCATATCTTGCCTATGGTGAATAGTGCTGTAAAACATGGGAATGCAAATATTTCTTTGACATACCAATTTCATTTCCTTTGGATATATACTCAATAGTGGGATTGCTGGATATTATGGTGGTTAACTTTTCATTTGTTGAGGAACCTTCATACTGTTTTCCATAATGGCTGTACTAATTTGCATTTCTACCAATCATGTATAAATTCCTCTTTCTCTACATCTTTACTATCATTTGCTATTTTATGACTTTTTGGTAATAGCCATTCTAATTGGAATGAGATGACATCTCATTGTGGCTTTAATTTGTTTTTTATCAATGATTGGTGATGTTGAGTATTTTTTCATATAACTATTGGGCATTCATGTGTCTTCTTTTATGAAATGTCTATTCAGATCTTTTGCCCATTTTCAAATCACACTTTGTTTTTTACTCTTGAGCTCCTCTTGTGTTTTAGTTATTAGTCCCTTGTTAGACGCGTAGTTTGTGAATATTTTATTTCACTCTGCAGGCTGTCTCTTCACTTCATTGATTGTTTTCTTTGCGGCATAAAGCCTCTTTAGTTTGATATAATTCCATTTGTATATTTTTGCTATTTTAGAATTCCTTCTTTAAATGTTTAGTAGAATTCACCTGTGAAGGCATCAAGTCCTGGGCTTTTCTTTAATGGGAGACTTTTTATTATTGATTCAATTTCCTTATCTTTTTATTGGCCTGTTGAGGTTTTCTACTTCTCCATGATTCAGTCTTAGTAGGTTTGTATGTGTCTAGGGATTTTTCTGTTTGTTTTTTTTTTCTGTTTTTTAATTTTTTGGTTTGTATTTGTTCATAACAGTCTCTAAGGATCCTTTTTGTGATATCAGTGGTGATGTCTCCTCTGCCATCTCTAATTTTATTTGAGTCATCTCTCTTTTTTCTTAGTCTGGCTAAGGCTTGTTGATGTTGTTTGTCTTTTCAAAAAACAAACAAATTTTCCTAATCTTTTGTATTTTTGTCTTTTTTATTTATTTTTGCTCTGATATTTATTATTTCCTTCTACTAATTTTGGTTTTAGTTTGTTTTTGTTTTTCTAGTTCCTTTAGGTTTAATATCAGGTTGTTTATTTGAGATCTTTAAATTTTTTTGATGTAGATATTTAATGCTATAAACTTCCCTCTTAGAATGGCTTTTGCTGTATCCCATAGGTTTTGGTATGTTGTGTTTCCATTTTCTTTTGTCTCAGGAAATTTTTAAATTTTGTTTTTATTTCTTCATTCACCCAATGACTGTTTAGGAGCATGTTGTTTAATTTCCATGTATTTGTAAGTTTTCCAAAGTTCTTTCTTTCTGTTACTAATTTCTAGTTCTATTGCATTGTGATCAGAAAAGATATTTGAAATTATTTTGATTTTAAAAAAAATTGTTGAGTTTTGTTTTGTGGCCTAACATAGGATTTAACCTGAAAAATGTTCTGTGTGCTTCTGAGAAGAATTTGTCTTGTGTAGCTGTTGGATGAAATGTTCTGTAAATGTTGGATCTAGGATGTGATTTAATTTTAATATTTCTTTGTTGATTTTCTATCTGGATGATCTGTCCATTGCTGAAAGTCTCCTATTATTATTTTATGCAGACTATCACTCCATTTAGGTCTATTAATATTTGCTCCATATATTTAGGTGCTCTGATGTTGGGGCATATATATTTATAATTGTTTTATCCTATTGCTGTATTGACCCCTTAAGTATTATATATGGTCTTATCTCTTTTTGCAGTTTCTGGCAAAAAAAAAAAAAAACTGCAAAAAGAAACAAGACCATAATGTTTATTTTATCTGATATAAGCATAGCTACTCCTAGTCTTTTTTAGTTTTCATTTGCATGAAATACTTTTTCCTTTTGTTCAATTCAAGTCTACGTGTGTCCTTATAGTTGAAATGAGTCTCTTATAGGCAGCATATAATTAAGTTAAAAAAAATCCATTCAATCATTCTACGTCTTTAATTGCAGAATTTAGTCCATTTACATTCAAGGTAATTATTAATAGGTAAGGGCTTAACACTGCCATTTTGTTACCGATTTTCTACTTGTTTTGTACATTTTTTTCCCCTGCTTTCACTTTTACAGTTTTTATTTGTGGTTTTCTCTAGTAGTATATTTTGATTCTTTGTGTTTTAATTTTAGCATATCTATTATAGGTTTTTGCTTTGCAGTTACCACAAGGCTTATACAAAATTATATAATTATAACAAGTTATTTTAAATGATAGCAACTTGACACTGATCACAAAGAAAAGAGAAGAAACAGAATAATCTGGTACAATTCAACTCTCCTTCCACGTTTTGATTTTTGTCATGATTTACACTTTTATTTTGCCCACCTCTTAACAAATTATTGTAGTTATTATTTTTGATAGGTTTTTTTTAGTTTTCATACTAAAGATATAAGTAAGTGGTTTACATGCCACAATTACAGTACTAGAGTAACAATCACATTAATGCCCTTTTCTTTAAGTTCAAAAAACTCCATTTAGCATTTCTTGTAGGAGATAGTGATGAATTCCCTCAGCATTTTTTTTTTTTGCCTGGGAAAGTCTTTTTATCTCAACTCATTTCTGAAATATAGCTTTTCTGGGTAGAGTATTCTTGGACAGCAGTCTTTTTTTTTTTCCTTCAGCATTCTGCATATATCATCTCAATCCTTTCTGGCCTGCACATTTTCAGCTACAAGTCTGCTTCCAGGCATATTGGATCTCCCTTATATATTATTTGCTTCTTTTTTTCTTGGTGCTTTCAGGACGCTCTATTTGTCTGCTCTTTGAGAGTTTATTATAATTTTTCTTGGGATATTCTTGTTTGGGTTTAATTTGATTGGTGACAAGAAATAATGTTAAAATAATAAAAATAGCATATTCACTTCTTATGTCTTTCATAACAAGATATCACAAACTTAGGCACTTAAGAAAAGAAATTTATTGTCTCACAGTTCTGGAAGCTAGAAGTCTGAGATCAATTTATTGAAAAGGACTTGACCTCACTGAAGTCTGTAGGGAAGAATCTATTCCAGACACCTCTTCTCACTTCTGGTAGATCCTTGGGTATAGTTTCCCAACTGTAATCTTCACATGGCATTTTTCCCCACGTGTGTGTCTCTACATTCAAATTTCCCCCAACTATTTTTTTTTTTTTAGATAGAGTCTCGCTCTGTCACCCAGGCTGGAGTGCAACCTCTGCCTCCTGGATTCAAACTATTCTCCCATCTCAGCCTCCCAAGTAGCTGGGATTACAGGCACCCACCATCATGTCAGGCTAGTTTTTGTATTTTTGTATAGACAGGGTTTCATCATGTTAATCAGCCTGGTCTTGAACTCCTGACCTCAGGTGATCCACCTGTCTTGGCCTCCCAAAGTGCTGGGATGATAGGCATGAGCCACCACGTCTGGCCTCAAATTCCTCCTTTTTTATAAGGGCACCAGTCATATTGAGTGAGGGGTCCCACTCTACTCCAATATGACCTTGCCTTAACTAGTAACATGTGCAACAACACTGTTTCTGAATAATGTCACATTCTGAGGTATTTAGAGTTAAGACTTCAACATATAAATTTTCTTTGGTGGGGGGACACAATGTAACCCATAATTAATGGTGAGATTTCTTAAATTTTTTAATTCACCCCTTAACTTTCAAAGATGCCATTTACCACAGGTCTAAAAAGACCAAGTGAGAGTAGCAATTTTCAAAACTCCCTTTGGATCTGCACAGGCAGCAGGACCTTTTACAGAGTGAGTGTGATTCGCTAGAAATACTGACTTATAAATAGCTGATGGTGTAATCCCATTTTTGGGTATATACTCAAAGGAATATAATTCATTCTACTATAAAGACACATGCACATGTTTGTCTATTGCAGCACTATTCACAATAGCAAAGACATGGAACAAACCTAAGTGTCCGTCAACAGTAGACTGGATAAAGAAAATGTGGTACATATATACCATGGAATACCATGCAGCCATAAAAAAAAACATGTCCTTTGCAGCAACATGGGTGGAGCTGGAAAACATTATTCTAGGCAAACTAATGCAGGAACAGAAAACCAAATACCATATGTTCTCACTTATAAGTGGGAGCTAAACTACAAAAACACATGGACACAAAGAACTACAGATGCTGGGGCCTACTTGAGGGTGGTGATTGGGAGGAGGGAAAGGATTAAAAAAAACCTATGGAGTACTATGCTTATTACCTGGGTAACTAAATAATATGTACACAAAACCCCTGTGACACACTGTTTGCTATATAACAATCCTGCACATATACCCCTAAACCTAAAATAAAGTTAAAAAATAAATAAATAAATGCTGATGGTCAGAGGTTCAGCTTGCAATGGTGCATAGAGGACATACAAAGTAATTTTGATTTTTTCTGAACGTTTGTTTTTGTTTGTTCTTTTTCAATTTATTGTTTCTGTTTTGTTTTGTTTTTCCAGAAAAAAAAATCTCAAGGAAAAGGCATAAAAATGATTGCTACACAAAAGTGACCAAATTTTAAGAAGCCTTCATGAGCTGATTGGTGGGGAAATTCAGAAAAAAAAATACAGGAAAAGAACACACCAGAAGGGTTTTTTTCCCTACAACCAGCAAGAACATATATTAGATACATGAATCTCAATTATAATTATGGCATTAATTTGCATTTTATTTCAAAATTAACTTGTGGGGACATGTAATCTCTTGAGCAATCTGATATTTTTGGGAAGTCCTTTAAAAAGTTACAAATTTATCAATAAATTACTAGTAGATAAGATGATTCAGAAACAAAAGAAAATCACAGAATTAGGATGTGGCTGGCTGGTGTATGAAGCACCATGTGATGAATTCATAAAGTTGCAAAAGTCAAAACAATACTGTACATGCAACCAGAAATCAAAATAAATCCAGAAATAGAGACCTATATAAATGCATTTAATACATGATACTTTTGACATAATAAGCCATTGGAAAACGGAAAGATTAGATACTAAATAACATTGACTATCTCTTTGTAAATACAGTCACTAAATGATGTTAGTTACTTTTCCATGGTGGAATTTTAATTACTTTTTCTTTGTAATTTTTCTCTCTGTATATTTTAAACAAATAGCTGGTATAGTTTACAATATTATAAAGATATTGTTCAAATTGAAGGGCAAAGGCCAGGTTCAGCAATTTTCAAACTGTATGTACATTTAATAAAATAACTATAAATTAAAAAATTATATTTCAAATGATGTGACTAATAAATGAAAGTACATATAGTAGTAAAGTAATTTCAGGCAAACCTATATAACCAAAATATAAACTTTCATTTTAAACAGCAAAGATTTTAAGTGCTAATGATTCTCAGAGTGGGTGAAGATACACTGAATGTTGGGGTGATCAGACCCAACGCCAGGTCGTCGGGGCGATGAAGTCTGGCGGAGTCAAAGGAATGAGAAAAAGACAATTTGAGAGAGAAAGTGGGACCGGGGGCCATCACAAGTGTGGAGGCTGCGAAGGCCCCAAGCTCTGGGAGCCCATGCTATTTATTGGTGCTCAAACAAACAAACAACTGGTGGTGAGGTGTCGGGGGAAATTCAGCCAGATGTCGGGCAAAATTCACCCCCGATATTTCACATAGGTTCTTTTCTACTTTCCCAAAGCATCGACCAGTTTGAGAAATAAAGGGACGGAGTACAAAAGAGAGAAATTTCAAAGCTGGGCATCTGGGGGAGACGTCACATGTCGGTAGGTTCCATGATGTCCCCTGAGCCATAAAACCAGCAAGGTTTTATTAGGGATTTTCAAAACAGGAGGGAGTGTTCGAATAGGGTGTGGGTCACAGAGATCATGTACTTCACAAGGTAATAGAATATCACAAGGCAAATGGAGGCAGGGCGAGATCACAGGACCACAAGACGGGTGAAATTAAAATTGCTAATGAAGTTTCAGGCACCATTGTCATTGATAATATCTTCTCAGGAGACAGGGTTTGAGAGCAACTGATCTGACCAAAATTTACTAGGCGGGAATTTCATTATCCTAATAAGCCTGGGAGCGCTATGGAAGACTGGGGCTTATTTCATCCCTACAGTCTCAACCATAGAAGATGGTCACACCCAAGGGGGCCATTTTAGAGGCCCACCCTCAGGTGCGCGTTCTCTTTCTCAGGGATGTTCCTTGCTGAGAAAAAGAATTCAGCGATATTTCTCCCATTTGCTTTCAAAAGAAGAGAAATATGGCTCTGTTCTGCCTGGCTCAACAGCAGTCAAAATTTAAGGTTATCTCTCTTGTTCCCTGAACATTGCTGTTATCCTGTTCTTTTTTCAAGGTGCCCAGATTTCATATAGTTCAAACACACGTACTCTACAACTTGTGCAGTTAATGCAACCATCACAGGGTCCTGAGGCAACATACA